>NC_000006.12:34605454-34908484 GCF_000001405.40 Homo sapiens | reverse complement strand
AGTGGCCTAGACACAAGGTCTTAGACTCTATCAAGCCAGCATCCAATCCCATGACGATCCAGCACTAGCCAACCTTACCAACCTCACCTCCGCTGACTCCTGCTGGATAGCCGCTTACTCACTGCTGGGCAAACAGGTCTTTCTTATTTTAAGCTTCTCTACCTCTGCCTCTAGCTGTTCCCTGCCCTCCTCCACACCAATCTTCTATCAGCTATCTGAATCTTTGGCTTTCTTGAAAGGTAGGGCCCCACTTCCTAGGGGTACAAGTAGTCTAGGAGAGGGGTCTCCAGACCACCCTACTCCATTACCATAGCCTCTTCCTCCAAACTCCTCCAGCACTATTTACATCCCTGGCTCAATGGCTGAGTAACTAAAAGGAGGCTGGACTTCCTCTGTATAAATATTAATATTAGCAGCCGTCATTACTACATTCCAGCCACTGTTCTTTTTTTTCCTTTTACAATAGGGTCTTGCTGTGTTGCCCAGGTGAGTCTTGTACTTCTGCACTCAAGCAATCCTCCCAACTCAGCCTCCCAAAGTGCTGGGATTACAGGTGTGAGCCACCATGCCTGGCTTGCCACTATTCTAAGTACTTCACATGCATTACCTCATTTAATCATTACACAACTTTATATGAGAAGTTCTATTATTATAGATGAAGGAACTAAGGCAAAGCAATTCAGAAAGCTATCTATACCTCCCAACTGGTAGGTGGCAGAGGCAAGATATGAAACCAGGCAGCTTGACTTCAGAGCCTCTATCAAATAGGCCCTTTGCTTGTTTACTTTTTATTTTGAAATAATATTAGGCTTACAGAAAAGTTGCAAAGATAGCACAGAGCCCCGTATCCCTTTCACCCAGCTTCCCCTTATGTCAACGTTTTACAGAATCATAGTAAAGCTGATACTTAAACAATGCAGGTTGGAACTGCTTGGGTCCACTTACATGCAGATTTTTTCCAACCAAACGCAGATAAAAAATATAGCGTTTGTGGGATTCAAAACCTGTGTGTGTAGAGGTCTGACTTTTCACATACTTGGGTTTCTCACAGCTGACCTCAGGACTTGAGTATACAAGGATTTTGTTATAGATGGGGGTCCTCGAACCAATACCCCACATGTACCCAGGGATGACTGTACATTGATCAAAACTTAAGAAATCATTGATCAAAACTTAAGAAATTAACACTGGTACAATACTCTTAACTAAACTACAGACTTTGTTGATACTTCCCTAGTTTTTACATTCATGTCCCTTGTTCCAGGACCCTACACTGCACTGAATGGTCTTGGCTCTTGAGTCTCTGTGACAGTTCCTCAGTCTTTGCTTGTCTTTCTCAGCCTTGACAATTTTAAAGAGTACTACTCAGTATTTTGTAGAATGTTCTTCAATTTGTGTTTCTGTTTTCTCATGATTAGACTGAGGTTATGGATTTGGGGAAGGAACACAAGAGGCAAAGTGTCCTTTTCATCACATCACATCTGGGGATATGTGACATCAGCATGACTTATCACTGGTGATGTTAACCTTCATTACTCGGTAAAGGCAGTGGCTACCAGATTTTCCCACTATAAAGTTACCACTGTTCTCTCTCCATATTCTATTATTTGGACGCCAGTTTCTAAGTCTAGCCCACACTCAAAAAGGGAAGAGAATTAAATTCCATCTCCTAGAGAGAGGACTACCAAAGAACAAGTGGACATCGGTTGAAGCTGCCATAGGAATTAATAAATATTCTGGGGAAGATACTTTGAAGCCATATAAATATTGTTTCTCCTTCAGCTTTCACCCAATTTCATTCTTCACTGGTAGATCTTGCCTGCAGCAATTATTACTATGGTATGCTAATGGTGATTTTCTATTCCCCTCATTATTCCTACATTTATAATTGGAATTCTTCTGTAAGAAAGACCTGTCTGTTCTGCCCCACTTATTTATTCAGTCATTGATAGTGAAAACTCACAGATAACCAAGCCAATTTCTTAAGGGAGTTGTCAAGTTTTGTGTTCCTAAGTTATCTGCTACAGTGGTATGCACAACATATAGTAATTAAGCACTAATTAGTATTTGCTGATGAAAGTTTCACGAGCAGAGAGAGCAACCTCCCACTCACACACTCCCATGGATGAAGGGAGAAGACAGACCTCTTTCTCTTCTTGACCTTTCGCACCAGGCATGTAAAAGGCCTTGCACAGTTCCTGGCACACAGTAAGAGGACAGTAAGCAGTCGCTCCTTTCCCCAGTCTAACTCTGCAGATGTTTTAAGACACACTGATGCACCTTTCCTTGGACCTCTGCCAGGAAACGCTAAAAACACTGCCCCCTGCCACCCATTTTTTAATGGTAAGAAAACTGAGCTACAGGAAGAGTAAAAAATATTCCCAAGATCATACGGCTAGATGGTGGTTGAGGTGGGATTAGGCAGAAGATCCCCGAGGGGCACTGCTCACTCAGGCCCTTCCCCAGAGCCAGTATGCACTCTAAGAGAGAAAAGTTCCTGGAGACAATGTTTCCTGCGTACTGTTTTTTCTGTCTAGCCATGTCCTCTTCCCTTCAGAGTTCAAGCACAGAGACCAGAGGATAAAACTGAGAAATGGATACTTGCCAGACCCCAGTGATCCAGACAGACCTTAACCAAGCCAAAATCCTACAACAAGAACAGACTTAAGGCTTAACTCAAACTTAAGGATTTCGTTCAGGTAGTTACACATCAAACTGAAGGCTAAAATAAAAATCAATGAAAGAGGGAGAGAAGATTTTGCTCTACTCAAACTCTGACGGCCACATGAAACCAAAGACCAATCAAAGAGGTGAAAACAATGTTATTCACAAGCAAAACAATGACAAAAAGCAGTCAGTTAAGCTCTCTCTTAACTTTTGCTTCTTCATCTGTAAAATGGAAATAACAATAATTATCTTGCAGGCATGTTGTGAAGGTAAACTGAGCAAATAAATGTATGTAAAGCCCTTGGCACAGACAAAGTATTAAGTGCTCAAGAAGTGAAACCATCCCACTCATCCCAAATACACACATACACACTCACCTACAATACTGTCAGTAGCAATACCTCTGAGCTACTCAGTTACTGACTTCAAATACTACAGTATGGGCTGGACTTTGCATTGAAGTTTGATCATGGCTGCAGGGCAACCTGAAAAAGCAAGAATCAGGCGGCTGGCCCCATTGAGGACAAAAGTCAATGCACAGACTCCACCAGGCTGGATCAGAGGAAGAGTGGTGAGCATGATGTGGTAAGTGTCAAAATCTCACAAGGCCCAGTTCCTGGTAATGAGGAAACCTAATGCCAGCCAGATTCATCATGTGATGACTCCAATAACCTCATTATGTCATCACCAATAGAAAATCAGACGTTGACCGGGCACAGTGGCTCCCGCCTATAATCCCAGAACTTTGGGAGGCTAAGGCAGGCAGATCACTTGAGGCTAGTAGTTCAAGACCAGCCTGGCCAACATGGCGAAACCCTGTGTCTATTAAAAATACAAAAATTAGCTGAGCGTGGTGGCACACACCTGTAATCCCAGCTACTCAGGAGGCGGAGGCAGAAGAATCACTTGAACCTGAGAAGCGAAGGTTGCAGTGAGCCGAGCTCATGCCACTCCAATCCAGCTTGGGTGACAGAGCAAGACTGTCAAAAGAAAAACAAAGAAAAGAAAAAAAAGAAAAGAAAAGAAAATCAGAATCAGATGTCACCTTGAGCAACAGGAAGTGCAAAACATTTTGTTTTTTGTTTTTGATATGGAGTCTCGCTCTGTCACCAGGGTGGAGTGCAGTGGCGAAATATCAGCTCACTGTAACCTCCACCTCCCAGGTTCAAGCAATTCTCCTACCTCAGCCTCCCAAGTAGCTGGGACTGCAGGCGTGCGCCACCACACACAGCTAATTTTTGTATTTTTAGTAGAGACGGGATTTCGCCATGTTAGCCAGGATGGTCTCAATCTCTTGACCTCGTGATCCGCCCACCTCAGCCTCCCAAAGTGCTGGGATTACGGGCTTGTGTCACTGAGCCCAGCCCATAATTTTTTTTTTAATTATAGGAAAGGCAATCCTGGTGGTTATTAGGTTATTACATAATACAGTTAGCCCTCGATATTGATGGGTTCTAGATCTGTGAATTCAACCAACCATGGAAAAAAAATATTCAGAAAAAAAATGGATGGCTGCATCTATATTAAACATGTACAGGCTATTTGTCTCATTGTTCCCTAAAAAATATGTTTTAATAACTATTTACATAGCATTTATACTGTATTTAGGTATTATAATTAGACTGGAGATGATTTAAAGCATACGAGAGAATGAGCACAGGTTTTACACAAATACTACGCCATTTTATATAAAGGACTTGAGCTGGAATTCTGGTATCTTCGAGGGGTCCTAGAATCAATCCCCCATGGAGACTGAGGGACGACTGTATTCATATTTTTTAAAAAGTCCCAGATTTGTGGCCCAAACTCACAGCTGATTCAATCCATCAGAAAATGTTCTTCAGCCAGTGCTGTAATCCCAGCAC
Organism: Homo sapiens; assembly: GCF_000001405.40. Taxonomy (NCBI): domain Eukaryota; kingdom Metazoa; phylum Chordata; class Mammalia; order Primates; family Hominidae; genus Homo; species Homo sapiens. Next base: position 34,903,952 of record NC_000006.12, on the reverse strand, counting down.
CTTGGGAGGCCAAGGCAGAAAGATTGCTTGAGGCCAAGAGTTCAAGGCTACAATGAGCTAATATCGTGCCATTGCATTCCAGCCTGGGCAACAAAGCAAGACCCCACCTCTATAAAAAAATTAAAAATTAGGCAGATGGGCTGGGCACAGTGGCTCATGCCTGTAATCCCAACACTTTGGAAGGCCGAGGCGGGTGGCTCACAAGGTCAGGAGATCGAGACCATCCTGGCCAACATGGTGAAACCCCGTCTCTACTGAAATACAAAAACAAAACAAACGAACAAAAAATTAGCCGGGCATGAGGGCACGTGCCTGTAGTCCCAGCTACTCGGGAGGCTGAGGCAGGGGAATCGCTTGAACCCGGGAGGTGGAGGCCCCTGTGAGCCAAGATCACACCACTGCACTCCAGCCTGGCAACAGAGCGAGACTCTGTCTCAATTTAAAAAAACAAACAAACAAAATTAGGCAAACTTGGTGGTGCATGCCTGTAGTCCTAGCTACTCAAAAGACTGAGTGAGGTTGGAGGAGAGCTTGAGCTATGATCCCACCACTGCACTCCAGCCTGGGCAACAGAGCAAGATCCTCTCTTGGAAAAAAAAAAAAAAGTTTTTCTACATGATGATTTGCCTGTTAAAGAGATACAGAGGTTTATGGGCAAATTGGTGCAGCAGAATGACAATCAAACCCCACAATGAGCCAATTTGAAAGTAACAATATTAGGATAAAAAACACAGAAGACAGAAGTTACTGGAAATGGGTTTTATGGATTACAGTGGGAACGCCCCACACATACATCCAAAAAAATATTGGCTTTAGCTTCTACTATATCATTCTGCTAGTACTAGCAGCATTATACCAAACTTATAATTTGGTATAATGCATTCCTCTCAGCAAACACAGATATTTTTAAGTGACTGTGAAATTTCACCCAAAAGAATCAGGTCTTCATAAATATCTGCCAATTGAATGAGAAGACGCTAGGGTACCTGGATTGCTATTTTCATCAGTTTTCTCTGTAAATGAACTATAAATTTTACAAAAGAACATATGTTAAAGAGAAAGGTAACCGGAAATGATGGTAACTGAAGACAATAGCAAGTCTAACAGATCATAATGGATAAGGAAAAGGCATCTTTTTTTTTTTTTTTTTGAGACGGAGTCTTGCTTTGTCGCCCGGGGTGGAGTACAATGGCGCGATTTTGGCTCACTGCAACCTCCGCCTTCCGGGTTCAAGCGATTCTCCTGCCTCAGCCTCCCGAGTAGCTGGGACTACAGCCACCGCACCTGGCCTGGAAAAAGACATCTTTTAAAAAGACAGCTCTGTCAATTTGGTCGACAAAACATATCTAGTAAAAGTACTGGACCTGATTTTTTATACACTCCTTCTTTTAAAAAGAAAAACTTGGGCCAGGCGCGGTAGCTCACGCCTGTAAACCCAGCACTTTGGGAGGCCGAGGCGGGTGGATCATCTGAGGTCAGGAGTCCCAGACCAGCCTGACCAACACGGAGAAATCCCGTCTCTACTAAAAATACAAAACTAGCTGGGCATGGTGGCGCATGCCTGTAATCCCAGCTACTTGGGAGGCTGAGGCAGGAGAATTGTTTGAACCCGGCAGGTGGAGGTTGCAGGGAGCCGAGATCACGCATTGCACTCCAGCATGGGCAGCAAGAGCGAAACGCCGTCTCAAAAAGAAAAAAAAAAGAAACAAAAAAGAAAAACTTAAACCTTAAAATGAAGCACTAAGCCCTGGATCATCTACTTGAAAAGTCTTTTGAAACTCTGCTCTGGGTCTGCTAAAGATGGCAAGAGAGACTGCTGATGAGTGACTAGCAAGAAAACTATTCTCCAGCTGAGTCTTAAACACACAATTATGGAGATAGCAATAGATTAAAAAGTAACAAATGTGGAATCTCTGCCAATTTCAATATCTAAAGTATTTTCATTTGTAGGTAAAAAGTAATAGGCCTATTCTATTACTGTTAGGTATATAGGACCCATAGGTATTTTCAGAGCTACTTAGCTAGAATACTACCTTCTCCTTATACTTTCCACCTTATACTTCCACAGACGTCTTTTTGGTAGCCATGATTCTGCATAAAATAGGACCCTTAAAGGCCTCACAAACAGAACACCTCAGTCCTGTCTGGGTGTGATGGCTCACGCCTGTAATCCCAACACTTTGGGAGGCCAAGGTGGGCAGATCTCTTAAGCCCAGGAATTCAAGACCAGCCTGGGAAACATGGCAAGACTCCGTCTCTACAAAAAATACAAAAATTAACCGGGCATGGTGTCATGAGCCTGTAGTCCCAGCTACTCAGTAGACTCAGGTGGGAAGATTGCTTGAGCCCAGGAGGCTGAAGTTACAATGAGCTGTGATTGCATCACTGTGCTCCAGCCTGAGTGACAGGGTGAGACCTCATCTCAGAAAAGAAACAACAAAAAAAACCCCACCTCAGCCCAGTTCTAAGCCAGTCATTTAACCACTAGAAAATCATCAGTAAAATGGGCACTAATACCTGTATTGAAGGATTGTGAAGATTAAAGTACCAAGGATTATGGAAAGTAACATTTCCCATCCCATAATCCTAGGCTTCAAGACAGCATCAACCATCATTTGAACCAGCCAGATAATACTGTCTGAAAAACATTTTATGGGCCAACTAATTATTTGAGAATGCAAATTTTGGTTGTTAATCACTAATGAGGGAGCGAATTGTTTAAAAAAAAAAAAAACAGAGTTGGAAATAACTTCAAATACACAGGCTTTTGGTTCTTGCCAATTGTTTAGATTCACTTCCCCTGTACAAACTTTGGCCCTGGTAGTGCATCTGGCAGTTTATGTAGCTTATGGGTCCAAAACTAATTTTTATCATTTTGAACTGGTTGCGGGGGGCACAGGGACCACTTAAATTTTCTCACAGGTAAAATTCATGAACACGTGCACCTACATGAGATGAGAATTTTCTAGAAGTCCGAAAAAGCAATGTGGGAGCTATAGGGAAGTCCCCCACATTCTCTAAACTAATATATTATTTGGCATAGACGTAAAGGCATTCTCTTTATCTAACTTTCCTGTGTTCCAGGGAATTTGCCAATTTTTTTTTTTAATGAGCCTACCTCACTGTATGTAGTCAAAGTCTTCCCAAAGGACTTTGTGTTACATTCTTGGGTAAAAGGAAGAAGTCCCAGTTGCATAATAACCAAGAGCAAAGACTCTGGGGCCTGTCTGCCTGGGTTCAAAACTAAGCTCTAACTTTTACTAGCTTACTGCACCTTGGCAAGTTACTTCATCTCTCTGTGTTTCAGTTTCCTCACCAGTAAAATGGCAATACTACTAGTGTATTCCTCAAACAGTTGTTATGGCCAGGTGTGGTGGCTCATGCTTGTAATTCTAACACTCTGGGAGGCTGAAGCAGGAGGATCGCTTGAGCTCCAGAACTTGAGACCAACCTGGGCAACATAGTGAGACCCCATCTCTATTTTTGTTATTAAAAAAAAAACAGAGAGAGTTGTTATGAGGACAAAATGAGTTAATACTTGTAAAGTGCTTAGAAGGGTATAGCATGAAGTGGTATAAAAGCAACTATTAAACTTAAATAAATCCCTAATTAATCTTTTCAGCAAAATTTTACCTAAGCATATAGTAAGTGGTCGCTTAAGTCTCATCCAAAGAGACTGATTCTCCAAGTGGCCAAATGCAGTGCTTTATAAGCAAAAGTTTTGGAATCACAAAGATGCCAGGCTCTGCACTCCCCTGTGTGGCCCTGGGCTAGTCACTTTAACCTCTCTCTTAACTTTTGCTTCTTCATCTGTAAAATGGAAATAACAATAATTACCTTGCAGGCATGTTGTGTAGGTAAACTGAGCAAATACATGTATGTAAAGCCCTTGGCACAGACAGAGCAAAGTATTAAGTGCTCAAGAAGTGAAACCATCCCACCCATCCCAAATACACACATACACACTCACCCACAATACTGTCAGTAGCAACATTTCTGAGCTATTGAGTTACTGACTTCAAATACTACAGTATGGGCTGGACTTTGCATTGAAGTTTGATCATGGCTGCAGGGCAACCTGAAAAAGCAAGAATCAGGCGGCTGGCCCCATTGAGGACAAAAGCCAATGCACAGACTCCACCAGGCTGGATCAGAGGAAGAGTGGTGAGCATGATGTGGATAGTTATGAGCAAAGCCAAGACTGGGGCTCCTCCCCAGGTACAGCAAAGAGTTAAAGTTCTAAAAACCACATCAGAAAGTCTAAGAACCTTTCAGACACTCAGGTAAACAGCTCTGAACTGATTTGTTTTGTAATCTTTTCTGGCCATCAGTCTTTTTGTAAATAGGTCTCAACTATAATTTAAAAGAAAAAATAAATTTGCGTCCAGACTGGGCAACATAGCAAGACCTCATCTCTACTTTACAAAATAACAGCTATTTTTTTTGTTTTTTAATTACTTTTTTTTTTAATAGAAACTGGGTCTCACTATGTTGCCCAGGCTGCTCTCAAACTCCTAGGCTCAAGTGATCCTCTGGCCTCAGCCTCCCAAAGTGCTGGGATTATAGGTATTAGCCACCATGCTGGGCCATAAAGCTGTTTTTATTTTATTCTGCTTGGAGCATATTGCTCCATGCATTTGTATTATTAATGGCCCTCTTCTAAACATTTGGTCTATGAAAAAGAACCAGTAAAGCCTTAAGTTAACCATTAAAAAGTCCTGGGCTTGCACAAAGGTTACTTTCTGAATATAAGTAGTATTTAGCAACCATAAATCAGTATATTACTTCCCAGTCAGAAGGACCCAGGAGATGTAAGGGGCCTCAGAATTACTATGAGTCCTCAAATTCAACAACATGTATGTTTCTTGTTGATTTTGAGGTGCAATTTGAATATTCAGCTGTTGATTTCTGCAATGGCTGAATGTTGAAACTACACCTACCATTCTATTGAATATATCAAATGTTATAAGCAGAATGTACACACAAACTTATCCACATGCATGTTCATCACAGAGCTGTTCTAATAGCAAAAAACGAAAAACAAACTCATGTTCCATGTCAGGAAAGGGGTTAAATTAATTACAATTCATATATACCACGGATATCACATCCATTTAAAATGAGGTTGAGGAGGACAGAAAATATAGGAAAGTGTTTTCACAATATAGTTCGTGAAAACATGAGACAAAGTATATACAAAATAATGTCATTTCTGTTAAAAAAAAAAGTTTGCACAGAAAAAAACAAGATTGTACACCAAAATTTCAAGTTAATTTCTGTAGGTGGTAAAATTATAACTGATTTTATTTTCTTCTTAGTGCATTTCTTTGTCTTGCAATTTTTCTACCATAAAGGCAGAGGTTTACAGTCCCTTATCAACAATTCAGAAATCCAAAAAGCTCTGAAAATATATTTTCATAAGTTAGCAGCAGTCATTTAGCTGCAAAACCTGACCTACGCTGATATGAAGCGGCTTCATATTTATCCCATTTAGTCAATATTTACAGGTTTTGCTGTAGAAATACAATGTTTCCAGGGTGCTGCCACAGTCCCACTAGGGACTCAATATACAATATTGAGTCAGCACCCTGAAAACATATCTGGCCCCAAGGTTTCAAACAAAGGATTGTGGACCTGGATTGCTTTGTAACTTTGCCACCATTGCCAATTTTCAGGCTTTTTAAAACTATGGGACTCTTCATAGTTTAAAAGGTTGGGAGCTTCTGCTGTGAATTATTATAAATGTTAAAATGGCAACATCAATAAAAGATATGTCCTTAACAGGGTCCTCACTCTGATTCATCAAGGGTGGCAAGCACCTGGCTCCCATTAGATGATTCTAGCAGCTGAGGGTTACCAAACCCTTGCCATGTGCCAGGCATTATATGCCTTACATCCTTTAGCTCATTTAATGCTGCTTTAGAAGATAGGCACCATCCCAGGCCCATTATATATATGAAGACACAGAGGCGCAGAAAAGTGACTTAATTTGCCTAAGTCACAAGGCAGAGTTGGGTCAGAACCTGATCCTTAGCCACCATAGTATGTCCTCACCACTTAAGTAGGCCAGGAGGCAGTTCTGCTTCCTGGATCAGTGGTAATAATATCACAAACAGATACAACTATCTTGTTTCAAAGCAGAGACAACTGACTTGTTTTAAAAACTCTTTTTTGATTTGTAAACTAAACAAACTTGATCTACAAATTACTGAGAAAGGATAAATATGAAGACATACCATATAATTTCCAGTATTACTACCATTAACTCTAACCACACCAAAGTTATGTGAAGATGTTCTATGAATGTAACATATTATACGATATAATTTTCTCTACCACAGAAAATCTCCCAATAATCCTTTGGAAATCAGTGTGGGAAATATTTTCTGAGAGCTCTCCAAAAAAGAGACCAAGTTCCTACCCACAGGAGAGCCTGATTTTTCTAAGAACAAACTCTCCACTGTCTACTTCTGGGGTTTCCTTAGTGTTTCTGGGCTAAAAACCCAGTAATTTACTTTCCCTATGAAAGACTAGGGCAGAAATAGCCTGGACTTCCTTTTGCAAACCAGAATTCACAGCTGTTTGGGGTGAACAATCCAATGTGGGAAAAAGAACCTCCTGAAGGGATTTTTCTGGCCAAGAATGTAACTTTCACTGGGACCATAACCTCCTATGACCCGTGAACATGCTGAAGCTACTAGATACAAGTCAAATTCTTCAGATCACAAGCTTGTTTCATTGTTTCCTGTCTCTAATTTTTGCAACTAAGAAAGTAAAAACTGAACTTCAATTGGAGGATGCAGGAAAAAGGGAGACCACTGACTTTAAATCTTAAACTTTGTAGTAAATTTTCTTTTCACTGCAGCCTCAACCTTCCACCTTCTGGGCTCTAGCAATTCTCCCACCTTTGCGTCTCTGCCTCCTGAGTAGCTGGGGCCACAGGTGCATGCCATCACACTCAGCTAATTTTTTATTTTTATTTTTTTTGAGATGGAGTTTCGCTCTTTTTTGCCCAGGCTGGAGTGCAATGGCACGATCTTGGCTCACTACAACCTCTGCCTCCCAGGTTCAAGCAATTCTCCTACCTCAGCCTCCCAAGTAGCTGGGATTACAGATGCAGGCCACCACACCCAGCTGATTTTGTATTTTTAATAGAGATGGGGTTTTACCATATTGGCCAGGCTGGTCTCTAACTCCTGACCTCAGGTGATCCACCCGCCTCAGCCTCCCAAAGTGCCGGGATTACAGGCGTGAGCCACTGCGCCTGGCCTAGTTTTTTTATTTTTTGTAGAAACGAGGTCTTGCCATGTTGCCCAGGCTGGGTAAATTATCTTTAATTCTAAGTAAATGCCTTACTCAGTTTAAGATTAGGCACCTTCTAGATTTTTACATATAAAGTAACTACCACAAAAGTCATTTCCAAGCATGTTACCTTTTTTTGTTTCCTTTTGTTTTTTAACATGGGAACCACACTCTGCTTTAGAGAAAGCAAAAATGTAAGTACAGCAATTCCAAAATGCAGGAACAGGGCTGCCCTCCCAACAAAATCACACTTAAAGGGAGTATTTTAAGACATTCTTGGCTGGGCGTGGGGGCTCACACCTGTAGTAATTCCAGCACTTTGGGAGGCCGAGGCAGGCAGATCACTTGAAGTCAGGAGTTCGAGACTAGCCTGGCCAACATAGTGAAACCCCTGTCTCTACTAAAATACAAATATTCGCCAGGTGCAGTGGTGCATGCCTGTAATCACAGCTACTCAGGAGGCTGAGGCACAAGAATTACTTGAACCTGAGAGGCAGAGGTTGCAGTGAGCTGAGATTGCACCACTGTACTCCAGTCTGGATGAAGGAGTGAGACACTGTCTCTGAAAAAAAAAAGAAAAAAAAAAAAGGCCAGGCACGGTGGCTAACGCCTGTAATCCTAGCACTTCCGGAGGCTGAGGGTAGACTGCCTGAGCTCAGGAGTTCGAGACCAGCCTGGGCAACACAGTGAAATCCCGTCCCTACTAAAATACGTGCGCCTGTAATCCCAGCTACTCGGGAGGCTGAGACAGGAGAATCGCTTGAACCCGGGAGGTGGAGGCTGCAATGAGTCGAGATCGTGCCATCGCACTCCAGCCTGGGCGAGAGAGAGAGACACTGTCTCAGAAAAAAAAAAAAAAAAAAAAAAAAAGAAAGACATTCTTGAAAAACTATTTTTAATTAATTAAGATAGTTTAGTGGAAGACCCAGAAAACTGCTATGCTAGTGGATAGTTGCATTTTATCTTGTTTTTGCATTCTCTTAGAAGAGCAGGAACTTAGATCAGACAAATTCAAATCCACAAGATCTGTTTCCAGGCCCTTCCATTCTACAATCCTTACATGGTCAGTGTTGCCCTCTTCCTTAAGATGTTAAAATCATTTTGCTCAAAATAGGCACTTTCAAAAGAAATCTGGCACAGTAGTGGGCAAAAGTAAAAAGGTCAGCATGAGAAAAGGCTGTCACGCCATTATAATCTCCAAGGTTCAGATCCATTCTGGGAATGAATAAAGGACCATTTCAATAGAATGGTTATGCTAATCACTGTTTAAAAAATAATAACACTAACAAGAGGAAGAAGTCTAGCCTGGCATGGTGGCATGTGCCTGCAGTCCCAATAGCTCAGGAGGATGAGGCAGGAGGATCAATTGAGCCCAGGAGTTTAAGGTCAGCCTGGACAACATTAGCAAGACTCCTGTCTCTTAAATTTTTTTTTTTAATTAAAAAAAAAAAAAAACCAAAGTCCTTAAATAAATATTAGGAAGCTTTCTTTACAACAATGAATTACTTGCCATATTTTCTGACATTTGGGAGAATCTGTTATTATCCTCCAAATGAGGTCCATTTTTCAAAATTTTTCATGCTTCATTCCTTATTTCAGAACATTTTCACATCTTGGGAAATTCATATCTGTTTTGGAATAGTTTTCTTTTTCTTTTATTCCCCCAATGAAATGGCAGCATAAAAATTAGTTTAAAGCCACATTCATTGCTACTATCTATAAATTTTCAGATTCTCCAGCAAGTCTCCTTGGCTTCCTCTTTTCTTATTCACCCTTCTCATGCTTGAGAAATTAAGCATAAAATATTCCTAAACCATAACATAATCTCCTCAACTGTGATCTTCGGTTTAGTTTCTCTGTGCTTCTGAACCCTAAGAAGTACATTTCACTTTACTTTTCCATTCATATACATCAGTATTTAGTTCATAACTCAATTTACAGTTTGAAGCTATTGTGGCTGGTTTTCTTTTTTCTTCTTTTTTTGGGGGGTGGTGGTGTGAGGACGTGGTCTAGCTCTGTCACCCAGGCTGAAATGCAGTGGAACAATCTTGGCTCACTGCAGCCTCAACCTCCCAGACTCAAGCAATCCTCCCACATCAGCCTCCCGAGTAGCTGGGACTACAGGTGCACACCATCACGCCTGGCTAATGTTTGTATTTTTCGTAGAGATGGGATTTCAGCATGTTGCCCAGGCTGGTTTCAAACTCCTGGGCTCAAGTGATCCAGCTGCCTCAGCCTCCCAAAGTGTTGGTATTACAGAGGTGAGCCACTGTGCCTGGCCATGATTGGTTTTAACATTTCCTTTTCTCAGATCTTTTTGGCCTTTTAGTTGATAGAATTTACTTTTAACCAAATCTTACAATATTCTTATACAGGAGTTTCTTTCTTGGAAATCAGTATTTCACTATAACTCTAAACATAGCAAACTGTCTTGTTACATGAGAATCTGAGTGCCCGCTACGTGCCCAGAACTAAAAAATACTGTAAGTTAAGAAGTTTGATAGAATGCCTATCCCAAGCTCCCAAGGTATAGACCGAAGGCATGCATCCATTAAACAATCAGAAAATGAGTTAGTATTATATAAAGTATAATCCATGCAATCCAGAGCCTCTGTAAGCCTAGACATTCTGGATAACTGTGCTTTCTAGATAATCTATTGCTTATCCTTTTAAGTAAAAAAATTATATTTAAACCATTTTGGATAGAAAACTATATTTTTTTTCTTCTTTCACTAACAAGCTATATTGAACATAATTTAATCTTTATTTGATGGCTAACAGTCATAATAAACATAAATCATAGCACAAAGATACAGTAAACTGATGCTTGGGGCTTACATAGGTATATAGGGCTATATACACCTATGTTAATAGCTTCAAACAGCCGGGAGGTAGGATAAATTATGCTAAATTTGTGTGCTTTCTCTGTCTCCTTTTTGTTGGCCTGTTACACAGACGTATCATACTACTATAAACTCTGTAAGGGAACAGAACATGTATGAAGAGAGGGGCTAATTCTGACAGACCACGTACAATGTCCCAGGTCTCAGACATATTTTGCAGTGCATCTAGCAATCACTTGGCCTGGCACAAAGTATATCATGGGTAAACATTGGGTATATGAATGATTCCTCTCCCTTATTTACTCTTTCTAGTCTGCCATGCTTGGAAAACAGATCCCCAAGCATGAAAAAACACCATTTAAAATGTGTCAGGCAGGGCACTGTGGCTCACACCTATAATCCCAGCACTTTGGGAGGCTGAGGCAGGAAGATCGTTTGAGCCCAGGAGTTTGAGACTAGCCTGGGCAACATAGTGGGACACGATCTCTACAAAAATAAAAATAAATAATGTGTCTGGCATGGTACTTTGCACAGAACAGGTGCAACACAGCAAAACCGTATGTGCTGAACTGAGGATGACTAAGACTGAGGACTTAGAATATGCCAGGAATTATGGTAAGTCCCGTACACACATTATCTAAGATGATACCTATAAGGCAGATAGTATTATCCCCATTTTACAGATGCAGAAATTGAGTATCAAAGTGGTTAACTTGAATAATGTCAAGCAGCTAGTCAGTGGTGGCAGTGGAATGTGAATCCAGGAAGTCTGACACAAAAACAAGTGGTCTTAATGCTATAACATGCTTAATGCTAAGAAAAAGTGGACAGTATAATGCTATACTGTTCCTGAATAAATATCCAGTAAATAAGGAAGGCTAGAAGAACACAAAGTTTGTAACAACATGTTTTTCTAGTAGAAGTCTTCTTTGCTGACTTTCTGATTCTCAGGTATAGCATCAATCGGTGAGGGTTGCTATATGTAAACATTATACTGACAGGCCAAAGCGATCAACTGTGAAAGCTAGGCAAGCAAAGTACACTACAGATGACGTGCTCCAAAGACATGGAAGCTTGAGAGATCTGTGTGTATTAGGGTCATCAGGAAGGGCTTTAAGAAGTTAAAACCTAAGCCCAAGCTGTGTAGAGGAAAAGGGATGGGTAAGAGAAGAGGGCATTTTTTAGCTTAAGAATAAACACAAAGCCTTTGTGGAATACGGGATGGGGGAACACAAACAGGTGAATACACAAACACATGTGTGGTCTGGAACAATTATTCCACTGCAACTGTAAGCTCCTATTTCTGCCAGCTTTACTTCAGGCAAGTTACAGTTGGCAGTACAAATAGGGGTAGAATATGGCCGCTAATACAAAGGCCAAATCTGAAGCTATGATTCCACAGCTCTCATTAAATAATCCAGGGTCTTTAGGGGAGAGAGGGTTGGGAGCAGAGGTAACCTACCCTTCACTATGTCCACATCTAAAAAGGGAGGACATACTGACCTAGGCATGGTCTCATTTGCTCAGAAATCTTTTACTAGCTTTAACCAGAGTCACCTCTAATTAGTGTAACTAGTGCCTCCAGATCCTCCCTGCCCCTAGGAGTCACAGGAATGAGAGGTTGGGAAGCTATTAGGCATTTACCCTCTCTACAAAAGACACAGAAGCAAGTCAAGGTGAGCCAGCTCTCTAACTCTAGGGAATAGAGAGTTAACACACTTTATGGCAGAGACAGGACACATCAGCAAGAGGCCCAAAGTAGAAGCATTGTGCTCAACAGGTTTCCTAGTCTTGCTTAACTATATTAACTATATGGCAGTTAAATCCTCAGCAGAATTTCAATAGTCTCCGAGTGAGCGCACTAAGAATAACTTGACCTGAGGCCGGGCAAGGTGGCTCACGCCTGTAATCCCAGCACTTTGGGAGGCCGAGGCCGGCGGATCATGAGGTCAAGAAATTGAGAACAGCCTGGCTAACATGGTGAAACTCCATCTCTACAAAAAATACAAAAATTAGCTGGGTGTGGTGGCGCTTGCCTGTAGTCCCAGCTACTTGGGAGGCTGAGGCAGGAGAATCGCTTGAACCCAGGAAGGCGAAGGTTGCAGTGAGCTGAGATACTGCCACTGCACTCCAGACTGTGGACAGAGCGAGACTCCGTCTCCAAAAAAAAAAAAGAATAATTTGACCTGTGTTTGAGGGTGGGAGATATGAGAAACTTCTCACTTTAGCAGGATATGCTGAGGGTTAAGATATCTCTGGAAAATCTCCAAATGCTATGTCATCAACTCATTAAAGACAGAGGCATCTCCAAACCTGTACAGTCTTGTCACCTCTCAGACATCAGAACTGCAGAGTGGCAAATCCAGGTAAGATTCAAAACCCAATTCATGCATTCACTGTACATTTATTAAACACCTGTAAGTTGTCAGGCACTGATCTAGGGACTGAGAATATAAACATGATATATGGAAGTATACCCATCCATTATTATTTACCTTTATTATGCCCAACCTCTCAAGGGTGCAGGCAGGAAGTTCTTCTCCTGTTGCCTAAGGAGCACCAAATAAGTCTCCATTCTCATTTCTGTGCCTCTGATCATGGGGTACCCACCTGAAACATGCCCATCATAACTCACCTACCCAAATCCTCACATCCTTCAAGGCCAGCTTAAGTCTCCCTCCTTTTGGAAGCCCTGACTTCCACTCCATCCCTAAATGATGTCTCTGTTCTCTGAGCTGCTAGCAATTACAGCGAGTAATACCATCCACCATCCATTTATTTAGAAATTTATTGTCCTGCAACTGATACTTTTATTTCTTCAACAAATCTTAAGTACCTACTTATATTGCTTTTTAAAATCTTCCTGTAAAGACCTGGGTTGGTACTCAGTGCTTAATATCTATTAATAACAATTTATTAGCGCCTTAGGCTTATATGGTCCAAGCTCACTCAAACTGAAGTTACATAAAGTAATGGGGAACAAAAGCTAACGAAGGCATTTCTAAATGAACTTCCACTTCTTAAAAACCTCAAAAGAACAAGGAAGGAAAAAGAAATCAGGCTATGAAAGCGCTGCTGAACTAACACATTTAACTCACACTAACAAAGCACCCCCAATCCCCCTTCGAAGCCACACAAAACTGATGTTTTTCCCTCGGTCCTTACAGCTCCAGATTGAAGCGTTTAACAACAGACCTTGGAAAAGTTTACAGCATCCTTCGGTTTCCTAAACAAGTCTCTCTGCCTTTATTTCTAGATGAATAAGCCCCTGGATGAATCCTGCATATGCCACTTAGACTAATCCAATGAGGTTCACTACAAGGAACTACAATTTGAACTTCAAGCACAAGAGAGGCTCAAAGACGAACATCTTGAAAATGATACATCCAGAGGCAATTTTAATAAAACAAAAGCGAGGGGCCAGGCGCGGTGGCTCACGCCTGTAATCCCAGCACTTTGGGAAGCCGAGGCGGGCGGTTCCTGAGGTCAAGAGTTCGAGACCAGCCTGGCCAATATGGTGAAACCCCGTCTCTACTAAAAATACAAAAATTAGCCTGGTGTCGTGGCGGGCGCCTGTAATCCCAGCTACTTGGGAGGCAGAGGCAGGAGAATCGCTTGAACCCGGGAGGCGGAGGTTGCAGTGAGCCGAGATCGCGCCACTGCACTCCAGCCTGGCTGACAGAACAAGTCTCCGTCTCGAGGGAAAAAAAAAAATAAAGCGAGGTCCTGTGTAGCCTGGTGGAAGGTTCCAAGTTCCTCAGAGAAGAAAATCAATAGAATTTCCTCCAGAGGAGCCTCGAGATTCTACAAGGCGTAGGAGTTTCTGCAGGAGGTGAGGGAGATCTCATATATATATATATAAGATATACATATTTGCTCTTAATTGGCTTTTGTGAGCTACGATAGCTGGCACCCTGTAGCGAGCGAGAGTGAACCCTGGCTGTGCCATGCGGCGGAGGCTGCCACCTGGGCACTCCCACCATTCTTCGCAGCCGGGTCAGAACGGGAGACCAGGCGAGCCCGGAGCAGCGTGGACTCGGACCTGCGCGCCCTCCGGTACCCTGGCCCGCGGGCCGCCTGCCTCGCCCCGGGCACGCCACAAGCCCACCCCGCCCGAGTCTCAGGACCCCCGATCTCTCTGGGGACCCAAGAGACGGGTGGGGGAGAAAGGGTCTGCAGGCAGCGGCCCGGCCCTGGCGCGTACCCACCTGAGCAGACTGGAGAGGGGGTGGCTGGAAGAGCCGAGGCCGCCGCCGCCGCCGCCGCTGCCGCCGCCGCCGCCCCCAGAGCCACCGCCGCCGCCGCCCCCAAAGCCTGAGGAGAGCCGCTTCCCGGACAGCAGCTTCTCCACCGCCGGGAGGTGCCCGGTGCGGGCCGCCTCCAGCAGCTCCTGCTCCTTCCCCATCCCCAGGGCCGCCACCCGCTGGACCCCCTCCCCGAGGCTGCAGCCGAGCCTGCTCGGGCTCCCAAACTTTCCGTCTCCGGGCAACGCACCCCCCAAACCGGCTGGGGACACCACCCCCTCCCTGCCTTTTCCCCACGAGCGCGTCACTTCCGGGATCCGGCGTCACGCGTCACCGCGCCCCCGCGCCCCGCCCCCTAGCTCACCTAGCTGGGCGGGGCTCCGCGGACCAGCGCAGGTGGACTTTGCTGTGCCGAGACACGCCTCTCGGGGCATGGGGACAGCGCCTTGTGGGCCCCCATTATGCAGGTGGAAAGGGACAAACAGGCCCACCTGTACGCGCCTCCCGAAGTGCGCTCCTTCCCCAAAGGTTTTGGGAGCTCCTGGGACAGGAAATACGGTAATTCGTCCAGGCAGCGTAGAAACAAAGAGATAAATGTAACGCGCACCTACATTTCCAAGTCCATTCTTTCAGCACGCATAAATTAAATATGTAATAGGTGCGGGGACCTAGTCATACCCAGGTGAATAAAACGCCCTCCCCCTCGTATCTCAATGAGGGAAGAGAAGAAAATTTTAAAACAGAAATATCCTCACCACTTCATCCTCCCAGTACGTGAACTAGTTCATTAAAGTGAAACGTTCAAAGGAGACACCTTCCTCTCTTTAGGCTTTCCTCTTAGTTTTAATGAGATTAACCAAACTGATAGAAAAGTGTCAGACTTGTAAAAACAAACCTCAATCTTCAGTACTGGCGAACTGAAAAAAATCATTTAATTGGGTAGAAACTATGTGTGTTTTGTTCCCTGGTACTAGCACTGTTTCTAAATCGAAGTAGGCAGTCAATAGTTGTGGATGAATAAATGAATTGGATAAATTCTGCTCGAGCTATATGACTTTTTGTTGTTAAGGTGCTTGCGGAATGGAGGGGAAATGCTAGCAATTCTATGTACACACAGGCCCGCGGTTTCGGGCCAGTTGAAATATACAAGGTTGAGTCCTTGCCTGAAAGTTTACCAGTCCCGGGGAGCCTCATTCCACGACACCGCCATACAACGGAACTGAGTTTTCTCCCAGTCCCCCAACTTTACTCTGAGGGGTTAACGAAGGGATTAACTGACATTGCATTTTTAGACAGGCGAAAAGGAAAAAGTTATTTAGTAAACAAAACTGCGCTCCTTCACAAGTGCTGGTTTCCTAGCGAGGAGGATCCATAGTCTGAGCTCTTTACGTCCAATTTTCCCGCTTCCCACTGTCGCCAAACCAAAGTTAAAATGAGTCCTCTAGTCCTCTACGCGCGCCTCAAAATGACCCCTCAGGAGAGCGGTAGGGGTGATGTCATCGCTGCGCGACGACAGGAAGTAAGATCCTGGCCTGTGCAGCTCGGGTTTCCGAGCTTCTGCCTCAGGCATCTCCGCGATCTCCTCTCCCCTCCAATCCTATCCGTGATGGACGATGCCCACGAGTCGCCCTCCGACAAAGGTGGAGAGACAGGGGAGTCGGATGAGACGGCCGCTGTGCCCGGGGACCCGGGGGCTACCGACACCGATGGAATCCCAGAGGAAACTGACGGAGACGCAGATGTGGACTTGAAAGAAGCTGCAGCGGAGGAAGGCGAGGTAGGAAGAGATGTACTGATGAGGCTGAAGGAATACCCAGAGATTGTGTTACTGGCTGCTCGCCGGGCTTCTGGTTAGTCCCTAACAAGTTACGAGAACTCGAACTCACCAGAATTCCCTCCAGATCGTTAATCTTGAGGGGGAAGAGAGGGGACGACCAAACAAAACTCCAGTGCTGGTTCGGTTCCAGAGGCTCAAGCACTGTTAATATTTTTAGTCTTGTCTTTAGGGATTAAAGCTACTTCTAAGGGAGTTATAATAGCCCGTTGGCTTTGGTGGTGAGGAAATTGGGATCCAATGTCACACTGAGACGTAGTGCAAGAGCTAAAACCCAGGATTCGTAGCACCCCTTTCACCGCAATATGGTTCCTCTTAGATGTTAAGACAACTTTTGTCTTTATAGGAAGGAGGGTCGATCAGACCTGTCAAAGGGAGATAGACTTTTATATCGAAAAGTCTATATCGATATAGACTTTTATATCGAACACGATTTAACCTGAGAGTCGCCCGGGCTGGAGAACAATGGCGCGATCTCTGGCCCACTGCAACCTGCGCCTCCTGGGTTCACGCGATTCTCCTGCTTCAGCCTCCCGAGTAGCTAGGATTACAGGCGCACACCACCATGCCCAGCTAATTTTTGTATTTTTAGTAGAGACGGGGTTTTACCATGTTGGCCAGGCTGGTCTGGAACTCCTGACCTCGTGATCCGCCCGCCTCGGCCTCCCAAAGTGCTAGGATTACAGGCGTGAGCCACCGCACCCGGTGATCAGGGACCCATCAATTGGGTCTGGTGTTTTTATGCTACAGAGAGTTCAGCAGTGTTGCCTAGCTGAGTATCGGTCAGGACCAGAAACTCATCGTTCTCAGGATTACATTTCTAGAAGTAGAATCTTGGGGTCTTACAGCTAGAAGGGATTTAAGAGATCGTGGGTGAACAGTAGATTAGATGGAAATAGCCTTTCAGAGCATAAAGTTGCATCAAAATGTATAAAGTACAAACTTTTAGAAAAAGAGAAAATTTGTCTGGGCGTAGTGGCTCACGCCTGTAATCCCAGCACTTTGGGAGGCCGAGGTGGGTGGATCGCCTGATGTCAGGAGTTTGAGACCAGCCTGGCCAACATGGCGAAACCCCGTCTCTACTAAAAATACAAAAATTAGCTGGGCATGGTGGCGGGCGCCTGTAATCCCGGCTACTTAGGAGGCTGAGGCACAAGAATCGCTTGAACCTGGGAGGCGGAGATTGCAGTGAGCCGAGATCGCACCACTGCACTCCAGCTTGGGTACCAGAGACTCCGTCTCGGAAAAAAAAAAAGAAAAGAAAAGAAAGAAAAAGGAAAAGAGAACATTTGACAAAAGTATTTTAAGGCAGGTTTTTTGTTTGTTTTTTGTTTTTTGTTTTTTGTTTTGAGACCGAGTCTCGCTCTGTTGCCCAGGCTGGAGTGTGCAGTGGCGTGATCTTGGCTCACTGCAAGCTCCTTTAAGGCAGTTTTTGTTTGTTGAGACAAGGTCTCACTCTGTCACCCAGCCTGGAGTGCAGTGGCACAGTCTCTGCCTCCTGGGCTCAAGCAATCCTCTTATCCCAGCCTCCCCAGTAACTGGGACTGCAGGCATGCTGCACCACGCTCATCTAAAGTTTTTGTTTTGTTTTGTTTCGTTTTTGAGACAGAGTCTCGCTCTGCCGCCCAGGCTGGAGTGCAATGGCGCAATCTCGGCTCACTGCAACCTCCGCCTCTCAGGCTCAAGCGATTCTCCTGCCTCAGCCTCCCCAGTAGCTGGGATTACAGACACGTGCCACCGCGCCCAGCTAATTTTTGTATTTTTAGTAGAGCTGAGGTTTCACAAGTTTCACAAGTTGCCCAGCCTGGTCTTGAACTCCTGACCTCATGATCCATCCGCCTCGGCCTCCCAAAGTGCTGGGATTATAGGCATGAGCCACCGCACCCGGCCAGCTAAAGGTTTTTTAAATATTGTTTTGGTAGAGACAAGGTCTTATTATGTTGCCCAGTCTGGTCTCCAACTCGTTGGGCTCAAGCAATCCTCCTGCCTCAGCTTCCCAAAGTGCTAAGATTACAGGTGGCAGCCACCATGCCTGGCCAAGAAGGAAACTTTAAAACAGGTGTCAAGGACAGCAAGGATTTGAATAATTAGCTTAGTACACAGAGGGCTCACTACATATCTAAATTTGCACCGAACAGAGGATAAAATTATGTTGTTTCTGAAACACTTTTAAAAATCGATCATGTACCAGACCACAAAGAAAAATATGAACTCTTAAAAGTAGAAATCATAACAGGCCACATCTTGTTAATGTAATGCATTAAACTTGAAATTAACTACAAAAAGCTTCTCCCCCACCAAAAAAGAACTAACCCCCTGGAAATTTTAAACTATTTTTTAAATAGCCTTTAGACTAAAGAAATTAATAGAACACTTTATCAAAGTATATGGGATTTGGCCAAAGCTTTATTTAAAGAAAAATATATAGCCTTACATATTTTTATTAACAGCCAGAAGATATTGCAAATAAGCACCTAACTCAAGAAACCAGAAAAAGGGCCTAGTGGAGTGGGTCACGCCTGCAGATCTAGCTACCTGGCAGGCTGACACAAGAGGATCACTTGAGGCTTCAGTGAGCTATGATCCAGCCTGGGCAACAGAGCGAGTCTGGGGGAGAAAAAAAAGATAAAGAACAAAATAAATCAGAAGAATGTAGGAACAAGGAGTTAATAAGGATAGAAGTAGACACTAATGAATTAGCACATTAAAAAACATAAATGATAAAATTAAAACATTATTTAAAATGTAAATGTATAACATTACAAAATATGAAAGGCTATAGGCACTAATATGGAGATCTTTAAAGTTATAAAGACATTTAATGTTCAAGTTTAGGCCAAATAAATGTGAAAATCTGAGAAAAATAGGTGATTTTTTAAAGGAAAATACAAACCACCAAACTTGAAGCACAGTTAGAAAACTTGTATAAATCAGTAACTAAAAAGAAATTGAAAAGATTGTCAAAGATAGACTACCTTCATCCCACCTATTCCCATATTCCTGTATGAGTTTAAATTTGAATTCCTCTTTAGGGACAAGTTAAATCTCATTAATGAGTTTTGTAGTATACTTAAGATTCTACATTAAGTCAGAGGGGGTGAAGTTTGGATTTGATTTTTATTATTAAACAGCCAGTTTTTTAAGTTCAGGGGTACATGTGCAGGATGTGCAGGTTTTGTTACATAAGTAAATGTGTGTCATAGGGGTTTGTTGTATAGATTATTTCATCACCCAGGTATTAAGCCTAGTGTCCCTTAGTTATTTTTCCTGATCCTTTCCCTCCTGCCACCCTTCATCCTTCCATATACCCTTCACCCTTCCATATACCCCAGTGTGTGTTCCCCTCTATGTGTCCGTGTGCTGTCATCATTTAGTTCCCACTTATTAGTGAGAACATGCAGTATTTGGTTTTCTGTTCCTACATTAGTTTGCTAAAGATAATGGTCTCCAGCTCCATCCATGTCCCTGCAAAGGACATGATCTCCTTTTTTATGGCTGTATAGTATTTCATGGTGTATACTGGAAAATACATTTTCTTTATCCAGTCTACCATTGATGGGCATTTAGGTTGATTCCATGTCTTTGCTATTGTGAATAGCACTGCAATGAACATAAGTGTGGATGTGTCTTTATAATAGAACAATTTATATTCCTTTGGGTATATACCCAGTAATGGGATTGCTGGGTCAAATGGTAATTCTGTCTTTAGGTCTTTGAGGAATTGTCACACTGCCTTCCTCAATGGTGAACTGATTTATACTCCAACCAAGAGTTTAAAAGCTTTCCTTTGCCTCCACAACCTTGCCAGTATCTGTTATTTTTTGACTTTTGAATAATAGCCATTCTGACTGATATGAGATGGTATCTCATTATGGTTTTGATTTGCATTTCTCTAATCAGTGAAGCTGACCTTTTTTTCACATGATTGTTGGCCACAGGTATGTCTTGTTTTGAGAAGTGTCTTTGCCTACTTTTAAGTGGGGTTTGAACAGGCATTTATTAAACATCCAGCATAAGTAAAATTGCATTAAATGCTGATGGGGGGGAGATATAAATAATAAGAGACAAACCTATCTTCAAAAAGACTAGTAATGTGAAATAAACATTTGCATGAAACAGTAGGATTGAAGAATAAGAACAAAAGAGCACTACGTGTGAGAAGCTCACTTGAAAGTCCCAAATTGAAATAAACACTGTTTTGATGAGAAGGGGCCTCCTTTTTAATATTCTTTCCATGTGGAATCATCAGCAGTAAAGAGATCTATAGATCTGGAAGCAGAAGAGCTGGCTGGATGGAGGGGACTTTGCTGACATCCCCTCTGAAAAATAAGGTCAGAAGAGTGGGCCCGGGGGAGGGTGATTTTCATGATCCATGGCATTTCATTACCCTTGTAAACAGATACTGGAGCTGTGCTCATAGCCAAACTGGAAAACTAGATTATTTAGCAGGTTTTCTTTCCATAGCTGAGCCATAATCTTCCCTTAGGAGAGATACTGTATCTTATCCTTGATGGTACAGTCAGTGCCTAGAACTGAAAAACTACTCAATAAATGGATTTGTTGTTTTGTGATAAGGATGATGTCTTCTTACTTTGCCCAAGCCTGGAAAGTAGGCCAAATATATAATAGAGTTTCTTTCATCTTCCCAGCTCGAGAGTCAGGATGTCTCAGATTTAACAACAGTTGAAAGGGAAGACTCATCATTACTTAATCCTGCAGCCAAAAAACTGAAAATAGATACCAAAGAAAAGAAAGAGAAAAAGCAGAAAGTAGATGAAGATGAGATTCAGAAGATGCAGTAAGTCACTTTCTTATCATTCCCCATTTCGAGGCTCTCACTTGACCACACAAATTTAATAAATTTTTCTTGGTGTTTAAATTTTCTTTTATAAACTCAAAAGAAAATAAAACGATTAATACATTATGGCTGGGCATGGTGGCTCACGCCTGTAATCCCAACACTTTAGAAGGCCAAGGTGGGAGGATTTCTTGAGGCCTAAGTTTGAGACCAGCCTGGGCAACATAGTGAAACCCTTTCTCTAATGTTATGTTATGTTATGTTTTTTTTTTTATTTTTTATTTTTTTGAGATAGAGTCTCACTGTGTCGCCCAGGCTGGAGTGCAATGGTGTGATCTCGGCTCACTGCAGCCTCCACATCCTGAGTTCAAACGATTCTCATGCCTCAGCCTCCCGAGTAGCTGGGACTACAGGCATGCACCGCCATGCCCAGCTAATTTTTGTATTTTTAGTAGAGACAGGGTTTCACTATGTTGGCCAGGCTGGTCTTGAACTCATGACCTCACGTGATCTGCCCGCCTCGGCCTCCCAAAGTGCTAGGATTACAGGCATGAGCCACTGTGCCCGGCCTCTATTTAAAATTTTTTTTTTTTGAGACAGAGTTTCGCTCTCGTTGCTCAGGCTGGAGTGCGGTGGTGCAATCTCTGCTCACTGCAACCTCCGCCTTCTGGTTTCGAGCGATTCTCCTGCCTCAGCCTCCCAGGTAGCTGGGACTACAGGCTCCTGCCACCATGCCTGGCTAATTTTTGTATTTTTAGTAGATACAGGTTTTTGCCATGTTGGCCAGGCGGGTCTCGAACTCCTGACTTCGTGATCCGCCCGCCTCAGCCTCCCAAAATGCTGGGATTACAGGTGTGAGCCACTGTGCCTGGCCAAAAACAATTTTTTCAAATAATTATGTTACAGCATAGAAAATATAAATAGATAAAAAGAAGGCCGAGATCGGTGGCTCACACCTGTAATCCCAGCACTTTGGGAGGCTGAGGCGGGTGGATCACTTGAGGTCAGGAGTTTGAGACCAGCCTGGCCAACATGGTGAAACCCCGTCTCTACTAAAATTACAAAAAATTAGCCAGGTGTCGTGGTGGGTGCCTGTAGTCCCAGCTACTCGGGAGGCTGAGGTAGGAGAATTACTTGAACCCAGGAGGCAGAGGTTGCAGTGAGCCAAGACTGCGCCACTGCACTCCAGCCTGGGCGATAGAGCCAGATGCTGTCTCAAAAAAAATAAATAGATAAGAAGAAAAAATAATTACCTTACCACAGAGATATATCCTGCTTATAAGTTTCAAGATAGTTTCTATACATATATATCTATAAATTTTTTTTTCCACAAATGTCAAATACTGTTTTGTAGCCTATTTTTCACATTAGATATGGTGAATGTTTTCCATGTCACTAATTATACATCTAGGTCATAGTTTTCTTAAAAATAGAAATAGCTTTATTACATTTTCTGATTGTAAAAGTAGTATGGGCTCATTGCAAATAATTCAGAGAATACAGAAAAATAGAAAAAAATCACCCATAAACTCACCACGCAGAGTTCACTCTAAGTATATAGTTGGGTATAATGTTTGGGTATGTACCTTTTCAAAGTTTTTTTAGATGTTTGATATGTATAGCTAAATATTTTCATGTCAGTAAATATGCTCATAAATCATAATTTTTAATGGCTACATTGTATCCCATTATGTTGTTGAACTATAATTTAACCAATCCCTATAGTGCTTCTGGTTGGGTATTTTTACTTTTGACATTATGATGAGGATCTTTGGACATATCTTTGCATACTTGTCCATTACTTCCTAAGATAAACTCCTAGAGGTGTAATTGCTAATTCAAATAGTATGAACATTTTCAAAGGCTTTTCATATGTATTTCCAAATTTCTCTCCAAAAAGGTGTTCCAGTTCACTCTGCCAGCATGTGTTTGTGTCCCATATTCTAATACCATTCTTTTTTTAATAGTGGTCTGATTTATGAAAAATGTTATCTATGAAAATAATATTTCCTTAGTTAATAATGAAGGTTGTTTCCCCCATGTTGATTGACCATTGGTATTTTGGTAAATTTCCTGTTCATGTACTTTGTTCATTTTCAAAAATTGACATGGCCCCTTTATTCATTTGAAAGAATTATACATTAGGAGTATTAACTGTTTCCACATATTTTGCAGATATTTCCCCTAAATCTGTTAATGTTGAAAACTACTGGTTTGATTATAAATTTGTATATTAAATTTTTACCATCAGTGTGAAATTCAATAAGATAGAGTTATGGAGATAGTGTCTAATGCTGCAAACAGTCTGTGTAGTACGATACAGTGACCCAGTGTTGTTCTTTTTGTTAACAGGTAAGAAAAGAAGTTTTTGTTTTACGTTTTCTCAAATTCCTTTGGAGTAGAAGTGTTTTATCTTCATTCCTCAAGGCACCAAGCCTAATGCCATTGACCCCTTTAAGAATTCGTTTTTGAATTGTCTGAAACTTTTATTGACTTCATAATATCTTGAGTATTCGTTCTTATAAGTTAACTTAGTTACCTGGATCTTTGTTTAGAATCCTGGTTTCTTCTTTTTCTGAGGAGCAGCTGAACCGTTATGAAATGTATCGCCGCTCAGCTTTCCCTAAGGCAGCCATCAAAAGGGTAAGGATGGACCACCACACTTCATCTCCATCACGTTTTAGAACTGAACTCAAGAGCCATGTCCATTGGCATTTGAAGTGAGGTGTTAGACAAGTCAGGGGATTATTTAGGTGGGAAAAAAAATGCACTTCAGTTATCTTACCTTTTTCTGTGAATTACTTGGTACTGTGTTCCAAAGCCAGTCTTTGACTATTGTGATCACGGAGTCTTTGTGCTTCTTTCAAGCTGATCCAGTCCATCACTGGCACCTCTGTGTCTCAGAATGTTGTTATTGCTATGTCTGGTATTTCCAAGGTTTTCGTCGGGGAGGTGGTAGAAGAAGGTGAGTAGTGTTGGTTACAAATACTGGATTGTACCTGTGGTGGTCTTATTTTTAAGAATATCTACACAAAGGAGCTTATTAAAGCACCTATGGGAGTTCTCATTTGCACTTGAAGTTGACCAAGTGGGGAGCCCTTTATTTAGGAGAACATGACTGTTATTCCTTGCAAGTTTCAATAACAGATGGTAAGGAACCATCTGGGAAATCCCCTCCCTGATTCCTTTCCTCAGCCCAGGGTGAAAGAAGTAGACTTTGTATTTTCTGCAGTGGACTTTGCTCATTTCTGCTGCCAAAAGTAAAGATACAAGAAAAGCAATCACAGGGGTGACCTGTGTGGGATGGTGAGTTGTCCCTAATGTTGTGATCCCTAGGAACTGCCTGACCCCTTTATTGAGTAAAAAGCCTGGCTGTTTCCCATTGCTACTCTAGCTGGTGAAATTTTTTTTTTTTTTTTGAGCAGGAGATATATACTTTTAAATTATTATTATTTTTTGAGACAGGGTCTCACTCTGTCACCCAGGCTGGAGTGCAGTGGCATGATCTTTATTATTTTTTTTAATATTTTTTATTTTTCCTTTTACAAATCACAAATTAAGATGGTATACAAAATGAGATGGTAACAGTGGTGTGATCATAGCTCACTACAACCTCAAACTCCTGGGCTCAAAGGATCCTCTTGCCTCAGCCTCCCAAGTAGCTGGGACTGTAGGCGTGCACTACCATACCTGGCTAATTTTTAATTTTATTTTTATGTAGTTATTTGAGACAGGGTCTCACTCTGTCACCCAGGCTGGAGTGCCTTGATCATGCGATCACAGCTCACTGTAACAGTTAGCTCCTGGGCTCGGGTGATTCTCCTGCCTCAGTCTGAGTAGTTGAGACCACAGGTGCGCACCACCACCCCTGGCTAACTTTTTAATTTTTTGTAGAGACAAGGTTTGGCCATGTTGCCCAGGTTGGTCTCGAACTCCTAGGCTCAAGCAATCCTCCCACCTTGGCCTCCCTAACTGCTGGGATTATAGGCATGAGCCACAGCATATGGCCTATAGGAAATATATTTTAAACTGTTGTCTATGATAAAGCCTGTTATGAGACGTTATACTAATATTCTCTTAAAAAGGAAAAATGTCTGTTTATTTCCTTAGCAAGCTTAAGAAAAGTTAACAAGAATTACAGGACTCAAAAGGATTATGTGATTAGTAAATTATTGTGTGATAATCAGACTTTCTCCTTACCCTCTGTTTAGCACTGGATGTGTGTGAGAAGTGGGGAGAAATGCCACCACTACAACCCAAACATATGAGGGAAGCCGTTAGAAGGTTAAAGTCAAAAGGACAGATCCCTAACTCGAAGCACAAAAAAATCATCTTCTTCTAGACCAAAGTCTAGAAAGGCCTATGTTACTGACGGAAGAAGTATTGGTTCCAGACTTCCTATAAGACTGTCTGCATTGGTGCTTTAGTATCTCAGGCCTCCAAGGATTCCATGATGATTTTAATGTCTTTCTCAAAACTCTGATATTTGTCACACCTAGAAAGTATGTAGCCTGATTGATACTTGCCTTGACTAAATTTTGGGACCTCTTGGGGCATTTTGAAGTATTTAACTGTCTTGACCAGTTGGAAGAAGATACGTGGGCCATAAGCATCTTCTGGACAGGGGAACTGCTTTCAGAGAGAAAACCTTTCCAAGAGAGTTTTGTTTTGTTTTGGTTTCGTTTTGTTTGAGATAGGGTCTTGCTCTATCACCTAGGCTGGAGTGCAGCGGCATGACTGCAGCCTTGAACTCCTGGGCTTAAGTGACCCTCCCACCTCAGTCTCCTGAGTAGCTAGGACTACAGGCACACACTACTGTGCCCAGCTAACTTATTTTTATTTTTTATGGAGATGGGGTCTTGCTTTGTTGCCCAGGCTGGTCGTGAACTCCTGGCTTCAAGCAGTCCTCCTGCCTCAGCCTCCTAAAGTGCTGAGGGCTTTAATGGTTTCACATTGAAGCCTGAAGTTGCTAAGACTTAGGTTGTTTCTTATATCTGGTTTTAAGTAGATGAAACAACCAGAAACTTTTACTTGTGATACTCTACCATGAAGGATGCGGTAATGGCAGGAATAGCAGAATAATTGGTGCTTGTAAACATTTAAGATTCTCCTGTGGATTTTGGTGAGTGATCATTAAACTGTTTTCCAACTTGCCCTAGGTGTATTCATTTTCTGTCTAGCTGGTTGGAATGGGAAGTTGATCATTCTTTTTTGGTGTTCCAATACAACTGGTTTTGGCTATTTTGTGAAAATTTGAGCACTTTTTCTAGTAGAACCATTAAAATTTTATCTCATAAAAGAGTACTTCAAGCACTGTTAAAAACAGTGTAATAATTCCCCCCCCAAGACTGAGATGAAAATAAACAATATAAAAGCCCATATATTTCAGATTCTTATCAACGGATATACAACAATCATTATGGTTTAATACATTTAATTTGTTTTTTCAGGTGGTTCACAGAACCAGTACACTCAAAGTTTGACTAGATATTGCAACATTAAAATTTCCCAATACTGACAAGGATTCTAGTTCATCAGATACATTCTCATTGTTTTCCTCAAATAGAGGTGAATGAAGTGACCTTTTATTGACAGTGATTAGCAGTAATAAGGCTATTGTATGTAACTGGCATCCCCAAGAATTCTTTCCTCACTACCATTCAGTGTCATAGGGAGGATTTTGAAGCTGTTCTCTCGTGAAGCTTTCCTGAGCATGTCTTAGTAAAGATTCTAATTCTCTTTAGCACCCTCAGTGGGGGAAACAGAATTAGATACTGAAAGTATCTTACATTAAAACCCATGGCTTTAAACATGTACTTAGCCAATGGAGAAGACACTTCAGTGGGGCATTCCACAAATAAATGCTTTAAGACTCAGGCTAAATCTTGACCAAAAATTAATAAACTGACAAAAAAGATACTGTCTCAGCATTAACAGGAATTTTTTTTAGAAGTCACAGGAACTATATCTATTGCAATTAGAGATACTGAATAAGGCTTAAACTTAATAAATAACAAGTGAGGAAGATCAAATCCCAAGTCTGGCCACTTAGCAAAGCCTCATTGTTGAAGGTTATCCAAGAGTGTTTCCCCTTGTGCCATGGGGAAAATAATCCCCGTTCAATAGCTACTACCTATACCTACCCAGAGGTGCATGGGAATAATCCTATTCCGACAGAAGGTAGGGGAGCAACTAGGTAAAGGCCTTAGTGTCTGAAAGGATAGTGCTTCACACCAGATTCTCTCTGAAACCCTTAGTAATGACTATGATAAATCATGAGGCAATGACACACCTTTTACTGTTCTCAAATAACAAGATGTCATCGAACTAACTTGTGTACCAAAGTTCAGTTGTTTCCATAGTTTTATGATTTTACTATAACTCATTTTAGAATTTTAGGCAAATATTGAGAGAAAAAAAAGCCAGGGTAAAGGGTTGGAATAAAAAGTTCCCATATTACTATGGCAATATTTCAAACTACCTTCTTTGCACTACCACCCATCCCCCAACCCGTTTACCACTAAGGGGAAAGTAATCTAAGTGAGTTAAATGGAAGCATTTAAGTTACAGGGGTATGTGAGGGGTGGTGTTTATACCTTGTATATTCCACACACGGGAGCCAGTCCTTTCAGAGCCATAAAAAGCACACATAAAGGTTGAGGCCCATGGCAAAATGAGGGTCAGGTGAAATATATGGTAAAGAGCAGCCATCATGTGAATAGAACCCACCTGTTTTATATCAGGAACACCAGATTAATTATTCCAGTGAGTTGAAAACAGAATTTGGGATTGATAGCCATCCTTGCAGCCCAGTTAAAGACAGGATTTAAACTCTAGTCCATACACACTAAAGCATATCCCCAGCACATGCATGTAAACAGGAAATGCAGACAATCACAGATAATACAGTTGTAAATGCTTCACAGCTGAATTGGTAATGTGCAGTGGCTGAAGTCTTTGAGGGACAGTGGTGCTATCTCTCCAGACATTTTCTTGAGGTATTGTTATTTCTTGTTCCAAGTCTTGTAGCTCTAAGGCAGAAATCATAAGCAGTCCAAAAGGGCTGACACTGCTACTTTTTCCTTGCATATTTTCCTTTACACTTAATCCTGAGGACTACCACCACTTCGCATTTCTTCATTATGAACACGAATATGAAATTAGGCAAGCTGATTTTTACTAAAATCCCATGGGATAATATCCCCTATCACATTTCCTGAGGGAGAATTTCAAGACACAATGGCCAAAGCTGCCACATAAGGAAAGACAGAAATTCTAAGGCTCCATTTGTGACATGGACAAGAGCTCTGGACTCCTTTAGAGAGCCCAGAGACCTAACTGAGCTCCAGCCATTAGGAGGTTAGCCTTGGTACTTACTGGATATGTTTTTACTCCCACCCCACAAGCACAAGTGTAGGTAAATTATACCAAGAAATGCCTATTCGACATTTCTTTGCATGGAGGGATGCCAGAGGTATATGGTGGGTGAGGGGAGGAAGGGATGAGAAGAGAATCAGAATATGATTTTAAACCAATTCAGGTGAGCCTAACGTGGAATAATTATATTTTCCAGCTACCAGATCTCCTTCCTCCCCCTTCAAGAACATTAGAGATGCCATACTTGACCAGTGATCCATTCAGATCAACATTCTGCCTTTGAAAGAGGCACTAAGGAGTAGTTTGTTGAGGGACACAGTTACCCTCTCAGTTGTATATTACCAAGTAGCCCTACTTTTCTATAATTCCTTGTAGAAGGCCGTCATGCAAGGATTCCTCATAAACCTGCACCCATGTATAGTTTCTGGTGGCATCCCTTCTTAGACAATGAGCTCCTTACATTTCTGATTTGCTATGAGAAGTGCTTTCTTTACTAAGGCTATGAGATAGAGCCCTAGAGCTAGTAGTACAGGACCGGGTCCTTGCTCTTGATTGGATATTTGATCTAACTCCCCTCTGCTTTCATCTTTGCAGGATAGAGTCTATATTTTAAAAATGTGTCCTCATATGGATATACCTCCATCCCCTGATAATTTTGGCTGTTCTCTGGACCTTTCCTCCCTTTATCATATATCTTGTAAATAAGGTCACTAGAAACACAGATAATCCGATCAAGACATATCCATGGTTTTGTATAAAGTGCTGTTCTCTGTTATCTCCAAAAGCCCTTCCTGATGATGCCCACAGGGCAATTAGGCTTTTGGCCACAGCAGCACATTGATCTCTCCTCCCCCTCAGCAATGCTTGTTTCTTTCCTGAGTTCTAACAGTGTTCAGGCATATCAGTTGATAATTCTTCCATAAATACATTTCCTTATATTATGTTGAACCTCACCTGTCAGTTTTCTGAGTATTCTCAGCCCTGCTTATTAGTAACCCTTCTGTGGTTTTGTGTTTGTTTGTTTGTTGTGAGACGGAGTCTCACTCTGTTGACAGGCTGGAGTGCAATGGCGCTATCTCGGCTCACTGCAACCTCTGCCTCCCGGGTTCAAGCGATTCTCCTGCTTCAGCCTCCCGAGTGGCTGGAACTACAGGCACCCACCACCACACCCAGCTAATTTTTGTATTTTTAGTGGAAACAAAGTTTCACCATGTTGGCCAGGATGGTCTCGATCTCCTGAACTCGTGATCTCCCCGCCTCGGCCTCCCAAAGTGCTGGGATTACAGGCGTGAGCCGCTGTGCCCGACCGGTTTTGTGTTTTTTAAACCTCTTCTAGATTACCTTTCACTGCCTGGAAGTAGTGACATTTGATTTCACTGTAAAATCCTACTTTCAGGTCATTTATAAAAATTTTAAATAAG
The DNA here is from genome assembly GCF_000001405.40 of Homo sapiens. NCBI lineage: Eukaryota > Metazoa > Chordata > Mammalia > Primates > Hominidae > Homo > Homo sapiens. Next base: position 34,874,133 of record NC_000006.12, on the reverse strand, counting down.
GTTGAACCAAGCATCAAGCCTTAGGTAACTTCCCATTAGCATCTTCTCCAGAAAGATGTTTCTTTGTTCCTAAGTCTCTATTTCTTAAGCATGAAAAATTCCCACCATCCCATAGTAACTGGTGTTTCAAAAATTGCCTTAGTAAAGAAACTTAACAAAAGTCTGAACAAATTGGGTCCTGTTCCTTGGTGAATACATTTTTTTTTTCTAGTCAAATGAAGTGTTGAGAGTGGAGAAGGAACAAAGAAATCTATGATTGGTTGTGATCAATTAGTTGTAAACACCACTGCAATTACATGTTTCTTTTTATCCTCATCAAACTAGAGTATGCAAGTCAAGCATAATTTCCCATAGAAGAAACCTTTTTACCTTTCCTTCAGTATGGAAAGGTGAATGGTCGAGACTTTAGTAACATCACTAAGTTACTATTTTACCATCTTGCCAAGTAAAGGTAAGTTAGCTGATGAACGTCTGTCCAATCAACACAGCTTCAAGTGTATCACAGGGCAGTATGAATGAAGGGATGGTGTTGGAGAAGAATTCAAAGGAAAGAAAGGGGGAAATAGCTCTCTTATAGGGCAGGGGGCAAAACCTAGCTGGGATGAGGGATTTTTGTGTTTTTTTCACTTGAGTCAAAATACATGAGTTTTAAAAGCCACAGTGATGGAGGGAAGTGAGAGGCAACAGGTTGAGTTGTTTATGTAAAAGTTTAAAACATATATTCAGCTCCCAAACCACCAAGGGCTGAGGAGAGAACTGGTAAGGTCACAGAGCTGGGAAAGCAGATGTGCCAGGGACCCCAGGGAGACAGAAGAGCCACTCAGCACAGCTGGGAAAGACAAGCAGGACTCCAGGCGGACAACAGGGGGCTCAGAAGCAAGCTCCCCCACTGACCCCTGGCATATCATGCCACCAACCTAGCTCAGCGTCAGAAATTTTTTCTTGATTTAAATTTCAAGTAAGTTGTATTATAGAGGGGAAAGATTAAATGACTGAGCCACTACTGTTATTTACTTTCTACCACAGCATCACAATGATGAAAGTATAACAGAAAGGAAGCTTAACCTGGAAAAATCTGATTGTGTTATCAGCCAAATTGCTATGAGCTTGGTTCCTTTTCCCAAAAAGGCAGAGTCCAGGTCTCCCTTATTCTTGTGCCTCTCCTGCCCCCTTCCCCCACACTCCTCTGCTGGACTATTTCCTGTTCCACTCCACTACCATGGCCAAAGCTCAGGTCATGGACTTTTCAGGTCTGCTATGGGAAGCTCTGGGACATGGAATCTTTGGTGGCTCTGTGGGTGACCGAGGAGGTGGGTACTTTTGCTTGTTCACACAGGCCTGTGAAGGAAGCAAATGTCCCTGCCATGAAACCATGAGGTGAAATGGCCCTACAGTGTTGAGAAGATTCCACCTAGTACACAGAGGACCAAAAGGCTTTATACAGGCAAGACATGATGCTTGTGCCACACACAGGGCAAGCCCCAGTTTCCTGGGATACAATCATGCTTTGCCCTTGTCCTCAGTCCAAGTAAGAACAGCTAGTGGAAAGCACACCCACACAAGTGAAGTGAGTGCTCCCCAGTCCCTCTGGCATCCGTAGTGACTTATTCAGCACTGGACAGTGCCCTCTGTCCTAGGTGGTGCTATTGCTGGTGATAGCCTCTCTCCTTGGCACAGATGGCTGAGCCACTGGTTTCAGAGCTCAAAGAAGGGGTTATATTTCCTAATCTCCTGAAGAAGTTTTTCTTTATCCTGGTTGGCATTGGCCAAGGCTTGTTTAGTTTCTATAAGTTCTTTTTGTAGGATAGGCAGTTCTTTCACCTGAGGAACAATAAGTAGTTAACAGTTAAATACGGTAATACCATCTTGCAACAACCGCCAGTAAAGGGAACAGGGAGGAAGAGTTCAAGGAGAAAAATCCACAAGTTATGTCAATGATTAAGATAACCATATCTTTTCTAAGACCTTGATTCCCTCTTCATAGTTCATTGGCAGGTGCAGTATGTCCTCAGCAACCATTCGTCTCCAGCTCCTGACATTTATCCTCTAGTCAGCACTTCTAGAAGCCGCTGCTAGGTGACAGGAACCCAAAACACCCACATGCAGGCAGCACACGCAACCTTTTTGCCCCCCAACCCCGGGTTTTACCAGTTTCACAAGTATAGCCCCCAAGGGTTATGGGCAGCTACTGTTCTGTTAGGTCCTCACCTGCTGTTCAAAAACCTCTCCTGTGGGCACCAAAAACACCTGTTCTTTTGGGGGCTGTCTCTTCTCACTTTTAAGTACTTCAGCTGATGGTTTGTCCTGAGCAGCAGCTGGAGAAAACAAGTAAAGGTTCTAAGTGACAAACTGCTGCCAACTCCCAAACAGTTCCTAGGTGTCACCTATTCACTTTTAGGAGAAAAGGCAGAGAAACCAACAGGCTGACAAGCCTGACTCACCGCCTATGTGGAACACACCATCATCACTCCTCTTCAGCACAACATGTTCCATGGCCAGAGTGATGGGGATGGGGCCTGGAGATGTTGGATAGATGGGGGGGATATCATCCTGCAGGAAAGAGAGAAACCACATGATGCCCCCCACCAGCTCAGAGCAATTTAACACAACCCATGCTCCCATCATTCAGCTTGAAGCAGCTTTATGCCAGTTTGTCCATACATTCTTGGAAGGTATAAGAGGCATGGCAGATTCTCCCATCTAGAGATGGTGAAACTGAGAATCAGATAACCTGATGGCTTGCACATGGTAATGCTGCATGCCAAAGACAGGGTTAGGGTTACAGACAAGGTCTCCTCACCTGAACCCTGGCTTTTCTGACAGCAACACACATTTATATACCACTATAACACTGACAGAGAATGCAAATATGTATTAATATTTCCTCACTTGATCCTCACCATATTTTACAGTGAAAAGGGAAGAGGTTAACAGGTGTCACTGCTTCCTTGCTTGACAAAGTCCAGGGCAAAAACCAATGTGCCCTTACATTGGCAAAAACCAAAGGTTCCTCACACCTTTAGGGTGATGCTGGAGTTCAGAAGCTCAATCTGCATGGGGACTACCACCGGGATCTCCTCATCCTCCAAGAAGGGCCCCAGGCCACTGAGCACTGAAGTGAGCAGCTCGAGGTCACAGCCATGAAGCAATAAATGTAGGAAGCCATTTTGTGAGGCCAGGGGGGAATGAACAGCTGCTCCAGGCCCCACCTCAAAGCGAAGGCCCACAGCTGGCCTGATGTGGCCAGTCTTCAAAGTTGAGGATTCCTGAAAGCATGTACCTTTGTGAAGAAAGACAAGGAAGACAACTAATTAACGGCCAGGGAGTCTTCTAGGCACCTTATATACCAATATTCATAATAACCCTATGTCAAAGGAATATCATCATTCTCATCTGACTGAACGAAGTCACAGAGAATAACTTGCCCAAAATTACATAATTAGTAAGTAGCAAGGAGAGGATCTGAACCCAGGCAGTCTGATTGCCAAGTCCATGGGCTTAGATACTTTGCTATAATGCCTTGCAAGGTGGAAGAGAGATTAAGGATTGGCCTTGTTATGAATGTGAGACAGTGGGCTAATGGCCAAGGAAAAGCTCTTAAAACACAGGACTCCCAAACTCTACTAAATTTGAATGTCTCCTCCTTTCTCTAAGTCTTGGTTTTCTCATCTGTCACTCATAAAGCAAAGCAGGATCTATGCTAATCTCTCCAAAACTCCAAACAGAACACTCTCAGGTGTAGCCAAGGATCCTGTGGAACAACTTACACATTTATGGAACTGCAAATTGGTACAAACATTTTGCATAACAATTTGGTATTATCTAGTAAAGGTGAAGTTGTGCCTACCCTAATGATCTAGAAATTATATTGTCAGAAATACAACCCCAGGGAAACTCTCAAACATATATTCCAAGAGACATGTACAAGGATGTTCACAGCAACCCTATTTGAAACTGGAAAAACAAACAAACAAACAAAAACTAGAAATAACCCAAATGGCTGTCCAGAATAGAATAAAGAAGTAAATAGTATAATGGGTACAGGGATATTTTGGGGGTCATGGAAATGTTCTAAAATTGGGTTGTGGTGATGGTTACACAATTATAAAATTGTACACTTAAAATGAGTGAATTTTATGTTATGCAAATTATACTTCAATAAAGCTGTTTTCAAAAAGCAAAAAGTGCCGTGCACAGTGGCTCATGCCTGTAATCCTAAGACTTTGGGAGGCTGAGGCGGGTGGATCACTTGAGTTCAGGAGTTCAAGACCATCCTGAGCAACATGGTGAAACCCTGTCTAAAAATACAAAAAAATTAGTCAGGCGTGGTGGCAGGCACCTGTAGTCCTGGCTACTGAGGAGGCTGAGGCATGAGAATCACTTGAACCCGGGAGGCGGAGGTTGCAGTGGGCTGAGATTGCAACCACTGCACTCCGGCCTGGGCAACCCAGCAAGACTCTGCCTCAAAAAAAAAAAAAAAAAAAAAAAAAAAAGTGGTGTATGTATACAATAACATTATATAGTAATGAAAAATGAACAAATTATAGCTAATTCAACAACCTAGATGAATTTAAAGAATATCATGTTACTTGAAAGAAGCAAATCACAAAAATAGTACAATCTATTATTCCATTTAGAAAAATGTGAAAAAAGCTAAAAATACATTAATATAAACACGTGTACAAATTATAAAGTAAAGCAAGATAACAATGAATACAAATTCAGGATAGTGATTACCTATGACAGGTGAGGGACAGAAGGAGGTTCAGGAGAGGGACTCCCAGAGACTTAAAAGGTAATGGTACTGTTGTATTAATTAAACTAGGTGGTGGGGCCAGGCATGGTGGCTCAGGCCTGTAATTCCAGCACTTTGGGAGGCTGACATGGACAGATCGCTTGAGGCCAGGAGTTTGAGACCAGCCTGGTCAACATGGTGAAACCCCATCTCTACTAAAAATACAAAAATAAGCTGGGCGTGGTGGTGTGTGCCTGTATTCCCAGCTACTCAGGAGGATGAGCCAGGAGAATTGCTTGAAGGAGGTGAAGGTTGCAGCACGTCGAATTCGTGCCACTGCACTCCAGCCTGGGCAACAGAGCAAGACTGTGTCTCAAAAAAAAATTAAAAAACAATAAAACAAACTAGGTGGTGAGTAAATGGGTTCATTGTATTGTTATTATTTTATGCCTTACATATATTTTATAAGTGTTCTTCAGTATCTACTCAATATTTTAATGTTTTTTAAGAGACAGGGTCTTGCTCTATTGCCCAGGCTGGAGTGCAGTGGTGCAATTATAGCTCACTGTAGTCTCAAACTCCTAGACTCACATGATCCACTCACCTCAGCCTCCCAAGCAGCTAGAACTATAGGCACGCACCGCCACACCGAGCTAATTTTTTTTTTTTTTTTTTTAAACAGAGTCTTGCTCTGTCACCCAGGCTGTAGTACAAGGGCGCGATCTCGGCTCACTGCAACCTCCGCCTCCCCGGTTCAAGCAATTCTCCTGCCTCAGCCTCCCAAGTAGCTGGGATTACAGGTGCCTGCCACCACACCTAGCTAATTTTTTTGTATTTTAGTAGAGACGGGGTTTCACCATGTTGGCCAGGGTGGTTTCAAATTCCTGACCTCAAGTGATCCACCATCCTGGGCCTCCCAAAGTGCTAGGATTACAGGCATGAGCCACCACACCCAGCCTGTATTTTTTGTACAGCTGAGGTCTTGCTATGTTGTTCAGGCTGGTTTCCCACCTCAGCTTCCCAGCGTGCTGGGATTACAGGCATGAGCCACCATGCTCAGCCTAAAAATATATTTATATATATATATTTTTTGAGACAGAGTTTCACTCTTGTCACCCAGGCTGCAGTGCAATGGCACGATCTCAGCTCACTGCAACCTCCACCTCCTGGGTTCAAGCAATTCTCCTGCCTCAGCCTCCCAAGTAGCTGGGATTACAGGCACCCGCCACCACGCCCAGCTAATTTTTATATTTTAGTAGAGACAGCGTTTTACCATGTTGGCCAGGCTGGTCTCGAACTCCTGACCTCAGGTGATCCACCCACCTCAGCCTCCCAAAGTGCTGGGATTACAGGCATGAGCCCCGCGCCCAGCCAATAATTTTTAAATGAAGTATGTAACATAAGCCAAGATTTTTCTTGTCATCTTTTATAAATGAAAATTCACATCAAAGGACTGAATCTGAATGACAGAAGTTCCCTGATCAGATAGTTTTATGTTAAGAGACACACAAATGAAGTGGACACTGTCCTCATCTATAAGCTCCAGGAGTACCTGGAAGTGAAGTTGGAGACTAGCACAGTGAATGCAAAGCCCCAGAAAGAGCTCTGAGAGGCTCTTTGCAAAAAAGGCTTCAATGGAGTTTTTCCTCCCCCTAATGGCTGCTGGAGAGAACTTGGCACTAGTAGAGTGGCTGCCCTTAGAGCACAGTGACAAGTACAAGTTAATCTATGGCTGTCCTAGACAAGTCCCATGATCTGTCGTGGAATGACTACCATCCTTACCTGGGCACTGTCCATGCAGGAACTGCCAGAGTCCCACGGTGCCCAGCTGCTGGAGGGTCAGTTCCTCTGCTTGCAGGGCCACAGTCAGGTCCTCACCACGTACCTCAATCCCAAAAGACACCTCATTCACCTTCAGGACCAGAACTGAGACCTATCAAAGGAGATTCTCTTAGTTTTAAGTCCCAAGCTCTCAGCCCAGAGCCTACCCTCTGCAGAGAAGAAAGTAGAGCTGCTGACCGGGTGAAAGATGAGGTCTTCTCCACTGGGTGAAACTGAACTGTTGGCTGCTGGTGACCCCTGGCCATAATTATTCACAAGAGGGCTCCCTTGAACACCAGCATTATCTGAGACATTTGAAAGAGATCCTGGTGGAACAGATTCTGGACCAGACTCTGCATGAAAAAGAGGACAAATGAATTTAAAAGTCAAAATATTCTGTTCAAATCCAACCTCTACAAACAATGACAACTGTAAAAATAAAACAAAATACTTATGACATTCATGAGACAACTAGAAATTTGAGGACTAACTAGATATTTGATGAATTTAAGGAATTACTCTTAATTTTTTAAAGTGTAATGACATTTGATCCCATTTTTAAAAGTCTGTAAACAGAAGCAACCCAAGTGTCCTTCCATGGATGCAAGGATAAGCAATGTGGTATATAAATACAATGGAACACTATTCAGCCTTAAAAAGGAAGGAAATTCTGACACACGCTACAAAATAGAAGAATCTTGAGGATATACCAAGTGGAATAAGCCAGTGATAAAAGGACAAATACTGCATGATTCCACTTATATGAGGTACCTAAAGTAGGCAAATTTATAAAAATAAAGTAGAATCATGGTTGTCAGGGACTGAGGGGAGGGGAAATGAGGAGTTACTGTTTAATGAGTACAGAGTTTCTGTTTCGCAAGAAGAAAAACATCCTGCAGATAGACAGTAGTAATGATTGTACAACAATCAGAATGTACTTAATGTCACTGAACTATCCACTTAAAAACGGTTAGGATGGCAAATTTCATATGTATTTTACCACAATTTAAAAAAATTTAAGTCTGTATTTTCTAGCAATGCATAACTGAAAATATTTATGGACAAAAGGATATGTTTGGGATTTGCTTCAAAATATTATGAGATGAAGGAAAGTGGGCAGTAGTGTTTATGAAACAAAAATGGCCACGAGTTCTTTTTTTTTTTTCTTTTTTTTGAGATGGAATAGTCTCGCTCTGTCGCCCAGGGGAGTGCAATGGCGTGATCTCGGCTCACTACAACCTCCACCTCCTGGGTTCAAGCAATCTCCCACCTCAGCCTTCTGAGTAGCTGGGATTACAGGCGCACGCCACCATCCCTGGCTAATTTTTGTATTTTTAGTAGAGACAGAGTTTCACCATGTTGGCCAGGCTGGTCTCAAACTCCTGATCTGCCTGTCTGGGCCTCCCAAAGTGCTGGGATTACACGCGTGAGGTACTGTGCCGGCCTTCTCTTTCCTTTTAGACTGGATGCTTCCCAAGGCAGAAATCCAGTCACAAGTTTAATTGCTGTCTAAGGTGAATATATAAGAACCCCAGGAGATTTTTCAGAACTTTAATTTAAATTTGAGAATTAGGTTTCACCTTAAGTGATCCGCCCACCTTGGCCTCCCAAAAGGCTGGGATTACAGGCGTGAGCCACTGCCCCGGGCCTGCCATGAGTTCTTAATTTCAAAGCTAGGTAATGGGTGTATGAGGGTTCATTATTTGATTCTGTCTACTTTTGTACATAGACATGAAATCTTCCATAAGAAGTTAAAAATAATAACAAAACAAACATGGTACATGCCACCCAGCTTAAGAAACGGTGCATTCTCTTAAATTAAAACCACAGTGAAATATTAACTCACTCCTGTCAGAATGCCTATTCTCAAAAAGATTAAAGATAACAAGTGTTGGCAAGGATGTAGAGAAAAGGAAACCCTAGCACCCTGTTGGTGGAAATGTAAATTAATATGGGCATTATGGAAAACAGTATGAAGGGTCCTCAAAGCTAAAAATAGAGTTACCATATCCACTTCTGGGTATATATCCAAGGAATATGAAAAAAAGTATATCAAAGAACTATCTCCATTCCTGTGTTTACTACAACATTATTCACAACAGCCAAGTTATGGGATCAACTTATGTGTTCATCAACCAATGAACAGATAAAGAAAATGTGGTACAAACACACAATGGAATACTATTCAGCCTTATGAGAGGGAAATCCTGTCATTTGTGATAACGTAGATGAATCTGGAGGACAGACAATATGCTAAATGAGATAAGCCAGGCACTGAAAGACAAAAATAGCATGTGCTCACTTACACATGGAATGTAAAACAACTGTACTCATAAAAGCAGAGAGCAGGATGGTGCTTAACAGAGGCTGAAAAGGGAAATGGGAGGGGTTAGGAGGAAATGTTAGTGAACGTGTAATGTTTCAGTTAAACAGGAGAAATAAATGGTAAGTATTTGAGGTGACGGAGATGTTAATTAGTTTGGCTCAAAAATCCCACACTGTATGTGTGTGTGTATATATCATAGGATCGCTTAGTATTAATACCACATAGATACAATTATAATTTGTCAATATAAAATAAATAAATAAATAGGACATTCTCTCTTTTTTTTGAGATGGAGTCTCGCTGTCGCCCAGGCTGGAATGCAGTGGCGCAATCTCAGCTCACTGCATCCTCCACCTCCCCGGTTCAAACAATTCTCCTGCCTCAGCCTCCCGAGTAGTTGAGATTACAAGCACCTGCCGCTAAGCCCAGCTAATTTTTCTATTTTTAGTAGAGACAGGTTTTTACCATGTTGGCCAGGCTAGTCTCCAACTCTCGACCTCAAGTGATCCACCCGCCTCGGCCTCCCAAAGTGCTGGGATTACAGGCGTCAGCCACTGTGCCCAGCCTAGATACTCTTAAAGGATCATTTCCTAAGTTTCTATTATTTCAATAAACTGAAAGAACCAGTTTAACTTACAGAGGTAATTCCTAAAAGTTTCTCATTTTATTAACAGATAAAAAGCTCCTATTTTCCAGTGACAACACAGGCAAAAAAAAAAAAAAAAAAAAGACTATAAGCACACTCACACCACTGATACCAACCATGAAACTAATCCTGACTTAGCTATAAGGCTGTAAGACTAGTGCTTTCTCCTTTGGTTTGAATCTCTTTCTGTGATATAGTCAGTTATTAACCAATAACCTAGAAACATGGAATTAAACCCAAACCCACAAGTCCACCAAAATTTCTCTGTCTCTCTTTTTTTGTCTTGATTAAGAAAATGTCTATATTATCATCTCTCAGCTCCTCTTTAGCCCTGCCAGTCTGATACAGGCAGCAGAGAGAACCCTTTCTGGACTTCTGCAACTTTGCCTGGCTCTGCTCCCACATACCAGACTCCAAGAGCATCACAAAGCTATCACTGCCATCACTGTCCACTGAAATCCGGTCTTCAGGGCCACTGCTATCCAATGAGACACCATCAAATGACTGTTGAGATACCGTCCTCTTCATGGAGAAAAATCGGAGTCGTGCAGCACCTCCACTCACTGGGGCTGCCACCCCCTCATCTGTCTTGGCCATGGGCTCCCTGTTTAAAAAAAAAAACAAAAACCACAAATGTGGCTTTGGAGACATGTTTATTCCCATCCACTTACAATACCCATCCCTTTCAGCTCAGACAACTGGATAAAGTTCCCAATATTAGGAACATACAACTTTGACATTACCTATTACTGGCTGTAAAGAGATCAAGTCATTTTTCAATCACTGGCCTTTCTGAATCTTTTTATTCCAACATCGCTAACTGCATGGACAGCGCTCTCATATCAACATTAAATGTCAAGTTTATTCAAGGTCATCCCAGACTCAGAAGAGACCAGCTACCTACTGCTCTGGTGCTGATGAATGGCACCTGAAGCCACCTGCATTCATTCCATAAGTATTTAGTTGCTTCTGTATGTAAGGCACCATACTAGGCACTAGGCAGGAGTGGGAGACGGATAAATTGATGAGTAAGACATCCCCAGTTCTAGACAACATCAAAGAGGAAAAAGGACAAGGAGAAGAGGATCAAGAGTGGCTTTGTGGTAAGAAATAACATTTGAGGTGGTCCTTGAAGGACTGTGAAAGTGAGAAGAGGGTATTCTATAGGCAATGGCATAAACAAAGGCATACAGCCAGAAACAAAAAGAAACTGGTAAGAATAATAGCTCTGCCCAGCTGAAGCATAGGTTTTGTCAGGGAGAGCAATGGAAGATAAAGTTAAAAAGGCATTAACACAGTGAAAAGAAACCTTTAAGGACCTTTAAATACCACCCTCCCATTTTACAGATGAAGAAACTGTCCCAAGGTTACAGTTAAAGGTAGAATTAAGAAAAACTCAGGCCGGGCGCAGTGACTCACGCCTATATTCCCAGCACTTTGGGAGGCCAAGGCAGGCAGATGGCTTGAATCCAGGAGTTCGAGACCAGCCTGGGCAACATGGCAAAACCTGGTCTCTACAAAAAAATACAAAGATTAGCCAGGCATGATGGTGCGCGCCTGTAGTCCAGCTACTGGGGGCTGAGATGAGAGGATCACCTGAGCCTGGGAGGTCGAGGCAGCAGTGAGCCGAGATCACACCACTGCACTCCAGCCTGGGCGACAGAGTGAGACTTCATCTCAATAAAAAAAAAAAGCAAATTATCAGGCCCCATCTCATTCCATGAATGAGAAATAGGGCTCAGAAAACTATGTTTTTGGTTTTTTTTTTTTTTGAGATGGAGTCTCACTGTATTGCCCAGGCTGGAGTGCAGTGGCATGATCTCGGCTCACTGCAACCTCCACCTCCTGGGTTCAAGCAATTCTCCTGCCTCAGCCTCCAGAGTAGCTGGGACTACAGGTGCATGCCAACACACTCAGCTAATTTTTTGTATTTTTAGTAGAGACAGGGTTTCACCGTGTTAGCCAGCATGGTCTCCATCTCCTGACCTCGTGATCTGCCTGCCTCAGCCTTCCAAAGTGCCGGGATTACAGGCGTGAGCCACCGCGCCCAGCCACTATGTTTTAACAAACCCTGCAGGGGATTCTGAGAGAGAAACTATTAAGAAGCACAGACTGTTACAAACCTGAAAGTTTGGCAAATGCATCAACAACTTTAAAAATGTTTGTAGCATTTGACCTAATAATTTCACTTTTTGGTTTTTATTTTATTTTATTATTATTTTTTTTTTTTGAGACGGAGTCTCGCTCTATCACCCAGGCTGGAGTGCAGTGGCATGATCTCAGCTCACTGCAAGCTCCGCCTCCCAGGTTCAAGCCATTCTCCTGCCTCAGCCTCCCGAGTAGCTGGACTACAGGCACGTGCCACCACACCCAGCTAATTTTTTGTATTTTTAGTAGAGACGGGATTTCACTGTGTTAGTCAGGATGGTCTCATCTCCTGGCCTCGTGATCTGCCTGCCTTGGCCCCCCAAAGTGCTGGGATTACAAGCGTGAGCCACCGCACCCAGCCACTTTTTGGTTTTTATTCTAAAGAAAGATTTAGATATGTAAAATATTCCAAAGATTAAAGTTCACAAAAATAAGGACATTTCATACAGCATTGGTTCTACCTGAGTAAAATGGGAAACAGACTAAATGACTCCCCAGATAGAGGAATGGATCAATAAATTATGATATATCAATTTACTAGAATATAATGGAGCAATTAAAAATCATGTATTCAGCCAGGGGAAGTGGCTTATGCTTATAACCCTAGTGCTTTGGGAAGCCAAGGTGGGAGAGTCACTTGCGCCCAAGAGTTCAAGACCAGCCTGTGCAACATGGTGAAACCACATCTCCAAAAATAAAAATAAATAAAAATCATATATTCATATGCCTAATGAATGGGAAAATATCATAATAAAACATTGAGTGAATAAAGCAGCATGTAACATTGTAGAAATAATATAATCCTATTGTTGTAAAAACAGTATTTGTGGATATTATATGCATAACCATCCACAAGTGCACACATGAATGCAGACATACAAAGATTGGAAGAAAATACACCCAAATGTAAACAGTGGTTATCTGTGGATTGTTACAAGTGATTTTTATATTTTCTTCTTTACTCTCTTATTTCCTACACTGTCAACACGATAAACACAAACCATTTTTATAATTTAAAAAATTAAAATTATAGGCCAGGCACAGTGGCTCACACCTGTAATCCCAGCATTTTGGGAGGCTGAGGTGGGTGAATCGCTTGAGCCCAAGAGTTTGAGACTAGCCTGGGCAACATGGCAAAACCCCATCTCTACCAAAAATACAAAAATTAGCTGGGCGTGGTGGCGCATGCCTGTGGTCCCAGCTACTCAGGAGGCTGAGGCAGGAGGATCACTTGAACCTGGGAGGTCGAGGCTGCAGTGAGCAGAGATCGCACCACTGGGCAACAGAATGAGACCTGTCTCAAAAAAAAAAAATTAAAAATTAAAATTATGACAAAAGTGATCAGAATATGGACAGCCTAGCCCTGTGGAGTATTTACACCTATAGGATAAAAGGAAGAAGAGAGCAGCCAAGGAAAAAGAAGACTCCTTCAGAGAATTGAGAGTAACTGGGTGGGGTTACAAATATTCAGAATGAACTGATCAGCAATGTTAACTACCATAGAGGAGTCCAGGAGAAGGGGGACTGAGGAAAGGCCACGGGCTTGGGCAGTTAGGAAGTCACTGTTGATGTTTTAAAAGGGCTCATTTCACACACCTTTCTTTTCTCTTTTTCACCTCTGCTCTTTTTCCATCTCCCTTACTTGTCTCCATTTAGAAAAGGCAGCACATTGGGTGATTAGAAGTCCAGGCTTTTAATCCTTGCCCCACCACTCACAAGTTGTGTGATCTTGTGCAAGTTTCTTACCTCTCTGAGCCTCAGTTTCCTCATCTGTGAGATGGGGATTGATATTAATACTTGCCTTATAGGGCTATTATAAAAATCCAGTGGACCAATATTATAAGTACTTAGGACTGTGTCTTGTCAGGCAAAGAAGGCACTCAGTAAATGTTGGCTAGTATTATTATACAACTCGACCCTTGAAGTTTTCCTCTCCTTCCTCCTTGCTGTCTGTCCTAGCAGGTACTAGCTCACCCACAGGCATTAGAGACCCACTTAAGATAATTCACTTAGACAAAAGCTCTAAATGCACTGTTTTTATACCATGGTCTCTAAACCACAAAGTGTTCCAGGAAAGACTTCCCTTAGACTCTATCTTTCCTAAAACCATGAGGCACCCATGGGAAAATCGATACTTTTCCACTCGTCTCACTGTGCATTTCTGTGTTTTCCTGTTTACTCCCTACTCTATCTCTGGCGCTTAACACAGAGCCCAGCACACAGAAAGCGCTCACAAGATACTTGCTGAATGGATGAAATTCTTCCTTCTCTATTACTCTGACAGACACTGATAAGGTACCAGAAAAAACAAGTCCAAAGCCACAACTTTTCTATTTACAAGATATAGGATATCTATGAGCTCATCCTCTCTAAAGCCTCAGTTTTCTCAGCTATAAACTGGGGGTACAAATGTCTGAGGCCACCTTACCAGGCTGCTGTGGGGATCAAATCAAACAAAAAAATTAGATGAAAGCCCACTGAAAATAATATTATATATATGCCATTATTATTATTCTGATATAGCATATTTGTATCAATAATTGTGAAGCAAGCTGGGTACAGTGGCAGGTGTCTATAATCCCAGCTACTCAGGAAGCCAAGGCAGGAGGATTGCAGAGCCCAGCAGTTCAAGACCAGCCTGGCTAACACGGTAAGGCCTGTCTTGAGGGGAAAAAATAGTGAATCAGTGAAAAAGGAGATAATCTGATTCTAAGAAGCAATAAATATTGGCTTGAAAACTGCCCATTAAATAGGCCATTCTATGCATTCTCCTGGACTATATGGTACTTCCCAATCTAGAAATGCACATAGTAAGAGGCCTTAAACCCAATGATCAGAACTAGGAGAAGGAGATGGGATGAGTGAAGGAGGTACAGAGCCACTTACTTGGCTGGGGGCAGGGACAACATCTTGTGCATGGTGGAGGTCATTCGATCTCTGCCCAAACTGAAGGCATCCTTAGTCAGGGACACAGCTTCCTTGGTGAGGTCCATGGTGGCATGTAGAGCCTCCTTGGTGGCATCCTTGGTCATGTGAATAGCACTTGACAATTCTCCCTCAATGTTCTTCAAGGGGATGAGCTCACCCTGTCCATTCACAGCAGTCTCCCTGCCAGCTGGGGGCTTCAATGCAGCTGGTGAGCTGGAGGCTTGGGTTCTGCTCAGTTTCTTGGCCTGTAGGGACTCTACTGCCTCATGGCCCTTCCCTGCCAGCTGCTGGGCAAGTGGACCTGAGTCCTGCAGTTCTCCATTGCTATGTGGCCTCTCCTGGGATACATCCTGATTTTCAATGCTACTTTCCTCCAAGACCTTCTCAGGGCTTGCTGGGCCCTGGTCTGATGAGGCATCAGACTTCAGTTCCCGATCCTCTGAAGGAGATAGCTCTGAATCTACGAGGCTAGTGCTATCTGAGCCTGCAGAGTCAGCATCGACAGCACCGGGTGCAGGATGCATAAGCAGAGCCACTTCAGCACTGGGAAAGAGAACTCCAATGCAAGCTGTCTGATTCTGCAGGGGAGACCCAGTCATTGACTCTGTATCCTTAGTCAGCTGCTCCTGAAGCCTCTGCAGCACCTCCTTCAGGCGAAGCAGAGCCAAGTACTGGTAGTGGTCAAGCCTCACGCGGACATGGGCCGGGGAATGTACAAGCATATGAACATCTGCTACATCCTCCAGCTCTGTCAGAGGCCCTTTGTTGTCCATACCACTACTGCCTTCTTTCAGAATTTCCATGACTTCTGTAAGTCCTGATAAGCTTTTCAAGTCATGTTCAGTCTTTGACCGCGGATGGGACATAGAGTCAGGGGCAAGAGCCTCAGACTGGACAGGACTTCCAAAACTGGCTGATGGTTTCAGCCTCCCCTCTGAGGCCAAAAGAAGCTTCCGTGCCTGGGCTTGCTGCCAGCGGAGGGGTAGGCAGGCCCAAATGGACAGGGGGAAGGGGGCTACAAAATTCAAGGTATGGCCTTTGAAGTTTTCTGTTCCCTCAAAGTCCAAGGAGATCTGGGTAAAGTGGACAGACCAGAGATCCCAGGAAGCCTTAGGTCTCTGGGGAGGGAGGGTATTAGGCTGAGGCAGGCAGGAATCCATCTGAAAGGCATGATGCAAAAAAAGCATGTGCAGAAGGCTAAAGCCACCTGGAACCTTAGGAAAGTGATCATAATTGGAATGAAAGAACTCAGCAGCAGCAAAACCCCGGAAGAGACTCTGGAGGTCTGAACAACTACAATGTGGAGCATGACGTGTATTGGTGGCAATCATGCCTGACGCAGAGAAGACAAGGGCCTGGGGACGATGCAACTCTGCCCGCTCTCTCTTTTCCAGTGGAAAGCTCACCTTCACAGAGAAAATGAAACACAATTCAGAATGGTCATCTGAGTATCTCAGCATCCCACTATTAATACACATGTAAAAGATCCTTTGGGCTGTGAAACTATTTTCTTACTTCCACAAAATGGACAGAGCAAAACCATGGATTATATCCATTGGAAAAATGCAGCTGTGGCTACTAACAGGGGATAAAAGTCACACTCTCCCCTCACCTTCAACCAGAATGCATCTAGTCGGATGTCCAAGTGTTCATCTTTCTGACTTGAATCTTCCAGCTTGTAGATAGCTTTGAACTGCTCCAAGCTGCGGTATAAATCCAGGCAAAAGAGGTTTCCCCAGAGCAAACTGACAGGATCCATAGTAAATGTCAGACCATTTAACTGAATGTAGAGATTAGGACAAGGAACTGGAAAGCAGAGGGAAGAAAAGAAACATCCTGTAAAAAGCAATAGCTAGGCTCTTACTACCTAATATTAACTATATTACGAACAGAGCAAAGGTACACATTTATACAGGGCAGAGTGTTTAACAAAAGTGTGCTAAATTAACTCAAACACTGAAAACTCCTAACAACAAATAAAAATATACGTAGTGGCCCCAAGGCTGACAAATGGGAAAAGCATGAGCTAGACAGAAAAATAGCCAGCCTAGATGCTTACCTGGAAGCTCCTGATTATCTGGGAAGTAATACTCTGTGAACTCAATATGAATGGCAGAGACCTGGGTAGGGAGGTTGTGAAGTTTCCGACTGCAGGAAAGGAGTGTAGATGGCTTTTTACTTGGCTGTCCAGCGGTGGAAACCTAAACAATCACAACTTTTTGTTAGTATCAACAATCAAACTTAGAGCAGCCCTCCATTTCTGCTTAGGAAGCATAAAGCCTCTACCATCCCTCTGAAGTCTGTCACAGGGAACACAGTGTCTTTCACATATATTCCAGGTGTTCTCACACCTGCCTCGCACTATACGCGAGTTAGTTTTTTCAGCGGGAGGTTCAAAGCAGAGCATTCACAGTAAAACTGGGGGAATTCCCAAGTCCTGATCTCACCAGCCATGCTCAGAAAGAAACAGACCAAACTATTAATCTTCCCAGAAGTGAGGTAAATAGTCCCCAAATTCCAAAACTTTGTTTATACTGTTCCAGCTGCCTTCCAAGTAAACTGCTCCACCTCTTTCCAACCATGTTTCCTCATGTCCTCACCTGGTGGATGTCCAGGTCATCCACCCGTACCACCATGCAGCTAGAGCGTAAGCGGTTCCATGCTGGAGGCTGAAAGGCAGGCTGTCTGCCCTGAGAGGGGCTTCTCTCAAGAGGGTTCTTTCGAGGACTGGAAAGAGAATCTAAATAAAAATAAGGTGGGAAAAAGAATCAGATACATTCAACTCTCATTACTAATAGAATAAGGAAAGTAAAAATCCTAAGATCATTAATGTTATATGTAGGAAAGAGAGCTTAACACTGTCTAGCTCCTGGATGAACTCAAAAATGATATTATTCTTAAGACCAAGGCAACAGTCTACTGAATAGAAATGATGACATGACATCAACACTGTGGCTATCCCTGGAGTCAAAGAGGTCTCTGTAAAGAAAAAAGTCACTGATGTCTCTCCATTACATACAGCTGGGATAATTAGCTAGTTCTTGCTTTATCTCCACTGTTATTCAAAGATAAATGGCAAGAGGCTAAGCAACTGGAGTCTTCCAGTTCCTCATAACCCACCTGCTTTTCTCCGAAAGAGAGAGTCTACTCCAAGGTGCCAGGGTGGTTTCAGACCCGTCTCTTCATGCCACTTCTCCATTTTGCTCTGAAATTCCATCACCAGCTTCTGGGCCCACTGGCCTCGGGTCTCCATGGCCTCACAGTGGCGTACCCAATGTTTGCAGCTATCACCTGTGCAACGAAGAAGTGAAAAGATTTTAGCCCAAGATCATGATGAATGTTCCAATTTTTCCTTTCTGTCAGTATAGTCATAGTTCAGAATCTGATTCCTCACCCACAGTGCAGAAATCTCTAGGATAAGGAAAAATTATCCAATGATAGGTTGCACATTCTTCTGGGTTCCATATGTGATTTTTCTCAAAGGCTCCCTAAAGGCAAGCTGTTGACTGCTGCCATATTTGACTATGGACTACTGGAGAGGCTCTAACACTAGTGGAAGTGAGGGGCTGAGAGTAGAATCAAAAGCAATATCTCAGGCACTAGATATCTCCCCTACTCACTTCCTCTCATTACTGATAAAGAATCATCAATAGTGGAACCTGCAAGTTTCCAGACGTCCTCTTGAAGAGGGATATTTCCAGCACCCCTCTGAGCATGCACTGCAATCTCTGGCAACCTCCTGTTAAGCGGTCAGGGATGAATCCAGGAATCTGCCCTCAATATTTTGGGCTATGCGAGAATTGGCCCCATTCAGAGTTTTCCTAACCTGCCCAATGGAAAGGGTAATAGTCAAACGCCATCTTGCGGAAGGTAAGCTGCATGGCACCACCCATGAGTCTGTTGGCAGAGACACCTATAAAATAAAAATACAGGTGAATGGCAGTGGAAGGAACAAAGAAGCCAAACCACCACCTAAAGCATGCAGAAGTCCTCTTAACGACCAGCTTCAAAGCCCAGCTGATAACACGGTGCAGCCAAAAGGCCAGGATGTGAGGTGATTTGCAAGGCTGAGGCCCTCTTTTGAGTTACAATATCCAATGGACATGCTCTAAAAGACCCAAAAGAAAGTATATTCCATTGTCTCTGTAAATGGTTGCCAGATTTCCAGAAAGGCGAAAGAGACCGCCAAACTCGGGATTCAGAAATTACAGTCCTAGGCTTCCCAGACACACTCTATAGCCTTGACTGTTTCCCCAATCCTAGTATTATTTTCCCTCAACACAACACACGAAGAGGCAGAAGCCAGATTCCCCCAAAACAATAACCTATATTATTTCCTTTCATATCCTGGCCTCAGAGCTAAAGCTCTGATATTAGACAATGATTATATACTATACGTACAAAGTACCATAGAATGCTAAAAACACTACACAAACAGGACATTATAAAATAAACACATAGAATATTATAGGTAAACTGAAATTTTTAGCAATAAGCCAAATATTACATTATGTTTACCTTGAATTTACATTTAATTCTTACTAAATGAATGAACTTTCCATGTTTCTATCATCTCTTTCCAATTAGACTAAAGAACTGTAAAAGTAGAAAGTATTTCCTCTGCATGTGTGTATTGTCTGGGTCACCCTATTCAACTTCCAGCCTGTCTCCTACTAGTATATCTAGCATAGAGCCTTGTAAGTAGTAGATGCTCAAAAATATAAGAGAAAACACCACAGAAATGAGTGAAGGGAAATACCATGGAATCCTCTAGGTGTAAGCTGGCATATCTTCATCCAGTAGGGTCATTTCCATCCAATCGACATTTTGCCATCCCAAATTCTCCTACCAAGAGAGACCCCTACACAATGTTTCTGTTTCTCAACTCTTCATAATCACCCCCCAAGTAGGCTTTTAAGATACTTTTTTCCTAACTGCCCTCTCTCCATGAAATTTTAATACCACAAATATATATGTTAACATACTATATGTATATATGTGCTTTAACATTTTAAAAAGAACATGTATAAAGCACGCTCTTTTTATTCATTACTGGGTTAAGAAACCCTAAATAATTTTTAAGTTAAAAGTTAAATTAACATTTTAAAAATATATCAATATTTAACTTCAAAACTATATTTGCTAACTTTTAGTTTTATTTATGTATATATTATAATGTCTCAAATTAAATATGCAAATGATCAACTTATATAAATATATAATAGCAATATAATCAAAATTTTAAATATTCCAATTTTTTTTCCACAAATGAAAAACAATTAAAAATTTTTAATTTTTTTCTTTTTTTGAGACGGAGTCTCACTCTATTGCCCAGGCTGGAGTGCGGTGGCACTAACTCTGCTCACTGCAACCTCTGCTTCCTGGGGTCAAGTGATTCTCCTGCCTCAGCCTCCTGAGTAGCTGGGATTACAGGCATGCGCCACCATGTCCGGCTCATTTTTGTGTTTTTAGTAGAGACGGGGTTTCACCATGTTGGTCGGGCTAGTCTCGAACTCCTGAGCTCGTGATCCACCCACCTCGGCCCCCCAAAGTGCAGGGATTACAAACTGCAGGGATAAGCCACCGTGCCTGGCCAAAAATTTTAATTTCTTAAAATTATTTGTAGTGAACATAACCTTTAACTTTTGCTTGATATAAGAAAATAACTGGCCAGGCACCGTGGCTCATGCCTGTAATCCCAGCACTTTGGGAGGCTGAGGCAGATGGTTCACTTGAGGTCAGGAGTTCGAGACTCAGCCTGGCCAGCATGATGAAACTTCGTCTCTACTAAAAATACAAAAATTAGCTGGATGTGGTGGCACACGCTTGTAATCCCAGCTACTCAGGAGGCTGAGGTAGGAGAATCCCTTGAACCCGGGAGGCAGAGGTTGCAGTGAGCTGAGATGGCGCCATTGCACTCCAGCCTAGGTGACAGAGCAAGACTGTCTCAAAAAAAGAAAAGAAAAGAAAAGAATTTTTAGAGGAGGAGGTAGAGCAAAATGGCCAAACACACCCCCTCCAGTGATTATTCCCCTAGCAAGAACACCAAATTGAACAACTATCCAGGCTGGGCATGGTGGCTCATTCCTGTAATCTCAGCATTTTGGAAGGCTGAGGTGGGCCTGGGCAACAGGGCAAAAACACTCCCCCTGCCACAAAAAAATAAAAAAAACAGCTGAGTATGGTGGCGCATGCCTGTAGTCCCAGTCGGGAGTCCTAGCCTCAGTCAGGAGGCTGAGGCAGGAGGATCCCCTGAGCCTGAGAGTTTGCCGCAGTGAGCCGTGATCACATAACTGCACTCCAGCCTGCTTGGCAATGCAGCAAGACCCTGTTGCAAAACACAAACGAAAAACAACTCTCCACACAGGAAATCATAAGAACCAAAAATCAGATGAGTGATCACAGTACCCAGTTTTAACATCATATTAAGTAAAGATGCACCAAAGAAGGTAGAAAAGACAGTTTTGAATTGCTGACACCACCCCACCCCCAGCCTCCTGGCAGTGGCCTCATGGCACAGACAGAATCCGTGTGCTTGGGGGAGAGACATCATAGTAATTATGGGACTTTGCATTGGAACTCAGTGCTGTCACAGCAGAAAGCCAACACAGGGCAGAATTCTGCCAGTGCCCACAGAGCATTTAGACCAGCCCTAGTCAGAGAGGAATCATCCATCCGGAGGTTATTAGAGGTTATTACCTGAGTTCTGGCTAGCCCCATCACTGCATGCTAAAGTGCTCTAGGATCCTTTAAGAAATTTGAAAAGCCACAAGGATTGTTAATTCCTGAGCAACTACTGGTGCTATGCTGGGATCAGAGCCAATGGACTTGGGGTGCAAGTGACCTGAGATGCCAACTGGGATAGCCAAAGGAATGCTTGCATCACCCCTCCCCCAACCCCATGCAGCACAGTTTGCAGCTCTGGGAGAGACTGCTTCCTTGCACCTGAGGAGAGGAGAGGAGAGGAGAGGAGAGGAGAGGAGAGGAGAGGAGAGGGGCGAATACAGGGGACTTTGTCTTGCAATTTGGATACCAGCTCAACTATGGTAGAACAGGGCACCAGGCAGAGTCTTGAGGCCCCCATTGTAGGCCTCTAGCTCCCGCATGACATTTCTAGATACAACAGATCCTGGGTCAGAATGGAACCCACTGCCTTGAAGGGAAGGACCCAGTCCTGGAAGGATTCATCGCCTGCTGACTAAAGGGCCCTTGGGCCTTGAATAAACATGAGCAGCACCTAGACAGTATTTGCCATGGGCCTTGGTTGAGACCCCGGGCTGTGCTGGCTTCAGGTGTGACCCAGTGCACTCTTACCTGTGGTGACCACAAGGAGAGACTCCTCCTGCTTGAGGAAAGAAGACAGAAGAGAAAAGGGGACTTTGTCTTGCAGCTGGGTACCAGCTTGGCCATAGTGGGGTAGGGTACAAAGCAGGCTCCTGGGGTCCCCGATTCCAGGCTTTAGCTCCTAGACGACATCTCTGGACCTGCCCTGGGCCAGAGAGGGGCCCACTGCCTTGAAAGGAGAGACCCAGACCTGAGAGCATTCACCACAAGCTGACTGAAGAGCTCTTGGGCCTTGAGTAAACATTGGCAGTAGCCAGGCAGTACTTGCTGTGGGCCTGGGGCAGTGGTGGTCCTGGAGAGAAATTCCTTCTGTATAAGGAAAGGAAGGGAAAGAGTGGGAAGGACTTTGTCTTGTGGCTTGGGTGCCAGCTCAGCCATAGTAGAATAGAGCACTACATAGATTCCTAAGGTTCCCGACTCCGGGCCATGGCTCCTGGATGGCATTCTTGGATCCCGCCCTGAGCTAGGGGAAGCTCACTGCCCCAAAGGGAAGCACACATGCCTGGCTAGATTTGCCACCTGCTGACTGAAGACCTTGAGTGAATATCAGCAGCAGCCAGGCAGTGGTCACCATGGGCCTTAGGAGAGACCCAGTACAGTGCTGGCTTCACATCTAACCCAGAACAATACCAGTGGTGGTGGCCATGGTGTGCTTGTGTCACCCTTCCCCTCATTCCAGGCAGCTTAGCATGGAGAGACACTGCTATATGGGGGAGAGTAAGAGAACAAGAGGCTCTGCCTGGTAATACAGGGAATTCTTGATCTTACCCAAGACCACCAAGGCAATACCTCTGAGTCACAGCATTACTGGGCTTGGGGTGTCCCTTGATGCAGATACAGCTGCAGTGGCCAAAAATTTAGATCACAATACTCAATTCCTTTTGAATACTTGGGAAGCCTTCACAAGAACGGGTAAACACAACTCCAGACTGTGAAGACTATGATAAATACCTAACTCTTTAATGCCCAGACATCAACGAACCTCCACCAGCACCAAGACCATCCAGGAAAACATGACCTCACCAAATGAACTAAATAAGGCCCCAGTGACCAAACCTGGAGTAACAGAGAATTCAAAATAGCTGTTTTGAGGGAGCTCAATGAAATTCAAGATAACACAGAGAAAAAATTAGGAATCCTATCCTAATCTTTTAACAAAAAGATTAAAATAATTTCTAAAAATCAAGCAGAGGCTGGGCGCAGTGGCTCTTGCCTATAATCCCAACACTTTGCTCCCAAAGCAAAGTGAGATGGGAGGTCAGAAGTTCAAGACCACCCTGAACAACACAGTGAGACCCCGTCTTTACAAAAAAATAAAAATATTAGCCAGTTGTGGTGGTGCATGCCTGTAGTCCTAGCCACTCAGAAGGCCAAAGTGAGATAATTACTTGAGCCCAGGACTTTGAGGCTGCAGTGAGCTATGATTATGCCACTGTACTCCAGCCTGGGCAACAGAGTGAGAACCTATCTCTTAAAAAAATTAAGCAGAAATTCTGGAGCTGAAAAAAATCAGCTGACACACTGAAGAATGCATCAGAGTCTCAAAAGCAGAATTGACCCAGTATGAGAAAGAATTGGTGAGCTTGAAGACAGGCTATTTGAAAAAGCATAATCAGGGGAGATACAAGAAAAAAGAATAAAAAAGAATGAAGCATACCTACAAGATCCAGAAAATAGCCTCAAAAGGGCAAATCTAAGAATTATTGGCCTTAAGGAGGAGGTAGAAGGAGACATTGGGGTAGAAAGTTCACTCAAAGGGATAATAACAGAGAATTTTCCAAACCTAGAGAAGATACCAATATCCAAGTACAAGAAGATTATAGAATACAAGCATATTTAATCCAGAGAAGACTATCTCAAGGCATTTAATAAACAAACTCCCAAAAGTCAAGGATAGAGAAAGGATCCTAAAAGCTGCAAGAGAAAATAAATAACATTCAAAGGAGCTTCAATATGTCTGGCAGCAGACTTCTCAGTCTGCTAGCAGAGAGAGGCATGACATATTTAAAGTGATGAAGGAAAAAAACTTTTTTTTTTTTTTTGAGACCGAGTTTTGCTCTTGTCACCCAGGCTGGAGTGCAGTGGCACGATCTTGGCTCACCACAACCTCCACCTCCCAGGTTCAAGCGATTCTCCTGCCTCAGCCTCCTGAGTAGCTGGGATTACAGGAATGCACCACCACACCCGGCTAATTTTGTATTTCTTTTAGTAGAGACAGGGTTTCTCCATGTTGGTCAGGCTGGTCTCAAATTCCCAAACTCAGGTGATCCGCCTGCCTCAGCCTCCCAAAGTGCTGGGATTATTAAAGGCATGAGCCACTGCGCAGGACCAGGAGAAAACTTTTATCCTAGAATAGTATATCCATGAAAATATGCTTCAAACATGAAGGAGAAATACTTTTGCAAACAAACTGGATTTCATCAACACCAGATGTGTCCTATAAGAAATGCTAAAGGGAGTTCTTTCAATCTGAAAGAAAAGGACGTTAACGAGCAATAAGAAATCATCTGATGGTATAAAACTCACTGGAAATAATAATTACAGAGACAAACACAGAATATTATAACCCTGTGATTATGGTGTATGAACTACTCATATCTTGAATAGAAAGACTAAAAGATGAGCCTATCAAAAATAACTACAATAACTTTTCAAGACATAGACGGTATAATAAAATATATAGAAAAACAACAAAAAGTTAAAAACCAGGGAGATGAAATTAGAGTTTTTGTTAATTTCCTCTTTGCTTGTTTGTTAGTTGGTTTGTTTTTGTAATCAGTGTTAAGTTGTCATCAGTTTAAAATAATGGGGTATAAGATGTTATTTGTAAGCCTCATCGTAATTTCAAATAAAAAAAAAAACTGGCTGGGCACAGTGGCTCACGCCTATAATTAGCCAGTTGTGGTGGTGCATGCCTGTAGTCCTTTGGCAGGCCAAGACAGGTGGATCACTTGATGCCAGGAGTTTGAGACCAGCCTGGCCAACATGGCGAAACCCCGTCTCTACTGAAAATACAAAAATTAGCCGGGTGCAGTGGTGCATGCCTGTAATCCCAGCTACTCAGGAGGCTGAGGCACAAGAATTGCTTGAATCCAGAAGGCGGAGGTTGCAATGAGCTGAGATCACGCCACTTCACTCCAACCTGGGTGACAGAGCAAGACTTTGTCTCTAAAAACAAAAAAAAAAGAAAAAGAAAAAATCTACCACAGACGCACCAAAAAAAAAAAAAAAAAAATGCAAGAAATTAAAATGTAGCACTAGAGGAAATCGCCTTCACAGAAAGGAAGACAGGAAAGAAAGTCAGAAGGAAAAGAAGGCCAGAAACCAAATTAAATGACAGGAACAAGTCCTTACTTATCAATAATAATGTTGAATGTAAATAGACTAAACACTCCAATCAAAAGACACAGAATGGCTGAATGCATTAAAAAACAAAACCCAGTGATCTGTTCTCTACAAGAAACACACTTCACCTACAAAGACACAAATAGACTGAAAAATAAAGGGATGGAAAAAGGTATTCCATGCAAATTAAAACTAAAAAAAGAGACGGAATAGCTATGTATTTTTTTTTTTTTTTGAGACCAAGTCTCACTCTGTCGCCCAGGCTGGAGTGCAATGGTACAATCTTGGCTCACTGCAACCTCCACCTCCCGGGTTCAAGTGATTCTCCTGCCTCAGCCTCCCAAGTAGCTGGGATTACAGCTGCCTGCCACCATGCCAAGCTAATTTTTGTATTTTTAGTAGAAACAGGATTTTGCCATGTTAGCCAGGCTGGTCTTGAACTCCTGACCTCAAGTAATCTGTCCCACTCAGCCTCCCAAAGTGTTGGGATTACAGCCATGAGTGACCGCACCCGGCCCTGATTGATTGATTGATTGATTATTATTATTTTTTTTTTTGAGACAGGGTCTTGCTCTGTTGCCTGGGCTGGAGTGCACTGGTGCAATCACAGCTCACTGCAGCCTCTATCTCCCGGGCTCAAGCCTATAATCCTAGCATTTTGGGAGGCCAAGGCAGGCAGATCCCTTGAGTCCAGGAGTTCAAGACAGGCCTGGGCAACATGGCAAAACCTCATCTCTACAAAAAAAAAAAAAAATTAGCCTGGCATGGTAGTGCATGCCTGTAGTCTCAGCTACTTGGGAGGCTGAGGTTGGAGGATCATCTGAGCCCAGGAGGCAGAGGATGCAGTGAGCTGAGATTACGCCACTGCATCCAGCCTGGGTGACAGAGTGAGGCTATCTCAAAAAAAAAAAAAAAAAAAGGAAAAAAAGAAAAGTAGAAAAATTTCAAGTAAATAACCTCATGGTACATCTTAAAGAACTAGAAAAGCAAGGACACCAAATCCAAAATTAATAGAAGAAAATAAATAATAATAAATACTAAAGATCAAGCAGAAATAAATGAAATTGAAAAAAAAACAATAGAAAAGATCAACAAAAGGAAAAGTTTTTTTGAAAAGATAAACAAAATTGACAAACTTTTCCCCAGACTAAGAAAAAAGAGAGAAGACCCAAATAAATAAAATCAGAGACAAAAAAGGAGACACTATAACCAATACTGCAGAAATTCAAAAAATCAGTAGAGACTACCATGAGCAATAAATTGGAAAACCAAGAAGAAAAGGATAAATGCTTAGCTATATACAGCCTACTAAGATCAAACCATGAAGAAATCCAAAACCCGAATAGATAATAACAAGTAATGAGATCAAAGGTATAATAAAAAGTCTCCCAGCAAAGAAAAGCCCAGGACCCAATAGCTTCACTGCTGAATTTTACCGAACATTTAAAGAAGAACTAATACCTATCCTATTCAAATTATTCCAAAAAATAGAGGAGGAATACTTCCAGAATCATTCTATGAAGCCAGTATGCCCTGATAACAAAATCAGACAAAGACACATCAAAAAGAAAACTTCCTACATGAAAGTGTTCTTGGAAAAAAAAAAAGAAAAAGAAAACAGAAAACTACAGGCCGATCTTCCTGATGAACACTGATGCAAAAATCCTCAAAAAAATACTAGCAAATGGAATTCAACCACACATTAAAGAGACCATATATCCTGACCAACAGGGATTTATCCCAGGAATTCAAGAATGATCCAAATATGCAAATCAATCTATAAGATACAACATATCACAGAATGAAGAACAAAAATATATGATCATTTTACCTGATACTGAAAAAGCACTTGATAAAATTCAACATCCCTCATGACAAAAACCTTCAAAAAACTGTATGGAAGGAACATAACTCAACATAACAAAATGTATATACAACAGACCTGTACCTATTATCATACTCAATGCGGGAAAACTGAAAGCCTTTCCTGTAATATTTGGAACAAGATAAGGATGCCCACTTTCACCACTGTTATTCAACATAGTACCGGAAGTCCTAGCTAGAACAATTAGACAACAGAAAGAATAAAGAGTATCCAAATTGGAAAGGAAGAAGTCAAATTATCCTTGTTTGCAGATGATATGATCTCTTATATTTGAAAAAATCTAAAGACTCCACCAAAAAACTATTAGAACCAATAAACAAATTCAGTAAAGCTGCAGGATATAAAATCAATACACAAAAATCAGTAGCATTTCAATATGCCAACAGCAAACAATCTGAAAAAGAAATCAAGAGAGTAACCCCATTTACAATTCCTAAGTTTATAGGAATAAACTTAACCAGAGAAGTGAAAGATCTCTATAACAAAAACTATAAAACACTGACACAAGAAACTGAGGAGGGCTGGGCTCATGCCTGTAATCTCAGTACTTTGGGAGGCCAAGGCAGGTGGATCACTTGAGGTCAAGAATTCGAGACCAGCCTGGCCAACATGGTGAAACCCCATCCCTACTAAAAATACAAAAATTAGCTAGGCGTGGTGGTGGGTGCCTGTATTCTCGGCTACTCCAGAGGCTGAGGCAGGAGAATCGCTTGAACCTGGGAAGTGGAGGATGCAGTGAGCTGAGATTGCGCCACAGTACTCCAGCCTGGGTGACAGAGCAAGGCTCTGTCTCAAAAAAAATGGAAGCAAGGAAAGAAGGAAGGAGGGAAGGGAAGGGAAAGGGAGGGGAGGGGAGGGGAGGGGAGGGGAGGGGAGGGAAAAGAAATGGAAGTGGACACAAAAAAATGGAAAGATATTCCATGTTCATGGATTAGAGAATCCGTATTGCCTATACCACCCCAGCAACCTACAGATTCAATGCAATCCCTATCAAAATACCAACAACTCCAGACTGGGTGACATAGGGAGACTTCATTTCTATAAAAAATTTAAAAATTAGGCCGGGCGCGGTGGCTCACGCCTGTAATCCCAGCACTTTGGGAGGCCGAGGCTGGTGGATCACAAAGTCAGGAGATCGAGACCATCCTGGCTAACACGCTGAAACCCCGTCTCTACTAAAAAATACAAAAAATTAGCCAGGCGTGGTGGTGGGCGCCTGTAGTCTCAGCTACTCAGGAGGCTGAGGCAGGAGAATGGCGTGAACCTGGGAGGTGGAGCTTGCAGTGAGCCAAGATTGTACCACTGCACTCCAGCCTGGGTGACAGAGCAAGACTCCATCTCAAAAAATAATAATAATAATAATTTAAAAATTAGCCAGGCATGGTGGTGTGCACTTATAGTCCCAGCTATTCAGGAGGCTGAAGTGGAAGGATCACTTGAGCCCAGGAGGTTGAGGCTGCAGTGAGCCATGATTGTACCACTGCAATTCAGCCTGGGCAACAGAGCAAGACCCTGTCTCAAAACAAAAATAGATACCAATGATATTCTTCGCAGAAATGGGAAAAGTAATCCTAAAATGTACATGGAACCACAAAAAACAAACAAACAAACAAACAAACAAAAACAGAATAGCCAAGCCAGCTGAGCAAAGAGAAGAAAACTGGAGGAATCACGTTACCTGACTTCAAATTATACTACGGTGCTATAACCAAAACAGCATGGCATAAAAACAGACATATAGACCAATGGAACAAAATAAAGAACTCAGAAACAAATCCATACATCTATATCTACAGTGAACTCATTACTGACAAAGGTACTTAGAACATACATTGGGGAAAGGATGGTCTTTTCAATAAATGGTTCTAGGAAAACTGGATATCCATATGTAGAAGAATGAAACTAGACCCCTATCTCTTGCCATATATGAAAATCAAATCAAAATGGATTAAAGACTTAAGTCTAAGACCTCAAACTATGAAACTACTACAAGAAAACACTGGGGAAACTCTCCACAACATTGGTCTGGGCAAAGATTTCTTGAGTAATGCTCCCAAGGTACAAGCAACCATGGCAAAAATGGACAAATGGGATGACATTAAGTTAAAAAGCCTCTGCACAGAAAAAGAAGCAATCAACAAAGTGAAGAGACAACCCACAGAATGGGAGAAAACATTTGCAAACTATTCATCTGGCAAGGGATTAATAACTAGACTAAATAAGGAATTTAACAGGAAAAAAAATCTAATAATCCAATTAAAAATGGGCAAAAGACCTGAATAGACATGTATCAAAAGAAGACATACAAATGGCAAACAGGCATATGAAAAAGTGCTCAATATCATGGATCATTAGAGAAATGAAAATCAAAACTACAATGAGGCTGGGTACAGTGGCTCATGCCTGTAATCCTAGCACTTTAGGAAGCTGAGGCGGGCAGATCACTTGAAACCAGGAGTTCAAGACCAGCCTAGCCATCACGGTGAAATCCTGTCTTTACTAAAAATACAAAAATTAGTCTGTCATGGTCACGAGTGCCTGTAATCCCAGCTACTCGGGAGGGTGAGGCATGAGAATTGCTTGAACCCCAGAGGCAGAGGTTGCAGTAAGCTGACATCTTGCCACTGACTCCAGCCTGGGCAACACAGCAAGACTCTGTCTCAAAAACAAACCAGGCCAGGTTTGGTGGCTCACGCCTGTAATCCCAGCACTTTGGGAGGCCAAGGTGGGTGGATCACAAGGTCAGGAGACTGAGACCATCCTGACTAACATGGTGAAACCCCGTCTCTACTAAAAATACAAAAAAAATTAGCCGGGCGTGGTGGCAGGCGCCTGTAGTCCCAGCTACTCAGGAGGCTGAGGCAGGAGAATGGTGTGAACCTGGGAGGCGGAGCTTGCAGTAAGCAAAGATCACGCCACTGCACTCCAGCCTGGGCAATGGAGTGAGACTCCATCTCAAAACAAAAACAAAAACAAAAACAAAATAAAACTACAATGAGATGTCATCTTACCCCAGTAAAAATGGCTTTTATCCAAAAGACACCAAAAATGAATGGTGGCAAAGATGTAGAGAAAAGGGAACCCCTGGACACTGTTGGTGGGAATGTAAATTAGTATAACTACTATGGAGAACAGTATGGAAGTTCTTCAAAAAACTAAAGATAGAACTACCATATGATCAGGCAATCCCACTACTGGATATTTATCCAAAGGAAATGAAATCAGTATGCCCAGGAGATATTTGCACTCTCATGTTTACTGCAGCACTATTCATAATAGCCAAGATTTGGAAGCAACCTAAGTCAACAATAATTTATTGTACATTTAAAAATAACTAAAAGAGTAAAATTAGAATGTTTGTAACACAAATAAATGATAAATGCTTGAGGTGATAGATAACCGATTTACCCTGATGTGATTATTATGTATCGTATGCCTGCATGAAAATATCTCATATATCCCATAAACATATAACCTATCACCCATAAAAATTAAAAAGAAAAAAGAAAATAACTTTTAAACTATTACTCATTGAGTAGTGTCAACATTTTTTCAGCACTTGATTAACTTAATGATGAATTGAATAACTATTACAGAATTAAATAATAAAACATAAACTATTTTCTGAATTGTATATAGATATGTGGGCAAAAAAAAAATAAAAGTAACATAGGCCAGGCACAGTGGATCACACCCATAATCCCAACATTTTGGGAGGCCAAGGCAGAAGGATTGCTTGAGCTCAGGAGTTCAAGACCAGCCCTGGTAACATAGCGAGACCTCATCTCTACAACAAATACAAAAATTAGCCAGGTGTGGTGACACATGCCTATAGTCCCAGCTACTTGGGAGGCTGACGTGGGAGGATCGTTTGAGTCTGGGAAGTTGAGGCTTCAGTGAACTATGATCATGCCATGACACTCCAGACTGGGCAACAGAACAAGACCCTGTTTCAAAAAAATAAATAAATAAAATTTTAAAATAAACTATTTTTATTTAATACTCAAAGTTCAAATCACAAAAGTACTGAGGATCAAACATAAGTAACACTAGCAAAGCAGCCAATGGCAGGCAACAGGCAGTTGCAAGCCACCTCTCACCATATAACTCTGAGATGGAGCAACTGATTGAGAGAAAGTCCTCTAACCACAGCCATCTACTTGTCATAGTTTGTAACACTGATCTTCCACACATTTTGTGTATCTTCCATGAACTCACTGTCAGTGCTGCTCAATGAGATAAACTAAGTACTAAGGAATAAAATTTTGTCAGTCAGGTTAAACTTTATTTTTACTTTTTAATTAAAAAAAAAATAGAACTCCTGGGCTCAAGCAATCTTCCATCTCGGCCTCCCAAAGTGCTGGGATTACAGGTGTGAGCCACCGTGCCTGGCTGGGTTAAGCTTTAGAGGGCCACAGATGATTGTTATATCTAAGATCCCCACTGCACCCCCGAAACCAATTTTTAATTTCCAGAATAGGCAAATATCAAAAATAGATTAGTGGTTGCTTAGGGATTCAAAATGGGGAGTGACAGCAAATGGATACAGGGTTTCTTTTAAGGGAAACAAAAATGTTCTGAAATTAGATTATTGAGATCGTTATACAACCCTATGAATATATCAAAATACACTGAGTTATATATTGTAAATGGATGAATTGTATGGTGTGAGATTGTATCTCAATACAGCTTAAAAGAAAAGAGCCAATTTTCACCTGTTTGGGGTGATATTATCTCAGCTGAGAATGCATGACCTAGGCTACTGGAGGAAGAAGGTTCCACAACAATGCCTCCTCTGCTGGAGTTGCTTAGAGCTAAAAGAACAATAAACTATATGGAATGAGCTTATTATAGTAGGGTGTAGAATTGGAATCAAATATAATTAACAATTATCAACATATCTAATTGTAAACACATAATCATATATGAGATATAAATGGTAAATAGTGTATATAAATGACTAAAATTCTCTAGTGAACTAGTGGGAAGAGAATAGCCTGCCCTTAAAAAAGAGAAATAAGGAAGGTTTTTGGCTAACAGGCTTTACCCTAAGAGAAAACAGTTAAAAAGTAGGTGGTACTCTCTTCCCCATCAATCACCAATCTTCTCTCAGAAGACTGAAATGTGAGCTCCAGTTTGATTTTTTTCTTTTTTTATTTTCTGGGGAAAGCCTTATTTCTATCTTTGCCATCCAGTTTGATTTTACAAGACAATGCTGTCCCACCTCAAGACAGTGCTGACCCCAATGAACCATCCAGTTTCCGATCATTTCACCTCTAATACCCAGGGATAGGTGAGCATGTTAGTCAGCAGTTCCAACATCCAGGTGTGGCCTTCAAGTGGTCTCTAGAGCAGCACTGTCCAAAGAACTTTCTGTGATGATGGAAGTGTTCTATGGCTTATAGACTATACTGAGCAATTGAAATGTGGCTACAGCAAATAAAGAACTAATTTTAATTTTAATTAAAATGAAAATGAACTTTTAATTGTAATTTTCATTTTAATTTAAATAGCTGCATGTGGCAATTTAATACCATATTGGACAGATAATTCTAAAGTAATGATATCTAATAGAAATATAGACTGGGGCTGGGCACAGTGGCTCACGCCTGTAATCCCAACACTTTGGGAGGCTGAAGTGGGCGGATCACTTGAGGTCAGGAGTTCAAGACCAGCCTGGCCAACATAGTGAAACCCCATTGCTACTGAAAATGCAAAAAAATCAACCAGGCGTGGTGGTGGGTGCCTGTAATCCCAACTACTCGGGAGGCTGAGGTGTGAGAATCAAAAAAAATAATAAAATTAAAATAAAAATAATGTGAGCTGGACTTGGTGGCATGTGCCTATAGTCCCAGCTACCCAGGCGGCTTAGGCGAGAAGATTATTTGAGCCCAGGAGTTAAAGAGACCAGCCTGGGGAATGTAGTGAGCCTCTACTGTAAAACAAAACAAAACAAAAGCAACAACGACAACAACAATATAATTACACAAGAAATTTTAAATTTTCTAATAGCTATATGAAAGCAGTATTTAAAAAGTGAAATTAGCCTGGCGTGGTGGCTCACGCCTATAATCCCAGCACTTTGGGAGGCCAAGGCGGATCACAAGGTCAGGGAATCGAGAGCATCCTGGTTCATACGGTGAAACTGCATCTCTACTAAAAATACAAAAAAATTAGCCGGGCGTGGTGGCGGGCACCTGTAGTCCCAGCTACTCGGGAGGCTGAGGCAGGAGAATGGCATGAACCCGGGAGGCAGAGCTTGCAGTGAGCCAAGATTGTGCCACTGCACTCCAGCCTGGGCG
Organism: Homo sapiens; assembly: GCF_000001405.40. Taxonomy (NCBI): domain Eukaryota; kingdom Metazoa; phylum Chordata; class Mammalia; order Primates; family Hominidae; genus Homo; species Homo sapiens. Next base: position 34,840,653 of record NC_000006.12, on the reverse strand, counting down.
ACAGAGCGAGACTCTGTCTCAAGAAAATAAAAAGTGAAATTAATTGTAATAATATGTATTTATTTTTATTTTATTTATTTATTTTTTGAGACAAAGTCTCGCTCTTGTCCCCCAGGCTGGAGTGCAATGGCGCAATCTTGGCTCACTGCAACCTCCACCTCCTGGGTTCAAGCAATTCTCCTGCCTCAGCCTCCCATGTAGCTGGGATTACAGGTGCCTGCCACCACGCCCAGCTAATTTTTGTATTTTTTTTTTTTTTTTTAAGTAGAGACGGGGTTTCACCATGTTGGCCAGGCTGGTCTCAAACTCCTGACCTCAGGTGACCCACCCGCCTTTGGCATCCCAAACTGCTGGGATTACACGCGTGAGCCACCAAGCCTGGCCAATAATATGTATTTAAACCAATATACCCAAATGTTATTTCAACATGGAATCAACATGAAAATAATTATTGAGGTGGTTTACACTCTTTTTTTGGTACCATATTGTAAAGTACATGGATGTGCTTTGGTCAAGGAATATGCCTAGGCAGATGTCCAGGCCTGCATGACTCAGCAAGTTTAGAGCACAGGCATATAACTCCACCTGTTATCACAGCCATGTAGCCATAACATAGGAAGGTCATCCCTTGGCCCTGTACCACTATTGTCTGTAAAAGGTGTAACTGCCCTGCTGATGCTATGCTCTTGGGGCTCAGCTTGGACGGCACGGCACAGCACGGCATGGCACAGCTCTTGTACAGGCGCTGGCGCCCAGACAGAGTGAAGCTATTGACCCCTGTAAGGGAGACTGGCCGTCTGGCAGACAGGCAAGGGAGAGCCAGGAACTGGGTTGTGCCCAGAGGGAAAGAGTTAAGCTGCTGACTCTGAAGGTAAGGGAGAGCCACCCGCGCAGCTTTATGCATGCGAGCACCCGGACAAGCAGCCGGGCCAGTGCGAGAGAGCTGTTGATGAGAGAGCTGCTAAATAAAAGTACATTTCACCTGCCTACCCCCTGGCAGTGCCCCACCCCACCGACCGAGTGTTCTTTCGGCTATCTGCCCATCCACCCACTCCCCTCGACCTCAGCATGGGCTGGAACCTAACCCTGGGCATGACATTTGGCATAGTCATGGACCTGACACATATCTTTGAAATCCAATGTGTATTTTACATTTACAGAACATCTCAATTTGAATCAGCCACATTTCAAGTGTCCAGTAGTCACACGTGGTTAGTGGCTACTATATTGGACAGAACAACTCCAGAAAATCTTAAAGCCCTTTCTATATTACCTAGTTCTCCCTTCCCCTTTCTCCCCAAATCCCAGAGAAAGAGTTACAAGAACTCTCCCTGATCTCTGCCCCTATACCACACCCGGGTATGGTAGGCTGAGAATTATTCCCGTATTTTAAAATGTCTATCTAGATGGAGTTTTGTTCTTGTTGCCCAGGCTGGAGTGCAATGGCGCCATCTCGGCTCACTGCAACCTCCGCCTCCCGGGTTCAAGCAATTCTCCTGCCTCAGCCTCCCAAGTAGCTGGGATTACAGGCATGTGCCACCATGCCCAGCTAATTTTGTGTTTTTAGTAGAGACGGGGTTTCTCCATGTTGGTCAGGCTGGTCTCAAACTCCTGACCTCAGGTGATCCACCCGCCTTGGCCTCCCAAAGTGCTGGGATTATAGGCATGAGCCACCATGCCCGGCCTTCCTTGAAGTTTTTTGTTTGGTTTTGATTTCTTTTTGGAGATTGGGTCTCGCTCTGTCACCCATGCTGGAGTGCAGTGGCACAATCTTGGCTCAGAGCAACCTCTGCCAAGCGATCCTCCCGCTTCAGTCTGAGTGGCTGGGACTACGGGTGTGTGCCACCACGCCCAGCTGATTTTTGTGGTTTTTTAGAGATGAGGTTTTGCGATGTTGCCCAGGCTGGTCTTGAACACCTGGGCTCAAGGAATCTGCCCATCTTGGCCTTCCAAAGTTCTGAGATTGCAGGTGTAAGTCATCGTGCCCAGCCTCCTTGAAGTTTACTAACACTTGGGATAACTGAGGGAAAAGAAGTGACAATTCCACTCAGTCTATTAGAGGTCTGGATATAAGGTAGCCACACAATAACTCTAACTTGACTTCTTCTAACCATTCTATCTTATTGGTTTGGAGACTGTCTTCTGCCAGCATTTTTTGTGGCTTGAGATGATATTTTCAAACCCTTCTTTCACTACCTTTCTTACCCTTAATGTGCCAAGCTTGAAACAGGATTTGATTTCCTGAGCTACTTGTTTGCCTTCTGTGTGTCACCAAGTAATCTGGTTCATCTTTCATCTCATTCATGTTCTTTTCAAGTGAAACAAGACATTTTGGGGTCAAGTCTCTTTGGGTGTTTGTTTTATGTATATAAAAATGGATTTTGTGTTTCCTTTCCATGTAAGTACCAACTTATATGGAAACTCACAATCATAATGTAAGAAGAAATGAAAGCCTGGTGTATTGTACTTCAAGATGCCTCCCTGATGTACAGAATCTCCTTGTAAGATAAATAATTGCATTGTAAAAATAAAATAAAATGTCTCATCTAAAACTTCATTAAATTCCACCAAAAAGATCAATATAGTTTAATAAATGAACGGTGAAGCTACAGTCATTCACATCTTAGTATGGATTACAGAACTCTGGCACTTGAAGAGAATAGTACTAAACATCCCTTATCAAGCGACAGGATGAAACTCTGAATTGTGTACTCTTAATTAGGAATTCTGAAAGCATTAAAAACAAAATCTAAACAAACAATCAAACCAAAAAATACCCAAAGCCTTTAAGTAACACTTGGAAGAAATAACTAAACAAAATAATACTTGTTTTAGTAACAAACTTCCAAAATGAGTGAGTGGCAAATTATTTCCTGTGGTGGCAAAAACAATCTTTGCACTGTCATTGCTCCTTTCTTTCCTTTCAGAATGAGAGTAGAGGAGGGTTGAAATCACTTCAAGATTATTTTTTTTTTGAAACAGGGTCTCACTGTGTCACCCAGGCTGGAGTGTAGTGGCACAAATCATGGCTCACTGCAACCTTGAGCTCCTGGGCTCAAGCAATTCTCCCACCTTAGCCTCCTGAGTAGCTAGAACTACAGGGACACACCACCACACCTGGCTAATTTTTTTTTAAGAGATGGAGTCTCACTATATTGCCCAGGCTGGTCTCAAACTCCCGGGCTTAAGCAATCCTCCCACCTCAGCCTCCCAAAGTGATAGGACTATAGGCGTGAGCCCACTGCAGCTGATCTCTGGCTAATTTTCAAATTTTTTGTAGAGACGGGTTTCGCCATGTTGCCCAGGCTGGTCTCAAACTCCTAAGCTCAAGCAATCCTCTCACCTCAGCCTCCCAAAGTATTGAGATTACAGTCATGAGCCACTGTGCCTGGCCAGTGAATCTAGATCTTATTATAAGGTAAACAAAGCCTTTAGAGAAGATAAGCCAGCAAGAGAAAAGTCTATTTAATATCATATATAAGCATCAAAAACCAAGAACTGATGGCAATGGAGAGTTTAAAGGAAACACAAAGATAGTTTTGAAGAAACAAGCAGCAGGGTAATAAAACTTAATATTAGCCTATAATCAAGGTCCTCCAAATTCAGCCTATTGGCTCATTTGAGCCTGACAACAACTTTTGAGGTAATGAGTGAGACATCATTTAACTCAATTTCACGAATGTGGAAACTCAAACAGGTTAAGCAGAAAATTAAGTGGTTTCCCCAGGGCTCATAAAGGAAAGCAATCAGTCAATTAGTTTTTTTCATTCTGAATAAATACAAACACATATATAATGGCAGTTGTTCTAAGTATGTCGAGATTACAACATAACCTTGCTTGGGAAGAGAACATTTACACACAATAAATATTTAAACTGACCCAAATCTACAAATTCTGAGGTTTTCTATAGTTGAATTTACTTTCCTAAAATCTCACCCTAGTCGTTTTCAACCTCTGATAAGCATCAGGATTGCCTAAGGAACTTTGGTGAGGGGAAAAAAAAGTTTACACTGCTTGAACTCTACCACTGAAGACTCTAATTTAGAGGTGTTTGGGGAGAGGCCCAACATCTGTATTTTATTAAGTATGACATGTGGTTCTACTGTACCCTAAAGACTGAACAGCACTGCCTCAAACAACAGGGCTACCACAGGAGGGCTGAGGCCCAAGGAATGCCTGTGATTAAGGGAAGCCAACCAAAGTACTCCACAATGTCTTCTGAAAAGAGCCTTCATCCCCAGGCTCTGCCCAGAGCTAGACAGTGACGTGGACCACCCAGCCCAGGCTCAGGCCTCATGGGGTACCTGGCTCTCGGGACTGGCTATCATCACAAATGTGCAGGTCCAGGCGGGAGATGAGCAGATGGTAGGAGGACTCTTTCACATCAAATTTCTCAAAGTACTGGCTGAGGCGGCTGCTGCTGCTGTTGCTGTTGCCCTGGCTGCCACCAAATGCCTGGGCCCAGGACTGCTGGGCACTGGGGGCTGGTGGAGTGATCTACATGTGACAGAGAGAGAAACAGGAAGTCCAGACCCTGAAAAGATCCTTTGTAGGCTTTCTTTAAGCTTTGGTCCAGCCTGAAGAAAACCACAGTTTAGCAAGATGTTCCTTCCCTCTCACAACTGTTGGCCTAGTAGCTCACTTAGGTCCGTTTCAATTATATAACCCAAACTCCAAAAGCCTAATTATAATTAGTCTAATAACTGCTGGAATACAGTTCATAGTTCTGAATTGCCCTCCCAGCTCTCGCCCACCAGGTCTTAGTGGACTGATGCTAAAACATTTCCTCTAGGACGTCTTCCCTAAATGCTCTCTTTCAGCCTATGTAGTGAGATGCCTCTTCTTTGTGCTCTCATGGCATATTGTTTATTGTATTACAGCATTTATCACACCATACTGTAATAATTCATTTATGGTCCATCTTTCAAGACAGTGAGAGCCCCAAGGACAGGAACAAGAGGTGTATTCCATTTTTCTTCTCCAGTGGCCAGCACTGTATACTTAATACACTGGAGGTACCCAATGAACAGAATAAATAAAAAATCAGAGGTGCAGGCAAAGCCTATGAATACCCAGAAGTAAATGACAAATTTCCCAAATAAAGTCTAGATTCCACCTACATTAGTATGAGTTAGGTCTGGCCTACTGAGTCCCTAGCCCCACTAAGGGTGTCTGTTTTATCTCTAACCTGCACAGGTTCAGGGGCCAGGCTCTTTCTTTGATGGGCTGACTTCTCCATGGCTTCACTCAGTGACTCTGCATACTTCATCATAGCCTTGAGCTGTGAGTCAGTCAGCACCCAGAGCAGGTCATCCAACAGGAACATCAGCTTGGAGGATATCACATTGCAATCTTTGGTCTGAGGAAGCCACAGACAACATGGGGTTTATCACCTCGTATCATTCCAACTTTCAAAGTGACTGTTGCCCAATCAGTTTCAGAAGCGGCTTTTCAATCTCCAATATGTGAAAGTATCAAGCACTTTGGAGAGACAATTTCTTATAAAACTACTAAAGTTTCCTTAATTAAAAAAAAAGCAATAGTCAACTGCCAGGTGCCTATGTCAGTGTCCCTACATACGAGTAAAAATTGCAGTTTCCAAAACTAAGAAAACAGGAAGGTGGAAACATTCTATTACTAGAGGATGTTGAGCAACACTGATTTACAGGCCTTCCCCCTTCAACTGTCATTCCAGGGCCAATAACATTCCAAACAATAAGGGAATACCAAATCCAGGCTGTCTCATAGAATAAGAGATGGAAGTTTTCATGAGGCCAGAGAACACACTTACTCTTCTTTTGAGGGCTATTTGGATCCTGCCTTGGTTCGTAATAAGCCTCAATGGAGTGGTGACTGGGTCCTGATCACCATTGTCTGTAGCATCTGCCTCAATTCGGAGTGTTTGCCAAGTTATTTCCTTAAATGTTAAAACCTGGAAGGAGAGAAAGTACAATCCCTTAATCCTGTGAATGAAATTAACCAAGAAGCAAGAAGTCCAAGGAAAAAAGACTGGCAAGGCAGAGACTCCCAGCACTCTCAGTTGGGATCCCACCAAGAAAAAGCAGTGAATTGGGGATCCATAATTGAGGAAAGGATGTAGCAGTAACACTGGACAGAAAGGCCTCTGGGTTCCCAGGAATGGGGAACATTTGAGGAAATCCACAAAATGGGAATAATATCCTTTAAGAATCAGTCTGACTTTGAATATTCCCCCATTCTCTCCCTTCACAATGATGGGGCTGTCACCTCTCCTCGGCAGGGGTCAGTGATGCGGGTAAGGCGAAGGTCACTCTGCTGCCAGTTGGGGTTGACACTATAGCCCTGGAGCTGCCACAATTCAAAAGAAGCGTGGAAGGCCTTGGAGTGAATCTTGATGGTGATAGAATTGACAATGATGAACATCCCTTCCACCACCTTTTCGGCAAAGCCATATTCACTACAACAAATGAGGTAGACCAACAATCAGAATTATGGGAGACTTTCTGCACAGTCTTCATATTAGATGTTTAAATTATTTTATAATGATAATACAGTAGTCTTTTTATTTTTTTGAGACAGGTTCTTGCTCTGTTACCCAAGCTGGAGTACAGCGGCATGATCACAGCTCACTGCAGCCTTGAACTCCTGGCCTCAAGTGATCCTCTCGTCTCAGCCTCTGAAATAGCTGGGATCACAGGTATGAGCCACTGTGCTTGGCTGCAGTAATTTTTTTTTTTTTTTTTTTTTTTTTTTGAGACGGAGTCTCACTCTGTCACCAGGCTGGAGTGCAGTGGCGCGATCTCGGCCACCTGCAATCTCTACCTCCCAGGTTCAAGGTATTCTCCTGCCTCAGCCTCCCAAGTAGCTGGGAGCCACGCGCCACCACTCCCAGCTAATTTTTGTATTTTTAGTAGAGACGGGGTTTCCCCATGTTGGCCAGGATGGTCTCAATCTCTTGGCCTGGTGATCTGCCCATCTCGGCCACCCAAAGTGCTAGGATTACAGGCGTGAGCCACCGCACCTGGACAGTACTTTCTTTAATGAGAAATTTTTTTTTAAGAATGGAATAAAAGAGGAAGACCTTGAAACAATCTCCCTCCTGTTAGAAAGAATAAATTGATAAATCTTTTTATAAACCACAAACTATCTAAATATTTAGATAATGTCTGTGAGGGGAAGTATAACTACAGAAAAGAGACATAGGGTTTCTATAAAATCTTCAAAGACACAACAGCAAGACCTGGTGTCAAAAAAAAAAAAAATCTTCAATGATGGAGCATACTCTGCATAAGTAGTGGTAAGAAAAGTAGTACAGTCAGGTGAATAAGAGGTTCAAAATCAGTCCCACCTTGACCCTGTCAAATACAGTCATCCCTTGGTATGTGAAGTTCCAGGAGCCCCCAGTACCATCTCCTATACCAAAATCTGCTCAAATCCCACAGCCAACCCTGAGGGACCTGCATATATGAAAAGTCAACTATCTATGTGGGTGGCACCCTGCAATATTTTGATCTGCATTTGGTTGAAAAAAATCCGCATATGCATGGACCCATGTAGCTCAAACTTGTGCTATTCAAGGATCAACTGTGCTTCCCAAAGAATATAGCTATACTTCTACAGTGAGAGGACAGAAATGGCAAAAGGAGAGGAATGAAGGAAACAAAGTCCCTCTAGATGTGAAGAAAACAGCAATTCTTGACATGTAGGTGAAATCACTGCTCATTACAAGAGATAAAAGGAGGTCTGAAAATTCAAACTGAAAAAAAATATATATTTGGAATTTATGTCACCAAGAACTAATATCCCTAATGTATAAAGAACTTCAAAAACCAGAGAGAAAATAGAGCAAGAGCCTGATAAAAGTGGGACCAAGTATGGACAGGTCACAGAAGAAATAAATGCAAATAGATATTAAACATAAAGAGGCTGGGCACAGTGACTCACACCTGTAATCCCAGCACTTTAGGAGGCCGAGGTGGAGGATCATTTGAGCCCAGGAGTTTGAGACCAGCCTGGGCAACAAAGGGAGATGCCCTCTCTACAAAAACTCTCTACAAAAAAATTTAAAAATTAGCCAGGTCGTGGTGGTGCATGCCTGTAGTCCCAGCTACTTGAGAGGCTAAGATAGGAGGATCGCTTGAGCCCAGGAGATTGAGGCTGCAGTGAGCCAAGATTGCGCCACTGCACTCAAGCCAGGGTGACAGAGTCAGACCCTGTCTCAGAAAAAAAAAAGAAAAAGAAGAAAAGAAAAAACGCTGGGCACAGTGGCTCACGCCTATAATCCTAACACTTTGGGAGGCTAAAGCAGGCACATCACTTGAGCCTAGGAGTTTGAGCTCAGCCCAGCAACATAGTGAGACCTGGTCACTACAAAAAATAGAAAAAATTAGCCAGATACAGTGGTGCATGCCTTTGGTCCCAGCAACTTGGGAGGCTGAGGCGGGAGGATCACCTGAGCCTGAGGAGGTCTAGGCTGCAATGAGCTGTGATCGTGACACTGCACTCCAACCTGAGTGACAGAGTGAGACCTTGTCTTAAAAAAAAAAAAAAGAAAGAAAAAAGGCCGGGTGCAGTGGCTCATGCCTGTAATCCCAGAAATTTGGGAGGTGGAGGTGGGTGGATCACGAGGTCAAGAGATCGAGACCATCCTGGCCAACATGGTGAAACCCCATCTCTACTAAAAATACAAAAATTAGCTAGGCGTGGTGGTGCACACCTGTAGTCCCAGCTACTTGGGAGTCTGAGGCAGGAGAATTGCTTGAACCTGGGAGGCAGAGGTTGCAGTGAGCCAAGATCATGCCACTGCACTCCAGCCTGGTGACAGAGCGAGGCTCCGTCTCAAAAGAAAAGAAAATGATCCTCAACCTCACTCATAAATCAAAACTATGCTGAGAGTCACTAGATTTATGACAAAGGTGACAGTGCAGGGGGAAAATAGTTTTTTCAATAAATGGTGCATGGTCAGTTTGCAGATATCCATAAAGAGAAAAATTAATATTGATGCCTACCTTCATCAAACAACAACAACAAAAAATCAGTTCCAAGATGGACTAGAGATTCAAATGTTAAAAGCCAAACAATAAAGCTTTTAGAAGAAAACATAGGATACTCTCTTCCTGCCTTAGGATAGAAAAGGAACTTAAACAAGATACAAAAACTGCTAACCATTAAGTGGAAAAAAAAGATATACTGGACTACATCAGAATTAATAATTTCTGTTCAATAATTTAAAAAAAATTAAGGGTGGGCCAGGCGCAGTGGTTCATGCCTGTAATCCCAGCACTTTGGGAGGCCGAGGCGGGTGGATCACCTGAGGTCAGAAGTTCGAGACCAGCCTGGCCAACATGGTGAAACCCCATCTCTACTAAAAATACAAAAATTAGCTGGGCGTGGTGGCAGGCGCCTGTAATCCCAGCCACTCAGGAGGCTGAGGCAGAAGAATCACTTGAACCCAGGAGGTGGAGGTTGCAGTGAGCTGAGACTGCGCCATTGCACTCTAGCCTGAGTGACAAGAGAGGAACTCTGTCTCAAAAAAAAAAAAAAAATTAAGAGTGATCAGTATCTTGGTATTCTGTACAGAGTAGAAGATATCTGCAGTACATTTATCTAACCAAGTACTTGTTTTCAGAATATATAAAGAACTTCTACAAATTAATAAGAAAAAGACAACTCAAAGATAAATGAGCAAAACACACAAGTGCTTTATGAAAGACAATATCCAAAATTTCAATAAACCAATCGTCAGAAAAATATAAATTAAACCATAATGTGATACAACTACACACCCACCAGGATGATTAAAATGAAAAGATAGACAATACCAGATATGGAACAACTAGAACTTTTATGCAATGCTAGAGGGAAAACTGGTACAATCACTATGAATAACTATCTAGCAATATTTACAAAAACAGAACCCATAACCCAACAATTTTACTGCTAGGTATATAAAATAGAAATGTGTGATATATACACAAGAAGGTTCATAGCAGCACTATTCTCTTTCACTACATATTTTCAACTTATATGCAGGAAAATTCATTCTTTGTGGTGTATGGCTTTGTGGGTTTTTTTTTTCCCCGCCGAGACAGAGTCTTGCTCTGTGACCTAGGCTGGGGTGCAGTGGTGTGATCTCGGCTCACTACAACATCTGCCTCCCAGGTTCAAGCAATTCTCCTGCCTCAGACTCTGGAATAGCTGGGATTACAGGCGCACGCCATCATGCCCAGCTAATTTTTTTATTTTTTTTAGTAGAGATGGGGTTTCACCATGTTGGCCAGGCTGGTCTCGAACTCCTGACCTCGTGATCTGCCCGCCTCGGCCTCCCAAAGTGCTGGGATTACAGGCGTGAGTCACCACACCCAGCCGGCTCTGTGGGTTTTGGCAAATACATGGAGTCATGATTGACCACCAAAGTCATCATAGAGAAGAGTTCTACAAGCCTGTAATCCCAGCATTTTGGGAGGCTGAGGCGAGTGGATCACCTGAGACCAGGATGAGACCAGCCTGACTAACATGGCAAAACCCTGTCTCGCTAAAAATACAAAAATTAGCCAGGGGAGGCCAGGCGCGGTAGCTCACACCTGTAATCCCATCACTTTGGGAGGCTGAGGCAGGCAAATCACGAGGTCAGGAGTTCAAGACCAGCCTGGCCAACACAGTGAAACCCAGTCTCTACTAAAAACACACACACACAAAAAAATCAGTGAGGCGTGATGGCAGGTGCCTATAGTTCCAGCTACTTGGGAGGCTGAGGCAGAAGAATCACTTGAACCTGGGAGGTGGAGGTTGCAGTGAGCCGAGATTGCGCCACTGCACTCCAGCTTGGGTGACATAGCGAGACTCTTGTCTTGAAAAAAAGAAAAAGTAGCTAGGTATGGTAGCAGTGGCACACACCTGTACTCCCAACTACTCCAAAGGCTGAGGTGTGAGAATCGCTTGAACCTGGGAGGCAGAGGTTGCAGTGAGCTGAGATCGCACCACTGCACTCCAACCTGGGCAACAGAGCAAGACTCTGTCTCAGAAAAAAAAAAGAAGAAGAACCAGAAACTAGAAGCATCTACAACAGAATGGATTATGGCATATTCAGGTAATGGAATGGTATACAGTAATGAGGAAGAATGAACTACAAACATATGTAACAAAATGGATGTCTCTCACAAACATAATGTTAAGCTAAAGTAGCCGGAAGCAAATGAGTATATATTTACCTAAAACAGCCATGTTGTAGTACATAACAGTTCTTTATTCCTTTTTAAGGTTATGCCTGAACATGCCTGAACCTTGAAAACATTATGCTAAGTGAAAGAAGTCAACCACAAAAGACCACACAGTGTATGATTTCATTTATATAAATGTTCAGAATAGACATAGACAGTAGATGAGTGGTTGCCTAGGGCTAAGGCAGGGAAGAACGAGGAGTGACTGCTAATATGTATGGAGTTTCTCTTGGGTGATGAAAATGTTCTAAAATTGATTGTGGTCATGGTTGTACATCCCAGTGAATACAGTAAAAACCACTGAATTGTATACTTCACATGGATGAATGTTATGGTATGTGAATTATATTTCAATAAAGTGTTTTCTAAATTATGCTGGCTTGGCTTCTTTGGTTTTCTTCTTTTTTTTTTTTTTTTTTTTTTTTTTGAGATGGAGTTTCACTCTTGTCGCCCAGGCTGGAGAGCAATGGTGCAATCTCAGCTCACTGCAAGCTCTGCCTCACAGGTTCAAGCAATTCTCCTGCCTCAGCCTCCCAAGGAGCTGGTACTACAGGCATGCGCCACCACGCCTGGCTAATTTAGTATTTTTAGTAAAGATAGAGTTTCTCCATGTTGGCCATGCTGGTTTCAAGCTCCTGACTTCAGGCGATCCACCCACCTCGGCCTCTTAAAGTGCTGGGATTACAGGCATGAGCCACTGTACCCAGCCAGCTTCTTTGGTTTTCTTGTAAGAAAAGAAAGAATAAGAAAAAAAAATTATGCTGGCAAAATATGAAGTGACTTATGAACAAGGCCATTTATTGCTGAACCATGTTTAACAGCAAAAAATCTGGAAATAATCCAAATATCCATCAACAGAGAACTGGCTAAACTATGTTGCCTCCAAAAGATAAGCATATTCTACAGGTACAAAAAGGAATAAAGAACATCTCTTCACACTTCTATGGAGTGATCTCTAGGATATATATATATATATAAATACACACTTTTTTTTTTTTTTTTTTGAGATGGAGTCTTGCTCTGTCACCCAGGCTGGAGTGCAGTGGTGTGATCTCGGCTCACTGCAACCTCCATCTCCTGGGTTCAAGCAATTCTCCTGCCTCAGCCTCCTGAGTAGCTGGGATTACAGGCGCGTGCCACCATGCACGGCTAATTTTTGTATTTTTAGTAGAGACGGGGTTTCACCATGTTGATCAGACTGGTCTTGAACTCCTGACCTCGTGATCTGCCCACCTCAGCCTCCCAAACTGCTGGGATTACAGGCGTGAGCCATGTAATACGCCCGGCTTTCCAGGATATATTTTTAAATGAAAAGAACAATGTAGAAGAAGTATTTAAGATATGCTACATGTTGTACAGAAAAAAGGTGGGACAATACAAATATATATACAGTACATATAATGTGCCTTGTTTCACAGTTGTTAACTTCAGAGCTACATAATTTTACATAGCTAAAAATAAATTTAAAAACCATCTAAAACTTAAACAAATAAAAGAACCTTTCTGTATGTCAAATTGCTACTCAACCATCTAAAGAATGATTTCATGTAATCCCAGCACTTTGGGAGGCCAAGGCGGGTGGATCACTTGAGGTCAGGAGTTCGAGACCAGCCTGGGCAACATGGTGAAACCCCGTCCTTACTAAAAATACAAAAATTAGCCAGGCATGGTGGCAGGCGCCCATAATCCCAGCTACTTAGGAAGCTGAGGCAGGAGAATCGCTTGAACCCGGGAGGCAGAGGTTGCAGTGAGCCGAGATGGTGCCACCGCACTCCAGCCTGGAAAACAAGAGCGGAAAAACTTCATCTCAAACAAAACAAAACAAACAAACAAAAACAGTATTTTGACCATACATCCCTAATGGGATATTTCACAAGATTAAAACACACATACACACCCCGATACTGCATTCAGTAGTAGTGTTATTGATAGTTATAATGGTTTTGTTTTTCTGAAACTTGAAAAAGTAAATCATTTATGTTACTGTTGATAGGAGCCATGACTCAGTGTATGAATTTAAAAACCACTATTAAATCCAGAAAGTTATCTCAAAATCCTCTTTTCTTTTATTTGAATAGAGAAATATCAGGATATTGTCATGATTTATTTTTCTCTTTCTTTGTTTTGTTTTTTTTCTTTTTTTTTGAAACAGAGTCTCACTCTGTCACCAGGCTGGAGTGCAGTGGCACGATCTTGGCTCACTGCAACCTCTGCCTCCCGGGTTCAAGCAACTCCCCTGCCTCAGCCTCCCGAGTAGCTGGGACTACAGGCACGCGCCACCACGCCCGGCTAATTTTTTGTATTTTAGTAGAGATGGGGTTTCGCTATGTTGGCCAGGCTGGTCTCGATCTCCTGACCTCGTGATCCACCCGCCTTGGCCTCCCAGAGTGCTGGGATTACAGGTGTGAGCCACTGAGCCCGGCCTATTTTTCTCTTTCTTAAAAATACCTTTTTCCTAGCATTGGACACTGAAAAGGCCTTAAAGCAATGAAAACTCAATGTACACAGTTTTGCAGACAATAGTCTCTAAATAGCGTTTCTCACTGAAGGGAATCAGGGCTCCTTGGAGAGATGTCTGAGTTCAGGTCTAGGGTAAAGTTGTATAAAAGAATCCTCAAACATCTTATTCTATCTAAAAGCAGAACGATTACTGGGGTCTTGTCAAAAGGACACAGGAGCTCACTTGGAAATGCTCTAACTGGCCAAAGATGGGGAGATATGAACATCAAGAAGAATAATGACTGTAAAGGTATGACATACAAAAAAAACATGTATAAAGAGTAAATGTACGATGTAAAGCCAGGCACAGTCGCTCACGTCTGTAATCCTAACACTTTGAGAGGCCAAGTCGGAAAGATCACTTGAGTCCAGGAGTTCAAGACCAGCCTGTGCAATATGGTGAGACCCATCTCTGCAAAATATTTAAAAATTAATTGGGTGCAGTGGCACATGCCTGTATCCCCAGCTATTTGGGAGTCTGATGTGGGAGAATCGCTTGAGCCCAGGAGTTCAAGGCTGCAGTGAGCCGTGACTGCACCACCGCACTCCAGCCTGGGTGACAAAGCAAAACTTTGTCTCAAAAAAAAAAAAAAAAAAAGTAGGATGTAAAACATGTAACATGTAAAAGCATGTAGGCCAGGTGCGGTGGCTCACGCCTGTAATCCCAGCACTTTGGGAGGCCAAGCCGGGTGGATCATTTGAAGTCAGGAATTCGAGACCAGCCTGGCCAACATGGTGAAACCCTGTCTCTACTAAAACAAAAATCAGCCAGGTGTGTTGGTGTGTGTAATCCCAGCTACTCAGGAGGCTGAGGCAGGAGAATCACTTCAACCCAGGAAGCGGTGGTTGCAGTGAGCAGAGATGCACCATTGCACTCTAGCCTGGGCAACAGAGTGAGACTCCATCTCAAAAAAAAAAAAAAAAAAAAATGCAAAATGTAAAAAGAATATAAAATGGTAAGCCACTCTGGAAAAGTTTGACAGTTTCTGAAAAAGTTAAATCCTCCCCTAAATACCATAACTAGGTATTTACCCAAGAGAAAGAAAAGTACACATGACCACACAAAAACTTGTATACAAATGTTCACAGCAGCATTATTCATAATAGTCAAAAAATGGAAATAAAATGACCATCAACTAGTGAATGGACAAACCAATTGTGGCATATCCATACACTAAAATGTTACTCAGTGCTATGGTCTGATTGCTTATGTTTCCCCAAAATTCATCATATGTTGAAACCTAATAGCCCAATGTGACAGTTTTAGAGATGAGGCCTCTGGAAGGTGTTTAGCTCATGAAGGAAACGTCCTCATTAATGGGATTAATGCCTTTAGAAAAGAGGCCGGAGACTGCACTCAGTGGCTCGCGCCTGTGATCCCCACACTTTGGGAGGCCAAGGCAGGTGGATCACCTAAGGTCAGGAGTTCAAGACCAGCCTGACTAACATGGTGAAACCCCATCTCTACTAAATGCAAAAAATTAGCTGGGCCTGGTGGTGCATGCCTGTAATCCCAGCTACCTGGGAGGCGGAGGCAGGAAAATCACTTGAACCAGGGAGGTGGAGGTTGCAATGAACGGAGATCATGCCATTGCACCCCAGCCTGGGCGACAAAAGCGAAACTCCATCTCAAAAAAGAAAAAAAAAAGAAAAAAGAAAAGAGGCCAGAGAGAGACCTTTCACCCCCTTGGAAGTATTCTTACCAAGAAAACAAAAGCAAACAAAATCAATCAGGGCAAGCCTTTAAATCTACCAGATTAAATGAGAAACATTTTCAATGATACCTTGATGATACAATCAGCCAGAATATAAAACAAGTGAAATTCTTTAGAAAAGATTACCTAATTCCTACAAAGAATAAATGGTATATTTAAAAATGTGTGTGTGGTGGGATATAATTATAAGAGCTTTAAAAGGCCTATCACCCAAATATAAAGTATGGACTTCTTTTGATCCATATTGTTCCGTAAAAAAATATGTATTTAGGCCAGTCACAGTGGTTCACGCCTGTAATTCCAGCATTTTAGGAGGCTGAGGCGGGTGGATCACCTGAGGCCAGGAGTTCGAGACCAGCCTGGCCAACACGGCAAAATCCCATCTCTATTAAAAATACAAAAATCAGCCAGGTGTGGTGTGGGGCACCTGTAATTCCAGCTACTCAGGAGGCCGAGGCACAAGAATCACTTGAACCCAGGAGATGGAGGTTGCAGTGAGCCAAGATCGTGCCACTGCACTCCAGCCTGGGTGACAGAGCGAGACCCTGTCTCAAAACCAAAAAAAAGAAAAAAGAAAAAAATACATATATACATATATATATTTTAGAGATAATCCAGGAAAATTGATTATGAAATAGGTACTAGATGATATTAAGGAATTCTTGGGTTTTTTTTTTTTTTTGAGATGGAGTTTCATTCTTGTTGCCCAAGCTGGAGTGCAATGGCGCGATCTCGGCTCACTGCAATCTCCACCTTCCGGGTTCAAGCGATTCTCTTGCCTCAGCCTCCCGAGCAGCTGGGATTACAGGTGCCCGCCACCACGCCCGGCTAATTTTTTTTATTTTTAGTAGAAATGGAGTTTTTATTTTTAGTAGAAACGGGGTTTCACCATGTTAGCCAGGCTGGTCTCGAACTCCTGACCTCAGGTAATCTGCCCACCTCAGCCTCCCAAAGTGCTGGGATTACAGGCGTGAGCCACCGCGCCTGGCCTGTTAATTCTTTTTAATGTGATAGCAATATATTTTTTTTCCAGGCCTTGTCTGTTAAAGACATGATATGAAAGTATTTGCAGGTGGGTTCACAACCAGCCTGGGCAACATGGTGAAACAGTCTCTACCAAAACTACAAAAAATTGGCCAGGTATGGTGGTGCATGCCTGTGGTCCCAGCTACTTGGGAGACTGAGGTGGGGAACCACTTGAGCCTGGGAGGCAGATGATGCAGTGAGCCAAGATCACACCACTGCACTCCAGGCTGGGTGACAGGGTGAGACCCCATCTCAAAAAAAAAAAGTATCTGCAAGCGGAATCATATGGTTTCTGAGATTTGCTTTCAAGTACTATAGTGTCCACATGCACATACATACACATACACAAACTGGCAGGAAAAAGAAAAAAGAATGACAACGTTGGGCATGGTGGTTCACATCCGTAATCCCAGGGCTTTGGGGAGGCTGAGGTGGGAGGATCGCTTAAAGCCAGGAGTTCAAGACCAGCCTGGGCAACATAGTGAGACACCATCGCTACAAAAAACTAGCCAGGCATGGTGATGTGCGCCTGTGGTCCCAGCTACTTGGGAGGCTGAGGTAGAAGGACTGATTGAGCCCAGGAGGTCGAGGCTACAGTGAACTGTGATCACACCACTGCACTCCAGCCTGGGTGACAGAGCAAGACCCTATCCCAGGGAAAAAAAAAAAAAAAAACAGAAGAAGAAGAATGACAAAGTGTTGATAATTGTTGAAATTAGATCTTGGGTATATGGAGGTTCTTATACCATTTTCTTTACTTTAGTGTAAGTTTGAAAATGTCCATAATAAAAAGTTTTTATTTTTTAACTAAAAGGGGATCTGGAGCAATTAATATGTTGGAAATAACAGGGTTCAAAGAAACTAACCTCTGTCCTGAAGCAAGGGCAATGGGAGACTGTCCATTGGGGGGCCGAGGATCCTCACATGTCTTCATCTCCACCTCTACCTTATCCAGACACTGAAATAGAAGTCAAGGAGAACTAAGCATTTACACAAATACACACACAGCACAATGACAGCACAGACTGTGTCATTCATCTCCGTGCTCCAGAGCCTAGTCAAGTGCTATACCCATTGTGGGCAGACAATAAATATTTACTGAGTGAATGAATGAATGAACAAACTAAAATGCAAGGAGAGTCCTCATTTTCCCCCTTCCATTTCCATTAGCAGCAGAACCTCATGACAAGCACGGGATGGGCTCAGAGCAAAAAGATAAAACACAAATCCAAGTTGTAGGAATATTATTTTTCCTGGGGATTCCAGTTTTTGGGATAAAGATACACATCAACCAGCTTCTGAAGGGCCCTCAACCGATAATCATCCAACAGTCAACCCAAACTAAACTTTTTTTTTTTTTTTCCCGAAACAGAGTCTTACTCTTATCACCCAGGCTGCAGGGTGATCTCGGCTCACTGCAACCTCTGCCTCCCAGGTTCAAGCAATTCTCCTGCCCCAGCCTCCCGAGTAGCTGGGATTACAGGCGCCTGCCACCACACCTGGCTAATTTTTTGTATTTTTAGTAGAGATGGGGTTTCACCATGTTGGTCAGGCTGGTCTTGAACTCCTGACCTCAGGTAATCTACCCACCTCTGCCTCCCAAAGTGCTGGCATTACAGCACCGCACCCGGCCCAAACCAAACTTCTAATTTTTCCTCTGTCAAGATTTCAAGGAGTGCCAGGCGCGGTGGCTCACGCCCGTAACCCCAGCACTTTCGAAGGCTGAGACGGGTGGATCACCTGAGGTTAGGAGTTCGAGACCAGCCTAGCCAACGTGGCAAAACCTCGTCTCTATTAAAAATATAAAAATTAGCTGGGCATGGTGGTACATGTAATCCTAGCTACTTAGGAGGCTGAGGCAGGAGAATTGCTTGAACCCAGGAGGCAGAGGTTGCAGTGAGCCATGGCACTCCAGCCTTAGTGACAAGAGCAAAACTCCATCTCAAAAAAAAAAAAAAAAATTTCAAGGGAAGATAGAAAAGTCTAAGGGTAGAGCCTAGGCAGCCATAATTGTTACACTAAAACCGAGAAAACAACTGAGAAGTCCTGGGTCTTGTGTCCCAGTGCTAATCCTATACCATACAGCAGTTCCAGAATAAGCCCAGACAACAGTCACACTGTCTCAGAGAGAAGCTCACAGGGACATAAGGAGACACCCACCATTCCTAAAAGGGTTAGCCTATCATTTTCTCCCTTATCTTCTAAAAGCCTACCCTGGCCATCCCCATTTGATAACTTGCAATCAAGAAAGGTCATTACCAAGCAAATAGGGTGTGTCTTCAACTTTGTCCACTGGATCTGAAAGAGGAAAGCAAAGTCTCAGGGCTGTGGTAGCTGACCCTCCAGAAAGCAGGCCTACTGGCCAAAGAGAACAGCAGCATTCTGACCCTCATTCTCACCCGGATGGAGGCCCTGTTGCAGTAGACCCGAGTGATGGCTAACCAGGTGGGCAGCTCCAGTACATTCTGTAGAACCTCTTCATCCAGCTCCAGGTTGGTCAGCTGACCCTCCCCTTTCAGGGTGCTCAGGTTGATTTTGTCTGGGGAAAGATTCTTAGTGAACCTGAAAAGAGTAATGATAAGAAGCTATTATTTCCATGGGAATCTGCTAATTGGGTATTACAGCCAAAACACTTCTGAATCTAGAGAAAAGAAAAAATTAAAGAACATTTGTTAAGGCTAGTCAAGTGAAGCAGTGGGAGTGAAGGAACACAGAAAACTGTAACTGGGGTTGTGATCAATTAGTTGTAAACACTGCACTCAGACCAGCCAGAACAAATGCACTCAGACCACACCATCTCTACACCATATAAGATGTTAGGTGAGACCTATGATTCTACTTATGATTGTGTCATCATCCTACTAAAGAACCTACGATGAGGATTCTGGGGCAATAGCTGTAGCAATGGCAATGTAGTCTTTCGGTATTTCTGAACCCTCGCATAAAAACAGACAGAGGGAGCCGGGCGCAGTGGCTCACGCCTGTAATCCCAGCACTTCGGGAGGCCAAGGCGGGTGGATCACCTGAGGTCGGGAGTTCGAGACCAGCCTGACCTACATGGAGAAACCCCGTCTCTACTAAAAATACTAAATTAGCCGGGTGTGGTGGCGCATGCCTGTAATCCCAGCTCCTCCAGAGGCTGAGGCAGGAGAATCACTTGAACCTGGGAGGCGGAGGTTGCAGTGAGCTGAAATCGTGCCATTGCACTCCAGCCTGGGCAACAAGAGCAAAACTCCATCTCAAAAAAAAAAAAACAGACAGAGGGCCAGGCGTGGTGGCTCACGCCTATAATCCCAGCACCTTGGGAGGCTTAGGCAGGAGGATCGCTGGAGCCTAGGAGATCGAGACAAGCCTGGGCAACACAGCGAGACCCTATCTCTAAAAAAAAAAAAAAAAAAAATTAGGCATGGTGGTGCATGCCTATAGTCCCAGCTACCCAGGAGGCTGAGGTTGAGGCTGCAGTGAGCCGTGATCATGACACTGTACTCTAAACTGAGATGACAGAGCAAGACCCATTATAAAAACAAACAAACACCAGACAGAGCAACTAGATAACAACACAGAAAGTCCATGAATAACATTTAAAACAAAATAGAATATGAAGTATCTTCATAAATCCCCATAGACAAGTGGGTGGGGAAAAAACAACAGCCACAAGACATAAGTGCTATCCAGCTGTCCAGAATAAAGTGGAGGGAAGCAAAAGGGCATCTGACAACTGAGAACTGAAGAACCCCAAGATAACCAACAACTATTAAATGAAAAGCAATGGGGACTGATTTGACAACAGTAACTGACACTGGGAGAGGGTTCTGTCCACTGCAAGGGATCTGTAGTGAGACCCCAAGGAGCTGGAGCAGTCTAGCCCTATAAACTCATGAAACTAACCTTCCCAAGCTCCTTCCTAGGAAAGGACCCCCACACAGAAAAGAATTAAAAATGAGCAAGATAGGGATGAGAGAAATGAAGAAAAGAGATGTTCTAGATAAAAGTAAGGGAGGGGAACAGAGACCTATTATCTCAGGAAGCAAGCTGTTATTTTTTTTTTTAGCACTACTTGAAATAACAGAAGAGGGAGCTACATGAAGTTAAGAATGTGAAACAGTAACAGGCTAATTATCAGCTTATTAAAGTAGGGTAAAATGAAATCCCAGACCCCTACACATATCTTTACTGATATGAAAAAAGAACAACCAGTCACCTGTAGTCTTCCCAAAGAGACTAAACTTGAATCTCATCAAGCCACTGGGTCCAGTTGCTAATTTGAAGGAAATACTGAGGACAGATGAAAACTGCTGAACTACACTGTAAGTGTGCAATCAGCAAAATCCAGACCATAGGAAACTCTATCGGTCAAATGGTCTTGAAATAAAATATTCACACAGGCCAGTCCTCTCACTATTTCTCACTGCTCCAGTCCTCGATGCTGTGCTCTCGCCAGCCACTCCATTTCCCTTTCCCTCCACACCACTATCTGCCATGCAAGGCTGAACTGGAGACTTCTCCCTGAGGCCTTCTTCCCCTAACTGCTGCAACTCACATTACACTCTTTTATTCTCCATTCCTGGAATCTGTAATGCATGTTTAGGTCATAATCATATGACAGTGTCTTAGGATGTTCTCTAATTCTCAAATGCATAATATAACCACCCCTGCTCAATTAAATTAAGCTCTTCAAGGTAAGGGGCTTAGTCTTGGCCATTCTTCCTAATCCAAATGATGACCCAACAGAATGCTGGCCCACATATCTCTTAGCTAACTGCCCTGCTGGCTAACTACTCCCAGTTCCCTTCTCTCATCTTTTTGGCTGGATCAATTTAAGGCCAGTTCCTCATAGCATAACCCTCTCTCCTGTAAGAAAAACAGGAAGGGGAATATCACACTCTGGGGACTGTGGTGGGGTGGGGGGAGGGGGGAGGGATAGCACTGGGAGATATACGTAATGCTAGATGACGAGTTAGTGGGTGCAGCGCACCAGCATGGCACATGTATACATATGTAACTAACCTGCACAATGTGCACATGTACCCTAAAACTTAAAGTATAATAAAAAAAAAAGTAAAAAAAAAAAAAGAAAAACTGTCTAAATTAATCTCACTCCTGTAATTCACTGCTGCTGCCTCTCATAGTCACTATTTTCACCCCAATCATGAATGGTATTTTGTCCACCAACCTTAACTATACTTAGTCTTTACATATATTAGATGCTAACAGTTTAGAGTTACATATCTATATATTTACCAACTTTTTTCACTATATGTATCTTTTCCTTTTACTAAACTATGTTTTAGTGTTTTTGCTTTTCCTTGGACCATAAAATCATGACGTGCAAAAGTTTATCTTTGCAATTTTTTTCTAAAGTACTTAAGAAGGTACTATGAAAACAGCTCTTTAACAAATTTTAAATGACAGTAAAAATCATTTTTAGAAGTTTGTGAACATGCAAAACAATACCGTATGATATTAAGGGATACACAGGAATGCATTGGCATGATGACAAATTTAGGAAAGTGCTTACCTGTGGGGTAAGGGGAGGGGTCGACAGGAAGCTTCAACTGTATGGATAACGCTTATTTCTCAAGTTGAGAGGTGACTGTATGGCTTTTCATTACGCTACTCCATACCTTTTGTACAGCAAATATTTTGTAACAAATTTTTCTAAGATTTCTATCAATTATCTATTTACGTACTTAGTGTTGGGAATGCTATTCCTCCATTGAGTCTCGTTTTTTTCTTTTTTTTTTCTGAGACAGGATCTCACCCTGTCACCCAGGCTGGAGTGCAGTGGTACCATCATGGCTCACTGCAGCCTCAACCTCCTGGCCTCAAGCTATTCTCCCACCTCAAACTCCCTAGTAGCTGGGACTACAGGCACACATCACTATGCTTGGCTAATTTTTATATTTTTTGTAGAGACAGGGTTTTGCCATGTTGCCCAGGCTGGTCTCAAACTCCTGGGTTGAAGCAATCCACCTGCCTCGGCCTACCAATGTGCTGGCATTACAGATGTGAGCCATTGTACCCGGCCTCATGGGTCTCTCTTAATCCTACACATCTGGCCGGGCGCGGTGGCTCACGCCTGTAATCCCAGCACTTTGGGAGGCCAAGGCGGGCGGATCACGAGGTCAGGAGATCGAGACCATCCTGGCTAACACGGTGAAACCCCGTCTCTACTAAAAATACAAAAAAAAAAATTAGCCGGTCGTGGTGGCGCATGACTGTAGTCCCAGCTAATCGGGAAGCTGAGGCAGGAGAATGGCGTGAACCCGGGAGGCGGAGCTTGCAGTGAGCCCAGATAGCGCCATTGCACTCCAGCCTGGGCGACAGAGCGAGACTCCACCCCCCCAAAAAAAAAAAAAAAAATTCCTACACGTCTTGCTGGGCCTTTCAAGAATGCATGGTCCTAACCACTTCTTACTCAGGCCTCTTCTCAGGATTGTGGTTACAGAGGACAGCTTTCAGTAATGAAATAATCTCTCCCACTAGGACAAAGAACAGGCCTGCTTACCATTTACTATAAAAGCAATGGATTCCCCAAGCTCAGTGTTCTATTCCTATAACACATATGCAGGCATCCATCTGGGCCCATTCATGTCACTCCCACAGGACTCTGGAGGCAAGGAAAATTGACATAAACATTATACTTATGCTGCTTGCTGGGCCATGAAAAACAGGCTGTGAGTAATAAAGTCCTTTGTCTCTGATCCAGAAGTCTTGTGTGTTCCCCCAGCATCCATGAAACAGTAGGAGTTAATAATTAGCTTCTAAATAGGGTAAAATAAAATCCCAGGCCCTTACACATACTTTTACTGATTTTAATTCACTTTAAAAAATTTAATCTACATTTACTGAGTATGAACTAACTTTATTCTCTGAACCAAAAAGACAAGTTTTCAATAAATGGTTCTTTTCCTCTGAAAACAACTTGCCACAGAGGGAAGGTGATTATTTCTCTTCCGGAAAGAAATGGTTCTTCAGTCCTTTTCCTAAACAAATGGCTATCTACAAGGAAATAGGACTGAGGTACGAAGGAGAAATAAACTCATCTAAATACTTCCTAATAAGACAACAACAAAAGGAAGTAAAGGAAGACAGTGCATGCCCCTAAGGACTCTGAGGAGACAGTAGTCCTGACAGAAGCGAAAGCAGAAAACAGAACTCAACATTATTTGTAATCACTAGGCACGGGCAAATTCTTTTTCAAGTCTCTTATGTATTTAAATAAAATATTATAATTATTTCCTTCTACTGTCCTAGCAACCCTTCCTCTAATCTTAAGTGGTCCAGGGAAGCCATATCAATTCAGAAATTGGGGCAGGGCATAGTTCAGAAGTACTACTAGTCTTAGAAAGATAAGAATGTTTTAACAGGCAGAATGAGTTTTGAAGACTGCAACTACATGTCTCCTCCTGTCCAACCGCACAGATTCTGATAAGATGTTACCTTTCTACCCCAGCTGAGAATTCTTGTAGAAGTGAGCCACTGTCAAGGATGGAAGTAAGGATCCCTCTGATAGGCAGGAGTAAGGAGAAAAGGCTGAGAACCACTAAGATAAACTGCTCTTTCATATGATAAAAAGCCATTTTTATTTTATTTTATTTTTTGAGACAGTCTCACTCTATCATCCAAGCTGGAGTGTAGTGGCGTGATCACGGCTCACTGCAGCCTCGACCTCCTGGGGCTCAAGTGACCCTCCCAATCTCAGCCTCCAGAGTAGCTAGAACCACAAGTGCATGTCACTATACCCAGCTAATTTTTTTTATTTTTTGTAGAGATGGGGTCTCCCTTTGTTACCCAGGCTGGTCTGGAACTTCTGGGCTCGGCTCAAGCAATCCTCCCACCTCAGCCTCCCAAAGTACTGGGATTACAGATGTGAGCCACTGTGCCCAGCCACTTTTAAAGAAAAGAAAGTGAGATAGACGTTTTCAAACTGATGACTTCTCTGAAAAAAGAGAAACATACTTCAGATAAAATAAAACATAAACACAGTCAAGAATAAGTTATACTGTTAGCTAGCACTGACATTCTCTGAGTGATTATACTAAGTAAGTGCTAAGTATCTAATTTCTACGTTGTGTTCTTTGCAAAATCTAACTCTATTTACAGTTCCATATAGATAAATGTATTTTTCAAGCCTTAACAAAAAAAGTATATCAGATTGTATTACATTTCATCCTAACCTTGCCAGTTTTTAGGGCAATGCATCTCAAACTATGGTCCTCTGATCACATGGATCTTAATTATTTTGGAATGCTTATTTTAAAATGCAGGCCGGGCACGGTTGCTCACACCTGTAATCCCAACACTGGGAGGCCGAGGCGGACAGATCACTTGAGGCCAGGAGTTTGAGACCAGCCTGGCCAACATGGTGAAATCCCATCTGTACTAAAAAATCACAAAAAAATTAGCCGGGCCATGGTGAGGCATGCCTGTAATCCCAGCTACTTGGGAGGCTGAGGCATGAGAATCGCTTGAACCTGGGAGGCAGAGGTTGCAGTGAGCCAAGTTTGCACCACTGCACTACAGCCTGGGCAACAAAGTGAGACTCTGTCTCAAAACAAACAAATAACAAAATAATAATTACACGTATTTTTGCCCCATAGGCTGGACCAGATCAATATCCTTTTGTCAGCTAAAAGAAAATTTCATTTTTAAAACATAATTTGGCCAGACACGGTGGCTCACCCCTATAATCCCAGCACTTTGGGAAGCCAAAGCAGGCAGATCACCTGAGGTCAGGAGTTCAAGACCAGCCTGGCCAACATGGAGAACCTCCATCTGTACTAAAAATACAAAAATTAGCCAGGCATGGTGACACATGCCTGTAATTCCAGCTACTAGGGAGGCTGAGGCAGGAGAATCACTTGAACCCGGAAGGCAGAGGTTGCAATGAGCTGAGATCATACCACCACACTCCAGCCCGGGCAACAGAGGAAGACTCTGTCTCAAAACAAACAAACAAACAAACAAACACCAACTTATTTTGTACACCACAAGCGGGAAAAAGCATTATTCTCTGGCCTGAGCCACCAAAACCAAACTACAAATAATAATGACATTTTACTTTGCACCAGGCACTGAACGAAGGGTCTTCATAACATCTGAATTAATCTTTGCAATATCCCACATGAGGTATGCATTATTATCCCCATTGCTCAGAGGAAGAGCATGAGGTTCGGATATGAAGCAGTTTGCCCTAGATGACAGGGCAAGAAGAGGCAGTATGAACCCAGGTGTGCTCACTGGTGTTTACTTCTACTAACATTTTAATATTATAAGTTCCCCCAAAACACACCTGGCACAGAATAAATTTATAAGGTATCTCAGAAGTGGTTGGAGGACATTCTTTTGCTTTTTATAATCTACCATGGTGTGCTTAACCTGTGTTAAGGGGAATACATCTAAACTTTTTTGTTAAAGTTAATAGTGTAACTCCATCAAAAACCTTTCTGCACTTCACCAACTCAACCAGATTAATAAATTTTTTCTTAAGCATGCCCAGGGCTAATTTTCCACCATTCCAGCAGGGACACCCAGTCTCTAGCAACATGCTAACAAGAGACCACAGAGGATACTGTGCCATCAGGTCTAAGATTAACAATACAAGCAAGTAATCACCAAAAGCTGAACAGCACTAAACAACCAAGAGTTCTTCAAGCACTCGAAGGACTGCTGATGGTGCATGCACGTCTGCTGGACCACCATGAGCGGTCCTCCTGTGACTGTAATAATGATATAACATATATACGCTTTTTCACTTTTCAGTTTACTTTTAGGAGTCAACAAAAAATGGATACTGCCTTATTCAAGCTTCTCAAAAAAGGCAGTAAGAATTCTTTAACTGATTTTGCCTGCATTTTAGAGCAATAACAAAGAATAGGTTAAAAAAAATAAAAGATGGTCGGGCACAGTGGCTCATGCCTGTTAATCCCAGTAGTTTGGGAGGCCAAGGCAGGTGGATTGTTTGAGCCTAGGAGTTTGAGACCAGCCTGGGCAACATGGTGAAACCTCATCTCTACTAAAAATACAAAGACTAGTTGGGCATGGTGGCACACCTGTAATCCCAGCTACTTGGGAAGTTGAGGCACAAGAATTGCTTGAACCCAGGAGGTGGAGGTTGCAGTGAGCTGAGATTGTCCCACTGCACTCCAGCCTGGGCGACATAGCGAGACTCTGTCTCAAAAAATAAAAGTAATAAAAATAAAAATAAAAGATGTTCCATGGGCCTGACTGTTGTTGGGGAGGGTTGGGGAGGTTTGGGGAGGTTTGCTCAGCCAAGGAAACTACAGCTCTGAGAATTATATAAGAGGCCCAAGTTTCAGCTCTCTCATCACCTGGAGAGGGAAAATAGCTCAAACTCTCTGCCTATAATGGAATACAACTGGGTTAAACTGCAGCAACGTGATGATAAAACCAACTATTCCAAGTCATCTTCAATAGCCAGTCTAAAATTCACAAACTGCAACCAGATATTGAATTCTTGAGAAGAATTATGTTGTATACTTCTCTTTCTATACCCCACAGTCCCTGGCAGAAAAAAAGCATTTGTGTTCCTAATTGAGGATAATATCATTCAGAGTCCAAGGGCAGCTAAAAAGGCTAATGGCAGCCTGCTATTTATTCCACTTCAAGTATGTGGGAAAACATTTTCTGGCCATCTGTTACTGTTACAGAGTGTAAAAGCTAAGATGAAATCAGGTTGGAAAAACAGATTTTGATCAAGTTTCATTTCTGCCAGAGGATTGCAATGTGCCAAAGAGACGACAGGGAAAGGCTCTCATCTTTGTGAAAATGTATCACAATGTTTGGAAGTGAAAATTCTTAGATTTGCAAATTCGCAGAATTTCAGAGCTAGAAGGAATCTTAAATAATTGTTTAGTCCAAATCTACATTTGCCAATGAGGAAACAAATGGCCAAAAAGCTTAATGACTTGCCCAAGACTCACAGCTTGCCAGTGGTAAAGCTGGAACTAAGTAAATAACAGAAATGGGACTTAACCCAGCATTCATTCAACTCTGACAACACCATGCCCTCTGTAATTCAGCATCTTTATTGGGAATAATAGGGTCAATAAGTTGCAACAGTCAGTCGACTTCAGCTCTCATAGAAATTGAACCCTCCTGGGAGAAATAAAAAGGTCCACAAATACACTTTGCTTCCTTCACCATTTTTTCCATTGAGGAGGTGATCACAGCCAGAGCCTTGGCTTCTAAGCTTCCTACCCAAATCTACAGCAAAATATTTTCACTACTAAGCCACACCACAGGCTTCTCTTTAAACAAAGATATAACACAACACTGAAGCAGTTGGTTTAGATAGCAGGATTCTCTCCATCATCCAAACAAAACATATCAATCACTAATATAGCTAATGCCATTTCATCCCAGATAATCTGATATAATAAGCCATTCAATCTTAGAGGTTTGTCCTAATAGGTTTTACTCTCAAAACTTCTTCATTGGTCAGGTGCAGTGGCTCACACCTATAGTCCCAGCACTTTGGAACTGCTTGAAGCCAAGAGTTCAAGACCAGCCTGGACAACAAAGCGAGACCCTGTCTCTATGAAAAAAAAAAAAAAATTAATTAGCTGGATGCAGTGGCTCATGCCTGTAGTCCCAGCTACTCAAGAGCTGGGGTGGGAGGATCCCTTGATCCTTTGAGGGTGCAGTGGGCTACGATGGTGCCTCTACACTCCAGCCTGAGCAACAGAGTGAGACCTTATCTCTAAAAAGAAAACTGCATGACAATATTACATGCTTTTCTTAGGAGAACCTTCTTTCCTTCTAAATTTTTGTTTGTTGTTTACAATGTTGGGTTTTTTAACTGTTGTGTTATTTAAGGTGCAATTTCCATACAGTGGCTCATCTCGTCTTTTTTTTTTTTTTAAGACGGAGTTTCGCTCTGTTGCCCAGGCTAGAGTGCAGTGGCTCAATCTCAGCTTACTGCAACCTCCACCTCCTGGGTTCAAGCAACTCTCCCTGCCTCAGCCTCCCGAGTAGTTGGGATTACAGGCACCCGCCACCATGCCTGGCTAATTTTGTATTTTTAGTAGACATGGGGTTTCACCATGTTGGCCAGGCTGGTCTTGAACTCCTGACCTCAGGTGATCCTCCCACCTTGGACTCCCAAAGTGCTGGAATTACAGGCATGAGCCACTGTGCCTGGCTTAACTCTTTTTTCTTTTTTTAAGAGCTAGAGTCTCACTGTTACCGAAGCTGGAGTACACTGGCACAATCATAGCTCTCTGTAACCTCAACCTCCTGAGCTCAAGTGATCCTCCCTCAGCCTCCCAAGGAGCTAGGACTACAGGTGCACTCCACTACACCCAACTAAGTTTTTGTTTGTTCATTTGTTTTTGAGACGAAGTCTCACTCTGTTGCCCAGGCTGGAGTACAGTGGCACGATCTCGGCTCACTACAAACCACCTCCTGGGTTCAAGCGATTGTCCTGCCTCAGCCTCCCGAGTGGGCAGGATTACAGGCCTGCATCACCATGCCCGGCAAATTTTTGTATTTTTAGTAGAGATGCGGGGGGGGGGGTCTCACCATGTTAGCCAGGCTGGTCTCGAACTCCTGACCTCAAGTTATCCACCCACCTCAGCCTCCCAAAGTGCTGGGATTACAGGTGCCTGGCCTTTTTTTAAACACTTTTGTAGAGATAGTCTCAATATATTGCCATGGCTGAACTCCTGGACTCAGGAGATCCTCCCATTTCAGCCTCACAAAGTGTTGAGATTACAGGTGTGAGCCATCGCACGTGGCTATGACTCATGTCTGAACTTTCTATTTTGTTCATCTGACCTATATATACTTATGCCAATACCACACTGTCTTTAATACTGCAGCTTCATTTTAGGCATTAAAAAATCCTTTGTGTTCATTTGTTCAGATTATTCTGACCATTCTAGGTCTTTTTCATTTCCATATAGATTTTCAAATCAGCCTGCCTATTTCTGTTTTTAAAAAAATCTGCTGAAACTGATTGGGATTACAGTGAATCTTAGCTCAATTTAGGGAGACCTCACATATCAACAATAATGAGTCAGCCCGTCCCTGAACATAACACACATTGAATGTTTATTTGCATTTCTCTAGACTGCCAATGTCACCACGCACAGTCTATGTTTGTGTGTCTAAGTTTTGATAAATTCGATAAAAGTGTGGAAAAATTTTTGGAGATTTGTGACAACTTGAAAAAACTTGCAGACAAACCTGATAGCCTAGAAATATTTTTTAAATTAAGAAAAGGTTAGGTATGTCATGAATGCATAAAATATATGTAGATACTAGTCTATCATTTACTATCCTAAAGTTTATACTAATCTATTATAAAAAGTTGAAATTTATCGAAACTTAAGTGCAAAAATACTTACAGACTATACATGACACCATTTGCAGTCAGGAGAAATGTAAACAAATATAAAGATGCAGTACTAAATGATAACTGGCCAGGCACAATGGCTCACACCTGTACTCACAGCACTTTGAGAGGTCGAGGCAGGAGGAATGCTTGAGCCCAGGAGTTTGAGACCAGCCTGGGCAACATAGTGAGACCCATCTCTACAAAAAAACAAAATAATTAGCTGGGCATGGTGGCACACGCCTGTGGTCCCAGCTACTCAGTAGGCTGAGGTGGGAGTATCAGTAAAGGTTGCAATGAGCGATGATCATGGAATGCAATCCAGCCTGGGTGACACAGCGAGACCCTGTCTCAAGTAACTACTAAATAATCATAACTGCATAAAATTAACTGTAGTACACGCTATACTGCTGTGATAATGTTGTAGCTATCTAATACTGCAGTAAGCTCACGTGTTATGAGGATCTGCTTAAAACGTTGTATGATGTGAATCATGTCATCTCAGCAAGAGCAGTTCATCTCTCCAATAAATTGCATATTGCAGTAAAAAAGTGGTCTCTTGTGTTTCTTGTGTACTATTCATGATGCTTAGTGCAATACTGTAAACCCTGAATAACACCATGGGACCCACACAATGTGCCACTAATGATGCTGGAAATGCTCCCAAGAAGCAGAGAAAAGTCATGACATTGTAAGGAAAAGTTTAATAGTTTGATATTTCCTATAGATTGAGATCTGCAGCTCCCGGTATCCGCCACTTCAGAAACCTGATTCATCTTGTAAACAGATGATGTAAACTTGTGGCATGCATAGATTTAGTACAGAAAAACTGTAAATGTATTTATCTTCCTTATGATTTTCTGAATAATGTTTTCTTTTCTCTGGCTTACTTTATTGTAAGAATACAATATATAATACATATACAAAATATGTGTCAATCAACTGTTTGTTATCAGTGAGGCTTCCAGTGAACAGTAAACTATTAGTAGTAAGTTTTTAGGCCAGGCACAGTGGCTCATGTCTACAATCCCAGCAATTTGGGAGGCCAAGGCAGGTGGATCACATGAGGCCAGGAGTTCGAGACCACCTTGGCCAACACGATGAAACCCCGTCCCTACTAAAAATACAAAAAATTAGCCGGGCATGGTGGCACACTCCAGTACTCAGAGGCTGAGGCAGGAGAATCGCTTGAACCCGGGAGGCAGAGGTCGCAGTGAGCTGAGATCACAGCACTGCACTCCAGTCTGGGCAACAGAGCAAGACCCTGTCTCAAAAAACAAACAAACAAACGAACAAAAAAACAAAAAACGTTTTTGGGGAGTCAAAAGTTATACATGGATTTTCAACTATGCATGGGGACTGGTACCCCTAAATTCCACTACTGTTCAAGGGTCAACTGTCTTTTATTAAGAACTTATTAATCTTTGTTCACAATGAATATTGATCTGAAGTTTTTGTTTTTGAGACAGAGTCTTGCTCTGTAGCTCAGGCTGGAGTGCAGTGGTGCAACTGCTGCTCACTGCAGCCTCAACCTCCTGGGCTCAATCAATCCTCCTGCCTCAGCCTCCTGAGTAGTTGAGACTAGTGGCATGCACCACCACGCCCAACTAATTTTTCAATTTTTTGTAGAGACAGGGTTTTGCCATGTTGCCCAAGCTGGTCTCAAACTCCTGGGCTCAAATGATCCTCCCACTTCAGCCTTCCAAAGTGCTGGAAATACATGGCTGAACCACCAAACCTGGCGGTCTGAAGTTTTCTTTCCTTATAACATCTTTGTCATGTTTTTCTTATCAAGGTCATACTGAATTTATTAAACAAGTTTGGAAGTATTTATTTCCTAAAATAATTTCTGTAAAATGGGTATTAAGTATTTCTTAAATGTTTAAAAGAAATCACCAATGAAACTATATGAGCCTTTATTCAAATAATTTTGTGCATTTCACTTAAGCTATTGAATTTATTGACAAAAAGATGTTCAGGCTAGGTGCAGTGGCTTACACCTGTAATCCTAACACTTTAGGAGGCTAAGGCAGGATGGCTTGAGTCCAGGAGTTTGAGACCAGTCTGGGCAACATGATGAAACCCTGTCTCTACAAAAAATAAAAAAATTAGGCATGGTGGCATGCACCTGTAGTCCCAGCTACTGGGGAGGCTGAGGTGGGAGGATCCCTTGACCCCAGGGGGTTGAGGCTGCAGTGAGCCGTGACTGTGTCACTGCACTCCAGCCTGGGCAACAGAGTGAGATCCTGTCTCAACAGAAAAAAAAAAAGGTGTTCATAATATCCCTTAACATCTTTTTAACATCTGTACGATCTATAATGATAACCCCTCTTTCACCGCTGACAATATTTATGTTTTCTCTTTTTTCCTTGATCAGTCTTGCTAAAGGTGAACTAAATCCATTAATCTTTTCCAGAAACAAAACAATTTTTGATTATATTAATTCTCTGTTTGCCCTGCTTTTAATTTCACTGATTTCTATTCTTTTTTTTTTTTTTTTTTTTTTTTGAGACGGAGTTTCACTCTTGTTGCCCAGGCTGGAGTGCAACGGAGCGATCTCGACTCACTGCAACCTCCGCCTCCCAGATTCAAGGGATTCTCTTGCCTCAGCCTCCTCCAGAGTAGCTAGGATTACAGGTGCCCGCCACCACGCCCAGCTAATTTGGTATTTTCAGTAGAGATGAAGTTTCACCATGTTGGTCAGGCTGGTCTCGCACTTCTGACCTCAGGTGATCCACCCGCCTCGGCCTCCCAAAGTACTGGGATTACAGTCATGAGCCACCGCGCCTGGCCCACTGATTTCTATTCTTATTATTAGACAGAGTCTCACTCTGTTGCCCAGGCTGGAATGCAGTGGTGTCATCTCAGCTCACTGCAACCACTGCCTCCCGGTTCAAGCGATTCTCCTACCTCAGCTTCCTGAGTAGCTGAGATTACAGGTGCCCATCACCACACCCAGCTAATTTTTTGTATTTTTAGTAGAGATGGGGTTTCAACATGTTGGCCAGGCTGATCTCGAACTCCTGACCTCAAATGATCCGTCCACCTCGGCCTCCCAAAGTGCTGGGATTAGAGGCGTGAGCCACCGCACCCAGCCTACATTTTCTATTTTGACAGATATTCCCATATTTCTTTCATAGACATGATATGGATTTACACTGTCAACAAATCTAACTCACTGCATACATTTCCCAGACCCACGGTAGCTGTCTAGCCCATGACTTGCAGCACTCTCATTTACTGCCATTCCAATACTGGGCCAGTTGAAAGAACAAGGATTCCCCAGAGGTTCTCTTTTCTTAATTCGCAACAGTAGCCTTGCTGAACATTCTAATTCCCTCCTCTAAGCACAAAGACTTGCTAAAACCCAGCCTGTTTAGCTGAAGCCCTAATAATCTGTTTGGCTTGAGCCAGTCTTCTTTCCTAGAAGTGAATATCTTCAGGCCAGGCGCAGTGGCTCACACCTGTAATCATTCTAGAATTAGAACTTAGAGCTCCTCAGTGACTCTATCTCAGGGATAGCAACCCTCTACCCGCTTTCATTTGACCATTCAGCTCCCACGGTGGTTAGGGCCCAAATTCTTTCCCTACACTAGTCCTGAAGATACTATACCTCATGACTCATGTATTGGCATGTCTCACTTTGTTAGGAACAGTTCTTGTCATCCTAACACAGTTCCCTTAATTTCCTTTACTTCCGCTTCTTGACCATTCCCAAACTTACATCTAGGACAATAATTGATAAACTCTAAATATTAGATTCCTAGTGTTAAAACCTACATGCAGGCTCTAGATTACCTAAAGTGAAAATGTACTTGCTAATGCTCAGAAAAGGAAGGCCTATTCCACTAACAGGCATTGCTTGTTATTCACTATTGGATAAGAATAGGTTATCTGCTGGGTGCAATGGGTCATGCCTGTAATCTCAGCACTTTGGGAGGCCGAGGCAGGTGGATCACTTGAGGTCAGGAGTTCGAAACCAACCTGGCCAACAAGGTGAAACCCTGTCTCTGCTAAAAGTACAAAAATTAGCCGGGCGTGGTGGCAGGAGCCTGTAATCCAGCTACTCAGAAAGCTGAGGCAGAAGAATCGCTTGATCCAGGAGGAGGAGGTTGCAGTGAGCTAAGATTGCGCCACTGCACTCCAGCCTGGGTAACAGAGCAAAACTCCATCTTGGGGAGGGGGGGAGAATAGGTTATCCATGTTACTGCCTCAAAGAGCTATTTAGAGAAGTGTAGCATATATCTTTGAAAACTGCCCAAGGAAGAAACTGAGGATAAGAAAATTCATACAGTAAGGCTGTCGTTAGTTTCTGAGCAGAACTGACCCTAACTTTGACCAACATGTACGCTTAGGTTAAGAGGCAAAGACTGTGCAAAATGAGCTCTCTTTTACCAATGGTGGTGAAAGAAAAGCCCTGTCAGACATCTGAGTTGTTTCACCTGGGCAAATGACTGCACGAACACGTACCTAAGAGAGCAGCACATTCAACTGGCTAGGGTTAATGGGCTCAAACCATACAAAAGAGCTGTGGAGGATACAAATAAGAATTTAAAATAAAAACAAAGGTCTCTAACCCTAAGGACTATGAGATCCTTAAGAGCAAGAACTGGGACATTTAGTCTACGTCAAACATAAAGTCTAGGAAAAGGATGCTCAATTAATGCTTAATGACTTGATAACAATACAAAGCAAATAAATGATAATTGCCAAATAGGTGGAATGAGCTATCCAACAATCCATCTACATTCTTCTACACATTGCAAATCAACTCTAATATGTCTGATTAATCAGACTTGTTAAACCAGGTTTAAGACTATCATCTGTAAATATGAAAATAAATTTCTTTGTGAGGTTGAGGTAGAAGGCACACTCTTCCCATTAGAGAGAATTAGGTGTGCAAAGTGCTTAAAAAGGAGACAGAGAAATAAATACCTTTTAAAAGCCCAGTCTACAAGCTTTTATAATAAAATTAATATCCAGGAAAAATGGAAAAGGATGCTATTGCTCTGAGAATAAAATTATTTTTAAAATAATAGCTAACATTTAATAATTGCTTACTTTATTCCAGGTACTGCTCTAAGCACTTTATACTTTTTTTTTTTTTTTTTTTTTTTTTGAGATAGGGTCTTGCTATATCACCCAGGCTGGTCTTGAACTCCTGGGCAGGCTCAAGCAATCCTTCTGCCTCAGCCTCCTGAGAAGCTGAGAATACAGGCATGCACCACCACACCCAGCTTATCTTTTTTTTTTTTTTTTTTTGAGACCAAGTCGCCTTCTGCTGCCCAGCCTGGGGTGCAATGGCACTATCTAGGCTCACTGCAACCTCCGCCTCCCAGGTTCAAGTGATTCTCCTGCCTCAGCCTCCCAAGTAGCTAGGATTACAGGCATGAACCACCATGCCTGGCTAATGTTTGTATTTTTAGTACAGATGGGGTTTTGCCATGTTGGCCAGGCTTGTCTCAAACTCCTGACTTCAAGTGATCTGCTTGCCTCAGCCTCCCAAGGTGCTAGGATTACAGGTGTGAGCTACCACGCCCAGCCATCCAGCTTATATTTAACTATTTTTTTTTTGAGTCATGATCTCACTCTGTCGCCCAGGCTGAAGTGTAGTGGCACAGTCACGGTTCACTGAAGCCTCGACCTCTCAGGCTAAGGTGATCCTCCCAAGTAGCTGGGACTACAGGTGTGTGCCACGATGCCCAGCTAATTTTTTTATTTTTTGTAGAATTGGAGTCTTGCTATGCTACCCAGGCTGGTCTGGAACTTCCGAGCTCAACCCATCCACCCACCTTGGGCTCCCAAAGTGCTAGGATTACAGGTGTGAGCCACTGTGCCCGGCCTATACATTTTAAATTAATTTATTTATCTCAATGACCTCATGATGTAAAAGATTACTATTATCGCCACTTTATATATGAGAAAACTGAGGCATAGAAAGGTCAAATAACTTGCCCAGGTCATAGAGCTAGTAATCAACAGAGCTAAGATTCAAAATCTGGCAGTCTGGCTCAAGAACCTGCAACCTTAACTAAACCATACAATCTCCCTGACTTTTAAAAAAGTCAACACAGGTGTAGAGGTTTGGAGATGTTTCAGTTGCCTCAGATCAAAGGCAGTAGCAACTGAAGGCAGCAGGGAACAAGCTGAGCCCTATCTAGATGTCTTGGTATAGTACAAAAGGCCTCCATGATCTAGCTTCTGTCTTTCCAATATCATTTCTAGCTGTGTTCCACCCTCAAACCCTACATTCAAGTGATACAGAACCATAGGCAATCTCCTAAATGCACCCTGCTGCTTCTCAGTATCATTGTTCATGCGGCTCCCTCTGCCTGGCATCACCTTTCTTCCCATCTGTGCCACTCCCCACTCCAACCCCCCAGCTCTGCAGATACTTCTTAATGCATTACTGGGCTTTCTGCTTACAGACCTACTGGCAGTTAGGTCCTTAAAGAGAAACCTTGTCTCATTTGTCTTTGAGTTCCTACTGCTTGGCAACCAATGGCAGATGGGCAATAAAGTTTGCCTAAATAATTAATGAATAAATAGTCTCAAAAACAGAGTCCCCAAAGGTAGCTCAGGGTCTGGGTCCAGCTGACAAAAAGGATAGACTACCTGAACTCTCCAGCCCAGACATCCAGGAAGAGCTAAGACACTACCTACAGATGTGTATCCAATATTACTGCAGCAAACCTTCCTTAAAGACGCTAGGAAGCTCACCTGGGCTCAGAGGACTAAAGAGCCAGAGCCTGCCTGAAAGGAAGACAGTGTGGGGATTTACTGAGGCTCAGCAAAAGGATACACATACTACTATATACTGCCAGGCCTCTAATTTCGTATCAGCCGCTGTGAAGACACTTTCTCAAATGAAATGTGTTCCTCAACTGCAGCCCCTTCTTTCATCCAAGTTTAAAGAAAGATTTAAAAAAGAAAGAAAAAGAAAAACAGGTTTATCTGAGAAGGAAAAATAAAGTTTTCAGCATTGCCTAGGAAAGCACCGAGACAGATGACCAGAAGCAGTCAGCTTGGATTAACTAGTATTCCCTCCTTACTCGGATTTTCTACATATTAGAACTCTTCAACTTTCAAATGACTGATACATACCACGCTCCCCACACCCATGTCCTGTCCCCAATGCCACAGAAATCATTTTGGAAAAACAAAAACAAACTGGGAACTTTTGGAGTATCTGTGGATTCAGAAGCTGTGAAAGTAAGGGTAGCTTAGGAGAGCAGACCTAGTAGGACATATTCTGAATTAGATCTGGTTATTTATTTGGTGGCATTCCTGCTCCAAAATATGTTCTCTACTTTTCCTCTTGACTTAGCTGAAATCTTATATCCTAAAGATTTGAGGATTCTGGTAAAAAAAAGAGTAAGGGAAACTGAGCATGCAGACCTGAGCAGGTTGGGGGTACAGTAGCAAAGCACTGAGGGCAAAATCAGAGCAACTGGGGGCATGAGAAGAGAGACCTCCAGAGGTGAGTAAGAGACATATAGTAGGGAAAAAGAGTGTACAAGAGCAAACTTTAGCTGTTTCAAAATTTCATACAAAAGAAATTTCATACTAAGTCACCAGTTTTCAACCCTAACAGACTCAACTCAATTCCTTTTTTTTTTTTAACTTTACAATGCCTCTCTTAGTTACTAAAATCATTATTTTTTATTTTTTGATACAGGGTCTTGCTCTGTTGCTCAGGCTGGAGTGCAGTGGCGCGATCACAGCTCACTGCAACCTTGACCTCCCGGCTCAAGCAATCCTCCCACCTCAGCCCCCCAAGTAGCTGGGACTACGACAAACACACGCCACCATGCCCCACACCCAGCTAATTTTTGTATTTTTTGTAGAGACGGGTTTCACCATGTTGCCCAGGGTGGCCTGGAACTCCTGAGCTCAAGCGATCTGTCCACCTTAGCCTCCCAAAGGGCTAGGATTATAGGTGTAAGCCACTGCGCCCAGCCTCTCAAGTGATTTTTTTTACATATAATATAACCTACTTACTTACGCACATGATTTCAAAAAAAGTAAAATACAATGTCCAAAGTATAATATAAAAGGAAAATAATTTACAATAAAATCATTTGTATTTCAACATGTTAAGTGCTCCAACACCACTGCACCAGAAGACAAAGTTGTCAGATGTTTGCATGCAAACGTGGAATCACCAGGATTTGGACTACTAAAAATGCAGACAGGCTGGGCAGGGTGGCTCACACCTGTAATCCCAGTACTTTGGGAGGCCGAGGCAGGCGGATCACCTGAGGTCAGGAGTTCAAGACCAGCCTGGCCAACATGGTGAAACCCCATCTCTACAAAAATAAGCTGAGCATGGTGGTGGGTGCCTGTAATCCCAGCTACTTGGGAGGCTGAGGCGGGAGAATCGCTTGAACCCGGGAGGCAGAGGTTTCAGTGAGCCGAGATCGCACCATTACACTCCAGCCTGGGCAACATGGCAAGACTCCGTCTCAAAAAAAAAAAAAATTAGCCGGGCTTGGTGGTGGGCACCTGTAATCCCAGCTACTCAGGAGGCTGAGGCAGGAGAATTGCTTGAACCCCGGGAGGCAGAGGTTGCAGTGAGCTACGATCGCACCGTTGCACTCCAGCCGTGGCAACAAGAGCAAAACTCCATCTCAAAAATAAACAAATAAATAAATAATAAATAATAAAAATGCAGGCATATACAACTTTATCATATTGGTGATTCCAATACCAAGAGTAACAGCATTTTCCAAAACGGTGACAAATTCTTGGTAAAGTTCAAAACGATCTTCCCTCATGGCAGTTTCCTAAAATATTCACTATAGTTTAAAGCTGTGCAGGCCAGGCATGGTGGCTCACGCCTGTAATCCCAGCACTTGGGGAGGCCGAGGTGGGTGGATCATGAGGTCAGGAGATCGAGACCATCCTGGCTAACACGATGAAACTCCGTCTCTACTAAAAATACAAAAAACTAGCCAGGTGTGGCGGCGGGCGCCTGTAGTCCCAGCTACTCCGGAGACTGAGGCAGGAGAATGGCGTGAACCGGGAGGCGGAGCTTGCAGTGAGCCAGAGCTTGCAGTGAGCGGAGATGGCGCCACTGCACTCCAGCCTGGGAGACAGAGCGAGACTCCGTCTCAAAAAATAAATAAATAAATAAATAAATAAATAAATAAAATAAAGCTGTGCGATATTTTGTGCTTTTATGTAAAATAGAGTCTAAGCTCATTTAATCTATACAGTGGATTCAGCTACATAAACATCTAACGACATTCAAAAGTCAAAAAGGACAAGGGACAATGCTTCTTTATGTGAGATTATTCCATGTACTGCAGGACACGGCCCCCCATTCACCAAACGCTAGTCATGCCCCTCAGTCACTGTGACAACCAAAAACAGTCCTTGGTGAGATACAATGATCTAAAGGAACTTACTCCAAGGAATAGGAAAAAAAATACTTTTCCCCCCTCTCCCCAGCTCCTTCAAATATAGTTCCCTAACAACCAAGACCCAGAACTTAATATAGTAAGTTTATGTGGCTTTTGCAGGCTAACATAGGGAACTATTCAACATTACGTCACTATTTCTATTGGACTACACACTCCAAATTTCAAACTTAGAAATAACTGTTGGGAACACAGTAACACAGTGCTTCTATTAAGTCTGACTTAAATACATTGATTGCCATCAATGTCCTCCACAATTTTTTAAAATGATAGGCTGGAATCCAAGCTACATACAACCAATGCACTCTAAAGACCAAGCATACATGTAAAAAGATTGCTGTGTAGGCAAATGAAACAACAGTCAATTCAACAAATATTTTATAATATATCTAGGCCTAGCCAGATGCGGTGGCTGTAATCTCACGCCTGTAATCCCAACACTTTGGGAGGCTCAGGTAGGTGGATTACTTGAGGCCAGGAGTTTGAGACCAGCCTGGCCAACATGGTGAAACCCCATCTCTACTAAAAATACAAAAAATTAGCCAGGCACGGTGGCATGTGCCTGTAAACCCAGCTACTTAAGAGGCTGAGGCATGAAAATCGCTTGCACCTGGGAGGCGGAGGTGGCAGTGAGCCGAGATCACACCACTATATAAATATATCTTATTTTTGTGACAAACAGATACCAACTACATACCCTTTTACTAAGATATATTATTATTTTACACTTTAGTTTTCTGCTTTACTATAGATACTGATTGATTCTACTGGTTCTAGATACTGGGAAATGTTCTTTTCCAATATTTATCTGTATTCAGCACCGGTACTTTAATATCTGTGTTCACAACCAGTAGCAAATACTTGCCATCACCACACAGAGTTAAAAGGCCCCTTAAAGATACGGGATGAACTGGATTTCCTTGTCCTCCCCTCCCTACAACCCCCATTACTCCCCAAGTCTAAGGTTCTCTGAGTTCTGAATTCCAACCATGCATTCTCACTACATATATCTTCTCCCAATTTACCCACTCAACGCATCCTCAAACTCTCCGATTTCAAAGCAACCAAGACACACAATCCCTGCTGTTTTGGAGGACACATTACAGTGGGTATAGAGAACTGAGCTTTCTTTTCCGTGATTAATGCCATACCCAGATTATTCAACCAGGTTCTGTATTAAGTAAGGGTACCTAAATGACCTCTAATTTTTCACCCTAATAAAGTATATGTTATCTTCTTAGACGCTGTATAAGTAAATCCTCTAAAGGCCTAACCCAAGATACAAATTTCAGCTATTTCAGCTATGCTGAGGTCAAAGTTTCCTCCTTGAGGTATGCCTTGATATGAAAAAAAAAAAGATAAATAGGAACAACTTTGGTTTTCTCCTCAAGCATCAATGCAAAAGCATTAATCTCAACCTCTCTGTACTGAAAGACTAAGAAATGTGATTTCCAAATATCTAAATGTCTAAAGAATTAGACATCTGGAAAAGTCTGGCATAACCTTGAAGATAATGAAAAAAAAAAAAGTACTATCTCCAAAAACTAACAGTCGTCTCTCTTGAGCTACTCTAATAAGTAAAGATAAATTGTAATGGTTATTGTTTATGGAATACTTTTTCAGGACCAAGGAGATTTATACATTATTTCTAATCCTCAAAGCATTATGCGTTATTATGCCCATTTTACAGATGAAGAAATTGAAACTTGGAGAAGCTAAAAAACTTGCTGAATGTCTAGCTTAGAAGTAGCAGAGTCAAAATTCACAGCCACTTTTTGGAATCCAAAGCCTGGTTCTTTCTGCTACATTGACATGCTTCTCAATTTTTCGAAGCAGTTAATTTTCATTACTGTGAACCATATATTATGCTGTTGAATGTCAAATACATACTACAGTACTGCTTTGAAAATTTTATTGCTTTTAAATACTTTTTTTTTTTTTCCCAGACAGGGTCTCACTCTGTCACCCAGGCTGGAGTGCAGTGGCATGACCTTAGCTCACTGCAGCCTCAGCCTCCCAGGCTCAAGTGATCCTCCTGCTTCAGCCTCCCAAGTAGCTGGGACTACAGGTGTGAACCACCATGCCTGGCTATTTAAATTTTCATTTGTTTAATAAAGATAAAATGCTATGCCAATGGGGCAAGATTACAAAGCAAGTATGAAACTATTTCATTAATATCTAGGGTAGCCTAGGCCAGGTATGGTGGCTCACGCCTGTAATTCCAGCACTTTGGGAGGCTGAGGTGGGCGGATCACTTGAGGTCTGGAGTTCAAGACCAGCCCGGCCAACATGGTGAAACCCTGTCTCTACTAAAAATACAAAAATTAGCCAGGCCTGGTGGCGGGCACCTATAGTCTCAGCTACTCAGGAGGCTGAGGCAGGAGGATCACAGGAGCCCAGGAGGTGGGGGTTGCTGTGAGGCAAGATCATGGCACTGCACTCCAGCCTGGGCAACAGAGCGAGACCCTGTCTCCAAAAAAACAAACAAATAAAATCCAGGGTAGCCTAAAGATCAAATATTTACAAAAACCCAAATGCCTGGAGAATAGCCCCTCCTTTCTCTTAATGTACATGATTGTCATTTTGACAGAGGGCTGAGCATTACATCCATTCCAAGTAAGAAATGTTATAGGTTAATGGTCAGAAATAACCCTAATTATTTTCATTGTACCTTTGTAATTTGAACATTACTCCAAAAAAGATCTTATGCTTTCAAGGTTCTGATATATGCTTGTGACTAAAATTTTAAATACCTCAGAATCTAAAAACTGAACTGACAGCAAAAATAAAATACCTATCTTGTTTACCACAGACAAAGTAAAAAAAAAAAAAAAAAAAGAAAGAAAGAAAATTAAAAATACATTCACCAGAATGGCTACAATGCAAAGCACTGGCAAGGATATAAAATAATCAGATCCCTCACACACTTCTGGTGGAAATGTAAATTGGTATAGCCACTTTGGAAAATGGTTTAGTGTATCCATTAAAGCTAAACATATACATATTCTACAATCTAAAAATTCTACCCTACATATATTCCCAACAGAAATGCGTACATTTGTTTAAAGGACATGTACTAGAATGTTTCTAGTAGCGCTGTTCATAACGGCCCTAAACTGGTATCCAGAAGTCCATCAACAGTAAAATGTACAAGTAAACTGAGGTATTATCACATAATGAAATGCTATACAGCAATGAAAAAGAATCTACAACTTGATGCAAAATATGGATTAATCTCACAAATCTTGCACTAAAGAAGCCAGACATAAATGTATAAATATAATTCAATTTATATAAAATACAAAATTGAATCTATGCTGTTAGAAATCTGGACATTGGTTACCCTTTGGTGGAGATAATGACTGGAAGGAGACACAGGGCAGGGTGGGAAGCTTCTCAGATGCTAGTAATATTGTTTCTTCAGGTGGCTGCTAGTGACATGATCATGTTCAGTTTGAAACACTCAATAGATGGGAGGCATTATAGCAGCAGAGTGGTTGAAGAGCACAGCTCTGGAATTGGAATGCCTGCATTTGAATCTCTATCACTTACTAGTTACAACTTTGGGTAAGTTATTTAACTTTTCTGTGCTTCCTTTCTTCATCTATAAAATATGCCTAATATGCACCTCATAGGGTTATTATGGGGACTAAATTGTCTTAAGATTTGTAAAGTGCTTATTAGCACAGTGGGCTATTATTAAATACTTGCTAAGTAAATAAAAGTGCTTTATTCTGAAGCAACACAAGAAAATGAGAAAGGGAAACAGAAACATAGGATTTAACTATTACTAGAAAATGCATGAAATAATTATTTTGGAAAAGAACGTGATAATAACTAAAGTCTAGTGTAAAAAGAACAT
This sequence comes from Homo sapiens, assembly GCF_000001405.40. Lineage (NCBI taxonomy): Eukaryota > Metazoa > Chordata > Mammalia > Primates > Hominidae > Homo > Homo sapiens. The sequence continues at coordinate 34,797,570 of NC_000006.12, read as the reverse complement.
GACTGGAAGTTGTGACTAGTCCGACAAGCTTCCACCTAAGTGACCTTGGAAAAGTAACAGCCTCTCTGAGCCTGGAACTCCTACTATCAACTGGAGGCTGGCCCCGATGATCTCTAAGATCTTTGCTGCTCCTCAGTGTTCATCAAGATGATGAGTGGAGGCAGTCATCATGAACTAAGAGGGCTAAATTTGCAATCAGGCTCTCTTATTCTCCAAAAGAAATGCTGAACTCTTCTATGCCTCTGAATTTCATCTAACATGTTTTCAAAATATCTATCATGTCTATCAGCCAGGTCTCTATCGCTGAGGTTCACATTTCCTGCGGTCATTTAAAATAAATAATTAAGGCTCCTGATGGGTTTTAAAAGAGCTAGCCGGGTTTCTGTCATCCATGCCATCACAGTGGACCTAACTTCTTTGGCTACATTATATAGCGACTCTTTATTAAACATCTATTTATATGTCAGGCACTATAATAAAAACTTTATCCCCAATGCGCCAAAAAAAACTACTAGGTATGTATTATTCTTCCTCCTTATCTTTTACAGATAAGAAAACTAAGGCTCAGGGCCGGGCGCAGTGGCTCACGCCTGTAATCCCAGCACTTTGGGAGGCCAAGGCAGGCGGATCACCAGGTCAAGAGATCAAGACGATCCTGGCCAACATGATGAAACCCCATCTCTACTAAAGATACAAAAATTAGCCGGGCGTGGTGGCGTGCACCTGCAGTCCCAGCTACTCGGGAGGATGAGGCAGGAAAATCACTTGAACTCGGGGGGGCAGAGGTTGCAATGAACCGAGATTGCACCACTGCAAAAGGCTGCCCTGCTGATTAGTGGCAGGGCTGGAAGGTGAATCTGGCATGTTTGGCTCCAGAGCCCATGCTCCTTCCATTAACGATAGATGCTTGCCTTTCTTTACAATTGATCATATTTCTTCTTATTTGTATAACGAAAGGTCATTAGCTTAGGTCACGTAAAACAAGAAAAACCTAATTTAGTGAAAAATCAATTTTGAATATTTTTTAAATCATTGCTTTGTGTTTCTAAGAAAAGGTTTCTTCCAAGGTCTATTTAAATGAATACTGGGCATTAAAGCTATTTGCATTGAGCAGCAGTCATGAAAACCAAGAGTTAAACCCTTTAAAAGGCATTTATATTTCTTCCTCACTGCATCTCCAGTGCCCAGATTAGTGCCTGGCCTAGGGTAGGCATTTAAGAAAATCATATTGAATACCATTCTCTTCAAATCTCGTTTACCAAAATACTCTACTACTAAGGAGGGTGCATTCCAACAAGATACTTTATCATCTGAAAAACTTCATGTCCAAATAAGCATAATATGACTCACTGGTGTATCCTCTCTGCTGTGGGCCATTCTCCTGTAGGTCAAATGGCATCATCAGCAACAAGTAATTATCAAACACCTACAGTATTTATTTAATACACTATATCTTTATTTAACTTGATATGCCTTCCCGTCTCTCTCTTTCCCCATCAGGTTTGGGAAGCCACAGAGTCATAGTTCCTCCCCAGGCAGGCTAGCCTGTATGTGGTAAAGACTACACAGAGACACAAATGTCACATGTGATTAGGCAGCTTTTCCAAGCTAAACAAACACAAAAGCCCCAGGAGTTTGGCCTTTCCCCTAACAAGACTCATAATTTACCACCTCTTCCTGGAGTCCTGAAATTGCAACTATAATGTGACCTCTTCCTCAGTCCCCTGCCCAATGCTGAGAAAATCAGAAATTTTCCCCAATGTCTGTGATACTTATTCCTACTTCATCTATTAATAAAAAAGGCACTGTGTTCGCCAAGGAATGTGTAAGCATATACTGCTAAAATTTTTCTTTAAAAATTATATGTTCAGGCCAGGCACGGTGGCTCACGCCTGTAATCCCAGCACTTTGGGAGGCTGAGGCAGGCGGATCACGAGGTCAGGAGATCGAGACCATCCTGGCTAACATGGTGAAACCCTGTCTCTACTAAAAAAAAAAAAAAAAAATCAGCCGGGTGTGGTGGCACGCGCCTGTAGTCCCAGCTACTTGGGAGGGCAAGACAGGAGAATCGCTTGAACCCAGGAGGCAGAGGTTGCAGTGAGCCGAGATCGTGCCACTGCACCCCAGCTTGGGCGACAGAGTGAGACTCAGTCTCAAAAAAAAAAACAAAAAACAAAAAAAACTGTATGTTCAGGCTGGGCGCAGTGGCTCACCCCTGTAATCCCGGCACTTTGGGAGGCTGAGGCAGGATTCCTTGAAGCCAGGAGTTCAAGACCAGCATGGGCAACATAGCAAGACTTGATCTCTACAAAGAAATTTTTAAATTAGCCAGGGGCATGGTGGTGCATGGTCTCAGCTACTCAGGAGGCTGAGGCAGGAGGATCACTTGAGCCTGGGAGGTCAAGGCTGTAGAGTGCCATGATCGCGCCACTGCACTCCAGCCTAGGCACAAAGCAAGATTCCGTCTCTAAAAAACAAAAACAAGGCTAGGCGTGGTGGCTCACGCCTGTAATCCCAGCACTTTGGGAGGCCGAGGCAGGTGGATCACGAGGTCAGGAGATCGAGACCATCCTCGCCAACATGGTGAAACCCCATCTCTACTAAAATACAAAAAAAAAATTAGCTGGGCGTGGTGGCGCATGCCTGTAGTCCCAGCTACTCAGGAGGCTAAGGCAGGGGAATCTCTTGAACCCGGTAGTTGGAGGTTGCAGTGAGCCGAGATCGCGCCACTGCACTCCAGCCTGGTGACAGAGTGAGACTCCGTCTCAAAAAAAAAAAAACAAAAAAACTCTACGTTCATAGGAGTGCACAGAATATCTGTGTATTACAGAGAAAAGTGTACCAGAATTAGGTTCTGTTCCATTACCTTACCTTCCTATGCAACTTAGGCAAGTCACTTATCTTCTCCAGGCTTTAGTTTCCTCAGCCATAAAATGAGGTACGAAACTAGATCAGGGATTATTCACCTAGTTCCAAGATGCCTTGAGGGATTCAGGCATGTGCTTCAGGGGTTTATAACTGCTCCTTCCTCTTAATCTTATATAAAAATTACCTGTTTGCGTATATGAATTTTTCCGGAGATAAGGTCTATAGCTTATGTCAAATTGTCACACAAATTGTGATCCAAAAAATAACCATACCTCATGTTTTATTGAGCACATAGTGTATGTTAGGCACTGTGCTAAGTCCTTACATATATTAATTCATGTAACACAATAACCTTTAATTTTTAATTTTTGTGGGTACACAGTAGTGTATATATTTATGGGGTACATGAGATGTTTTGATATAGGCACGCAATGTGAAATCAACACATCATGCAGAATGGAGTATCCATCCTCTCAAGCATTTATCCTTTGAGTTACAAACAATTCAATTACATACTTTATCTTAAAATATACTTTTTTTTTTTTGAGACAGTCTCGCTCTGTCACCTAGGCTGGAGTGCTGTGGCGAAATCTTGGCTCACTGCAACCTCCGCCTCCCGAGCTGAAGCGATCCTCCTGCCTCAGCCTCCCAGGTAGCTGGGATTACAGACTTGTACCACCATGCCAGGCTAATTTCTGTATTTTAGTAGAGACAGGGTTTCATCATGTTGGCTGGGCTGGACAAACAGTAGGTCTTATTCATTCTTTTTTTTTTTTTTTGTACCCTTGAAGTAGATACTGTTCTTATCCCCATTTTAGAGAAAGTAAATCAGAAAGAACCCAGGCTCTTAAACAACAATGCTATGATAGGTGAGATCATCTCTAAGCCCTAAAATTCTATGTCCTTTCAAATTATACAATTCTCCTCTGGTTAAGTTATCTGTTCCATTCTGCAATCTTTGGTCATGCCCCAAATACTATTATATCTTTACACAAAACCAGACTCATGGAACATCTAGATTACTATCACCTGAAAAAGAATATATTACGTTAATCTGAGTAAAAGGTCCAAAGGCACTTTCCAGCACCAGCCTCCAATGTGCTTTTTCTTTTACTACGTGGTGATTAACCAAAAGATGGATCTGGGTCTAATTACTAATTAAAGTCTCAGATCAAAGTGTCAGCCAGGAAAAGGGGATGCAGTGGCAGGAAAAGTGTCTCACACACCGCTTACCAAAGCAATGAGAAGACCCAGAAAGAAACATCAGTGCAAGCCTGGGTGTCCCATGTTGACCGACATCTCCCCTCACCCCTACCTCCTGAAAACCACTGACCACTGTGCAGCCAAGCCCTGGGTCACTCTCTACTTGAGATACAAAGGCTGGTTAAGGTATTAACCATCACCAACTCCAGCATGGAATAAGGAGTGAAAACTAAGTGAAACCTAGCTCCCAATTTTTGTGGCCACTGGTTGTGACAACCTGCAATCGCAACACGGGGTTCAGCAGTCACTCGGCTACACCTGAAAACTGTTTTGCCGGCCAGCCTCCTCATGCCAAATTACTCAGCGACATAACATTGCTTAATAAAAGGCTGCAAAGCAGAAGCGGACGTTGTTGGTTCTTTTCACAGGCTGTCAAAAAAACCTCCACATCTTAAAGGGAAGGTTGCGGAAACTTTATCCCCAACTCTCATGACCTTTCTCCAATTAGGCTATGTAATGAAAAGAAAAGCAAAAGAGGGAAAAAGAAGTCCAGAGGAACGGCCCTGGGTGCTGGGCTTTTCCAAGGGTGATGCAACAGGGTCAGACAGAAGAGGAGGAGGTGGGAGCTCCTGGGAAAGAGAAAACCAGCCTCAGCGTTGGAAATCTAAGGGGAAATGGCTTAGCAGGACTGGTAGCAGGGTTATTTAGAACGGGCAGGGGCATAGGATCTGGGAGAGGAGGGCGGTCAGAGGCCCAAAGGAAGGGGCAGGGGCCCGAAGGCCAGAGAAAGCAGAGAGAAGACAGCTGGTTCGGGCAGGCAAGAGTGGGCTTCGTGGGGGCCTCGGAAAGACGGTCAAGGGAGCACGGGGTGACCTGCTTGGAGGTGTGGGAGGTGGGGACAGCAGGCCAGAAGGGCCTTGAGGGGAAAGAAAAAGTCCAGGGGGTTGTTAGAGTGGGGAGAGACTAGCGGCACCGGCGCCAGGACAGGAGGGCCCAGCGCGGGGGAAGCACAGAGCGGCGACAACGGTGGGCGCCGGCGGGCGCGGGGGGAAGCTGTCCGGGCTCGAGTTAGGCAGGGGCTGCCACGGAGTCCGGGCTCCGGGCTGGAGAGAGGCAGACTGGGCCCGGAGCGCGGCGTCAGGGAGGAGGTCGGAGAGGGTTAGGAAGGGCCCAGGACCGCCGGGGGCCGGCGCTGGCGCTCTCACCGGGACAGGTGTTTCAGGATCTGCTTCTTAATGATCCCGGCCATGCCGGAGCCGCGGCCCGCGTGGAAGGCGGGTGGGCCGGCAGCTGTGGCCTCCTCAGTTGTGGAGAAGAGGCGGTCCCCTCACCTCGCCGCGGCGTGAGCACCGGACACAGCCGCCGCCGCCGCCATGGCGCTTTCTCGCCCCTCTTTGGGCGCCTGGCGCTCCGCCACGATCCCACCCACCAGCGCGGCGCCGCGGCCGCCCGCCCAGAGCGACGCGAAGATCGCGCGCCACCCGCCGGCCTTGCTTGCGGCGGCCAGAGGCGCGCGCGGTGAGGGGCGGCGGCGCGCGCAGCGCCGGGGCTGGCTGGCTCGAGCTTCCTCCCTCCGCGCTCCCGTCCGCCTCTCGGGTCTGAAACGCTTCTTTCGCCTCTGAGGGGTGTGCGGTTCCTTTCGCACCCGGCAGTCGCCTTGAAACCTAGGAGAAAGGCGGGGTAGTTGTAATTTTTGCAGAAATTCGTTAGATCATTGCGCAGCTCCCGGATGCCAGCGTCCGCCTCTCATTTATTTCCCTCACACATTCACTCAGTATTTGTTGAGCACCAGCTGTACTCCAGGTATCGGGCTGGGGACTGAAAAGTAGTATCAAGGACCTCACAGACCCATAGATGGGACACGCGAACCAACCGCTGCGGTCACCTGCGAAGGGCTTTGTGCTGGAGAGCTGGGAAGGGGGCGCCCGTCACCCTCTTGGTGCCTCCCTTAGTCTCGTCTCCTGAACCGATGGGCAAAATGTATTTACTCAAGACCTGAGCGGCTCACTGCAGAAGCACTCCCTCCCAAATGTGGGGTCAGAAGAAACTGAGACGGTCAATTGTTAAAATGACCTAGGACTTTAGAGATCAGCTTCTTCACTGTGCAAATACGGAAACGGAAGCCCTGGGAAATAAGAGCTTTCCCAAGGTCACCTACTTAGGGCCACCCAGGACTAGAACCCAAATATTCTGACTCCCAGTCAAGTGTTAGATGCACTCTATTTCATCCATATGCTTAAAAGTGTAACCCGCATGCCGGCGACACCCGTAGACCCAATGGCAAAGATGGAAAGGTGACAGTTCTCCGGACTTAAGCCTTCAAGCAAAAACTTGGAGAAAAAAAGAAAAACAAAAACCTCTTGAGACAGCCTTATAGGAAGTCTGGCCCCCAGCTAATATTGCATTTTAAATGTAGTCATTCTTTAATATAAAACCAAAGACATTCAACCATGTCTCCCTGTCTCCCCCGTCAGTCATTCAGGGTGCTCCAAAACAATTGTTTCCCTCAAAACAATTACTCCCTAATTCCAGAGATAGTCTAAGCACGGTAAACCATATATATGTTAAATTTTTAAAATGAATAATCAGGCCAGCCGCGGTGGCTCTCCCCTGTAATCCCAGCACTTTGAGAGGCCGAGACAGACGGATCGCTTGGGCCCAGGAGTTCAAGATCAGCCTGGGTAACATGACGAAATCTCATCTCTACAAAAAATACAGAAATTAGCCGGGCGTGGTGGCACGCGCCTGTAATCCCAGCTACTCGGGAGGCTGAGGTGGGAGGATCCCTTGAGCCTGGGAGGCAGAGGTTGCAGTGAGCTGAGATCACCCAACTGCACCCCAACCTGGTCGACTGAGCAAGACTGTCTCAAAAATAACACACCATGCATTCCTATGCCTATCCCTTAGTCATAGTAAGTTCAATTTTTCCCAGAAGTCCCCAAAATATTATATAAAAGGGAAGCAAATCATCCTCGGCCCGGGTGCTTTACTACCCACTCCCCTCCAGTAGGACTGAATATCATTAATTGTCCCTCTGCCCACCTCTCACCAGAATATATAACAGGGACCAATAGGGCCTATGGAAGAGGAGGTTTCTTGCCAATGTTATCGGCTATTATTGCTTTTTCCCAATTCGGTCCTCAGCCACAGGGGCCTCACAGCAATTTTTGCATTTCAGGCTTCCTTTGTTGGAGCACCCCAGCAAAGAAGATTGGACATCTGAATCAGCTATGTAAGGCAAAACCTACCTCATGCTCAGAGACTCAGCATCCTCACTGAATGCGTCATCACGCCTGGTGAATGAGTTATTTTTGTTGAATGCAAAAATTCGTTCCTTACAAAAATATGGCCTCTTTAGGGACCAGGAAATAGGAGAGTTAATATTCTCACCAACAGTATTAATGTGTTTATCCTTCCTTGTAATTCTAAGAATCTGAGACATATAAAGACAAAAGGAGGCCAGGTGTGGTGGCTCACGCCTGTAATCCCAGCACTTTGGGAGATCGAGGCGAGCAGATCACCTGAGGTCAGGAGTTCGAGACCAGCCTCAACATGGAGAAACCCCGTCTCTACTAAAAATACTAATTAGCCGGGTGTGGTGGTGCATGCCTGTAATCCTAGCTACTCGGGAGGCTGAGGCAGGAGAACTGCTTGAACCTGGGAGGCGGAGGTTGCGGTGAGCCGAGATGGCACCATTGCACTCCAGCGTGGGCAACAAGAGAGAAACTCCATCTCAAAAATTAATTAATTAATTAATTAATTTAATTAAATAAAAGACAAAAGGGATCTGAAGCCAATCCATGCATTTTTTTCAAATTAAACATTTTATATTGAGATGATTATAGATTAACATTCAGTTGTAAGAAATAATACAAATAGGCCAGCCGTGGTGGCTCATGCCTGTAATCCTAGCACTTTGGGAGGCCAAGGCGGGGGGATCACTTGAGGTCAGGAGTTCAAGACCAGCCTGGCCAACATGGTGAAACCCCATCTCTACTAAAAATACAAAAATTAGCTGGGCGTGTTGGTGGGTGCCTGTAATCCCAGCTACTTGGGAGGCTGACACAGGAGAATTGTTTGAACCCAGGAGGCGAAGGCTGCAGTGAGTGATCATGCCCCTGCCTGGGTAACAGAGCAAGACTCTATCTCAAAAAAAAAAAAAAAAAAAGAGAGAGAGAGAAAGAGAGAAATAATACAAATAAATCCTTGTATCCTTTACCTAGTTCTCCCCAATAATAACATCTTGCAAAACTATATTGCAATATTACAACCAAGATATTGACATCAATAGATAATATACAGAACATGTCCATCAGTGTTGCCCTTTTTTTTCTGTAGATGGAGTCTCACTCTGTCGCTCAGGCTGGAGTGCAATGGCGTGAACTTGGCTCACTGCAACCTCTGCCTCCCAAGTTCAAGCAATTCTCCTGCCTTAGCCTCCAGAGTAGCTGGGATCACAGGCGCATGCCACCACGCCAGGCTAATTTTTGTATTTTAGAAGAGACGGGGTTTCACTATGTTGGCCAGGCTGGTCTCAAACTCCTGACCACAGGTGATCTGCCTGCCTCAGCCTCCCAAAGTGCTGGGATTACAGGCGTGAGCCACCACGCCCAGCCACTGTTGCCCTTTTATAATCACCCCAATCTTCCTCCAGTACCCACCACCTCCTTAACCCCAGCAACCACTAATGTGTTCTCCATTTCTATAATTTTGTAATTTCAAGAATGTTATATAAATGGAACCATATAGTATGTAACCTTTGGGGACTGTACTTTTTCTTATTATTTATTTTTAATTTTTATTATTATTTTTAGAGATGGGGTCTCGCTGTGTTGTTGCCTGGGATGGAGTGCAGTGGTGCAATCATAGCTCACTGTAGCCTCCAACTCCTGGTCTCAAGTGATCCTCCCACCTCAGCCTCCTGAGTGGCTGGGACTACAGGCACATGCCACCATGCCTGGCTAATTGTTTTATTTTTGGTAGAGACAGGATCTTGCTATGTTGCCCGGGCTGGCATTGAACTCCTGGGCTCAAGCGATACTCCCACTTCGGCCTCCCAAAGAGCTGAGATTACAGGTGTGAGCCACCACGTGCCCGGCCTGAGGGTACTTTTTCCATCAGCATAATTCTCTGGAGATTCATCCAGGTAGTTATGTGTATGAATAGTTTGTTCCTTTTTCCTGATGAGTAGTATTCCATGATATAGATATACCACAGTTTGCTTAACCATTCACCTGCTGAAGGACATCTGGGCTGTTTCCAGTTTTCTATTATTATGAATAAGCCTGCTATAAATATTTGTGTACAGGTGTTTGTGTGAGCATTAGTTTTCATTTTGCTGGGATAAGTGCCCAGGAGTGCAATAGCTGGGTTGTATGGTAGTTGAATGTTTAGCATATCTAAAAACTGCCAAACTGGTATTCAGAATGACTATTATCATTTCACATTCCCACCAGCAGTGTGTAAGTGATCCAGTTTCTCTGTATCTTCACCATAATTTGTGTTGTCACTATATTTATTTTAGCCATTTGATAGGTATGTAGTGATACCTTATTGTAGTTTTGATTTGTATTTCCCTAATGGCCAATGACATTGAATACCTTTTCACATGATTTGCCATCTGTATATCTGCTTCAGTGAAATCCCTCTTCATATCTTTTGCCCACATTCTAATTGGATTTTCTTTTTTTACCCTTGAGTTTTGAGAGTTATTTATGTATTTGAAATATTAGTCTCTTGTTTGGTATGTCATTTGCAAATCTTTCTTTCTTTCTTCTTCTTTTTTTTTTCTGAGACAGGGTCTCACTCTGTCATCCAGGTTGGAGTGCAGTGGCGCAATCACGTTCACTGCAGCCTCCACCTCCAAGGTTCAAGCAATTCTCCCACCTCAACCCTCTCCCCACCCCACTGAGTAGCTGGTACTACAGGCATGTGCCATCACACCCAGCTAATTTTTGTATTTTTTTTATTTTTTTATTTTTTTATTGATCATTCTTGGGTGTTTCTCCCAGAGGGGGATTTGGCAGGGTCATAGGACAATAGTGGAGGGAAGGTCAGCAGATAAACAAGTGAACAAAGGTCTCTGGTTTTCCTAGGCAGAGTGTTTGTGTCCCTGGGTACTTGAGATTAGGGAGTGGTGATGACTATTAACGGACATGCTGCCTTCAAGCCTCTGTTTAACAAAGCACATCTTGCACCGCCCTTAATCCATTTAACCCTGAGTGGACACAGCACATGTTTCAGAGAGCACAGGGTTGGGGGTAAGGTCATAGATCAACAGGATCCCAAGGCAGAAGAATTTTTCTTAGTACTGAACAAAATGAAAAGTCTCCCATGTCTACTTCTTTCTACACAGACACAGCAACCATCTGATTTCTCATTCTTTTTCCCACCTTTCCCCCTTTTCTATTCCACAAAACCGCCATTGTCATCATGGCCCGTTCTCAATGAGCTGTTGGGTACACCTCCCAGACGGGGTGGTGGCCGGGCAGAGGGGCTCCTCACTTCCCAGTAGGGGCGGCCGGGCAGAGGCGCCCCTCACCTCCCGGACGGGGCGGCTGGCCGGGTTGGGGGCTGACCCCCCCCACCTCCCTCCCGGACGGGGCAGCTGGCCGGGCGGGGGGCTGACTCCCCCACCTCCCTCCCAGACGGGGCGGCTGGCCGGGCAGAGGGGCTCCTCACTTCCCAGTAGGGGCGGCCGGGCAGAGGCACCCCTCACCTCCCGGACGGGGCGGCTGGCCGGGTGGGGGGCTGACCCCCCACCTCCCTCCCGGACGGGGCGGCTGGCCTGGCGGGGGCTGACCCCCACCTCCCTCCTGGACAGGGTGGCTGCTGGGCGGAGACGCTCCTCACTTCCCAGACGGGGTGGCAGCAGGGCGGAGGGGCTCCTCACTTCTCAGATGGGGCGGTTGCCAGGCGGGGGGTCTCCTCACTTCTCAGACAGGGCGGCCGGGCAGAGACGCTCCTCACCTCCCAGACAGGGTCGCGGCCGGGCCGAGGCGCTCCTCACATCCCAGACGGGGCAGCAGGGCAGAGGCGCTCCCCACATCTCAGACGATGGGCGGCCGGGCAGAGACGCTCCTCACTTCCTAGATGGGATGGCGGCCGGGAAGAGGCGCTCCTCACTTCCTAGGTGCGATGGCGGCCGGGCAGAGACGCTCCTCACTTTCCAGACTGGGCAGCCAGGCAGAGGGGCTCCTCACATCCCAGACGATGGGCGGCCAGGCAGAGACGCTCCTCACTTCCCAGACGGGGTAGCGGCCGGGCAGAGGCTGCAATCTCGGCACTTTGGGAGGCCAAGGCAGGCGGCTGGGAGGTGGAGGTTGTAGCGAGCCGAGATCACGCCACTGCACTCCAGCCTGGGCACCATTGAGCACTGAGTTAACGAGACTCCGTCTGCAATCCCGGCACCTCGGGAGGCCGAGGCTGGCGGATCACTCGCGGTCAGGAGCTGGAGACCAGCCCGGCCATCACAGCGAAACCCCGTCTCCACCAAAAAAATACGAAAACCAGTCAGGCGTGGCCGCGCGCCTGCAATTGCAGGCACTCGGCAGGCTGAGGCAGGAGAATCAGGCAGGGAGGTTGCAGTGAGCCGAGATGGCAACAGCACAGTCCAGCTTCGGCTCGGCATGAGAGGGAGACCGTGGAAAGAGAGGGAGAGGGAGACCGTGGAAAGAGGGGAGAGGGAGAGGGAGACCGTGGAAAGAGGGGAGAGGGAGAGGGAGGCCGTGGAAAGAGAGGGAGAGGGAGAGGGAGACCGTGGAAAGAGGGGAGAGGGAGAGGGGGAGGGTGAGGGAGAGGGAGAGGGAGAGAGAGAGGGAGACAATTTTTGTATTTTTTTGTAAAGACAAGGTTTCACCATGTTGCCCAGGCTGGTCTCAAATTCCTGGGCTCAAGTGATCCACCCACCTCAGCCTCCTGAGTGGCTGGGATTACAGACGTTGAGTCACCACGCTGGGCCTTGCAAACATTTTCTCACAGGCTGTAGGTTGTCTTTTTTCTTCTTTTTTTATTTTATTTTATTTTTTTTTTTATTTTTGAGATGGAGTTTCACTCTTGTTGCCCAGGCTGGAGTGCAATGGCGCCATCTCGGCTCACTGCAACCTCCGCCTCCCGGGTTCAAGCGATTCTCCTGCCTCAGCCTCCCAAGTAGCTGGGATTACAGGCATGTGCCACCACGCCCAGCTAATTTTGTATTTTTAGTAGAGACGTGGTTTCTCCATGTTGGTCAGGCTGGTCTCGAACTCCTGACCTCAGGTGATCCGCCCGCCTTGGCCTCCCAAAGTGCTGGGATTACAGGCATGAGCCACCAAAGCCAGCCTTTGTCTTTTTCCCTCTTAATAGGTGTTCTGTGGCCAGGTGTGTTGGCAATGGTGCGATCTTGGGGTCAAGCAGTCTTCCTACCTTAGCCTCCCAGGTAGCTGGGACTACAGGCCCGTGCCACTCCACCCAGCTATATATATATATTTCATACAGAGTCTCACTCTGTTGCCCAGACTGAAGTGCAGTGGTGCAATCTCGGCTCATGGCAACCTCCGCCTCCCGGGTTCAAGCAATTCTCCTGGCTCAGCCTCCCAAGTAGCTCGGATTACAGGCGCCTGCCACCATGCCCAGCTAACTTTCATATTTTTAGTAAAGATGGGGTTTTGCCATGTTGCCCAGGCTGGTCTTGAAATCCTCGCCTCAAGTGATCCACCTGCCTTGGCCTCCCAAGTGCTGGGATTACAGGTGTGAGCCACTGCCCCTGGCCCAGTTGGGCATATTTATGTGGATCTATTTCTAGGATCTCTATTTAGTTTCATTGATCTATGTCCTTCTCCCAATACCACACAGTCTTGATAAGTGTAGCTATGTAATAAGTCTTGAAATCAGGTAGAATCCTCCCACTTTATTCCTTTTTTGTTTTTAAGAGACAGGATCTTGCCCTGTCACCGAGTACAGTGGTGTGATCATAGCTACAGCCTCAACCTCCTGGGCTTAAATGATCCTCCTGCCTCAGCCTCCCCAGTAACTGGGACCACAAGTGCATGCCACCATACCCAGCTAATTTTTATTTTTGTAGAGATGGGGTCTCAGTATGTTGCCCAGGCTGGAGTGCAGTGGTGCAATCTCCAGGTGTTCCAGAGTGTTGGAATTACAGGCGTGGGCCACCACACCCGGCCTATTCTTTCTCAAAATCGTTTTTGCTATTCTAGTTTCTTTATCTTCCCATTTAAATTTTTTATTTTTATTTTTATTTTTTTGAGACAGAGTCACCCAGGCTGGAGTGCAGTGGCACGATCTCAGCTCATTGCAACCTCCACCTCCTGAGTTCAAGTGATTCTCATGCCTCGACCTCTTGAGTAGCTGGGATTACAGGTGCCTGCCATCATGCCTGGCTAATTTTTGTATTTTCAGTATTTTCGTATTTTTGTATTTTCAGTAGAGACATGTTGGCCAGGCTGGCCTCAAGCGATCTGCCCGTCTCAGCCTCCCAAAGTGCTGGAATTACAGGCGTGAGCTACTATGCCCGGCCCAACCATTTAAATTTTAGAATAATCCTGTCTATATCTACAAACATCTTGCTGGAATTTTAACAGGAATGGGGTTAAAAGTGTATATCAAATTAGGGTGAATAAACATATTTATTATATTCAGTCTTCTAATATATTTATTTTGATCTTCTGTGATTTCTTTCATCAGCACTATGTACTTTTTAGCATACCCAGCCTATACTAGTTTTATTAGATTTACATCTGTTTTTTCTTTTGAGCAGTTATGTTATTTTTAATGTATGTGTCCACGTGCTCATTGCTAGTATACAGAAAAACCATTATTTTTGGATGTTTATCTTGTACCTTGAAACTTTGCTGAACTCACTCATTAGCTCTTTTTATAGGTTGAAGTAGTATTTTGTAGTATGAGGTCGTTTTGTAGATTCCTTAATTTTTTCTTTTTTTAATGAGATGGAGTCTTGCTCTGTCATCACCCAGACTGGAGTGTAGTGGTGCTTTCAAGGCTCACTGTGACTTCAACATCTGGGGCTCAAGTGATCCTCCCACCTCGGCCTCCCAAAGTGCTGGGATTACAGGTGTGAGTTACCTTCTTGGAATTTTTTATGTACACAATTATGTCATATGCAATTGGGACAATTTTGTTTCTTCCTTTCTGATCTGCATGTCTTTTAATTTTTTCTGGTAGCTAAAACTTCAAGTACTTTGTTAAAAAGAGTGCTAAGAGTGGACATTTTTGTCTTATTCCCAAACTTAGGGGCAAAACATTCAGTTTTCGCCAACACATAGATCAGCTGTAGATTTTTGTGGATGCTCTTTAACAAGTTGAGGAAGTTCTCTATTTTTCTCTACTTTTATCAAGTGTTGAATTTTGTCAAATGCTTTGTCTGCATGAAATGCTATGATCAAGAATTTTTCTTATTTAGCCTGTTAACATGGTGGATTAAATTTAATATTATTATTTTTTTTTTCTTGAGGCAGAGTTTCACTCTTGTTGCCCAGGCTGGAGTGCAATAGCACGATCTCAGCTCACCGCAACCTCCGCCTCCCAGGTTCAAGCGATTCTCCTGCCTCAACCTCCGAAGTAGCTGGGATTACAGGCATATGCCACCACGCCCAGCTAATTTTTAAATTTTTAGTAGAGATGGGGTTTCACCATGTTGGCCAGGATGGAAATTTTGTATTTTTAGTAGAGACGGGGTTGCTCCATGTTGGTCAGGCTGGTCTTGAATTCCTGACCTCAGGTGATCCACCCGCCTCAGCGTCCTAAAGTGCTGGGATTACAGGCGTTAGCCACCGCGCCCGGCAGTAATTTTTTTTTGAGACAGAGTTTCACTCTTGTTGCCCAGGCTGGAGTACAATGGCACGATCTCCGCTCACCGCAACCTCCACCTCCCGGGTTCAGGTGATTCTCCTGCCTCAGCCCCCCTAGTAGCTGGGATTATAGGCATGTGCCACCACGCCCAGCTAATTTTGTATTTTTAGTAGAGATGTGGTTTCTCCATGTTGATCAGGCTGGTCTCAAACTCCTGACCTCAGGTGATCTGCCCACCTCAGCCTCTCAAAGTGTTGGGATTACAGGCGTGAGCCACCACGCCCAGCCTAATGATTTTCAAATACTGAATCAGCCTGCATCCCCGAAACAGACCTCTTTTGGTCATGGTATATAATGTTCATATATTACTGAATTCTGATTGCCAATATTTGGCTAAGGATTTGTGTGCATTTCCTAGATGGCTAATGTTGAATATCTTTTCATGGGTTTTTGGCCATTTGTAAATCTTCTTTGGAAAAAATGTCTCTACGGATCTCATCGATTTTTTAATTGTCTTTTTATTTGTTGAGTTATACTTCTTTATATATTGTAGATACAAGTCCCTTACACGATACATTATTTGCAAAGACTTTCTCCCATTCTGTGAGTTGTCTTAATTTTTCTGATAGAAAAATGAAGTGCAGGCTGGGCACGGTGGCTCACGCCTGTAATCCCAGCACTTCAGGAGGCCAAGGTGGGCATATCACCTGAGGTCAGGAGTTCAAGACCAGCCTGGCCAACATGGTGAAACCCCATCTCTACTAAAAATACAAAAAAGTTAGCCAGGTGTGGTGGCACACGCGTATAGTCCCAGCTACTCAGGTGGCTGAGGCAGGGGAATCGCTTAAACCTGAGAGGCAGAGATTGCAGTAAGCTGGGATTGTGCCACTGTACTCTAGCCTAGGCAACAGAGTGAGACTCTGTCTCAAAAACAAAAAGAAAAAGAAAAAGAAAAATGAAGTGCAAAAAACTTTGTTGATACCCAGTTTATCTTCCCCCAACTTGTGTTGCTGTGCTTTTGGTGTCATATCTAAGAAATCATTGCCTAATCTGAAGACATGAAGATTTACATCTATATTCTCTTCTAAGATTGTATAGTTTTAGCTCTTACATTTAGGAATATGATCCATTTTAACATGACCCATATATAATTTTTGTATATGGTGTGATGCAGGGAATCGACTTCATAATTTTGCATGGGGATATCCAGTTGTCCTAGCAACATTTGTTGAAACCATTTTCTTCCCCATTGAATTGTCTTGGTGAAAATCAATTGATCACAAACGCAAGGGTTTACTTCTGGACTCTTAATTCTGTTTCATTTATCTATATGTCTATTCTTATGCAAGTACCACAGTGTCTTGATTAATTAGTTTTGTAATAAGTTTTAAAATAAAGAATCTATCGGCCGGGCGCCGTGGCTCACACCTGTAATCCCAGCACTTTGGGAGGCCAAGGCGGGCGGATCACGAGGTCAGGAGATCGAGACCATCCTGGCTAACACGGCGAAACCCCGTCTCTACTAAAAATACAACAAAAATAAATAAATAAATAAATTAGCCGGATGTAGCGGGGGGCACCTGTAGTCCCAGCTACTCGAAGGCTGAGGCAGGAGAATGGCGTGAACCGGGGAAGCGGAGCGTGCAGTAAGCCAAGATCGCGCCACTGCACTCCAGCCTGGGTGACAGAGTGAGACTCCGCCTCAAAAAATAAAATAAAATAAAATAAAAATGTGCGGGCGCGGTGGCTCACGCCTGTAATCCTTGCACTTTGGGAGGCCGAGGTGGGTGGATCACAAGGTCAGGAAATCGAAACCATCCTGGCTAACACGGTGAAACCTCGACTCTACTAAAAATACAAAAAAATTAGCCGAGCGTGGTGTTGGGCGCCTGTGGTCCCAGATGCTCAGGAGGCTGAGGCAGGAGAATGGCGTGAAGCTGGTAGACGGAGCTTGCAGTGAGCCGAGATGACGCCACTGCACTCCAGCCTGGGCGACAGAGCGAGATTCCATCTCAAAAAAATAAAAAATAAATAATAAATAAAATAAAATAAAAATAAAAATTAATATAAAGAATCTATCATGTTTTTGTGTGTATCTCTTTGTATAGCTTTTAGTTGTTTCTCTGGGTTATTACATTATATATACACACCTTATCACATCTACTGGTGTTGACATTTACCAGTTCAAGTGAAGTGTGGACATTTTTTTTTTTTTTGAGACGGAGTCTCCCTCTGTCGCCCAGGCTGGAGTGCAGTGGCGCAATCTCGACTCACTGCAAGCTCTGCCTCCCGGGTTACGCCATTGTCCTGCTGCAGCCTCTCGAGTAGCTGGGACTACAGGCGCCCGCCACCACGCCCGGCTAATTTTTTGTATTTTTAGTAGAGACGGGGTTTCACCTTGGTCTCGATCTCCTGACCTTGTGATCCGCCCGCCTCGGCCTCCCAAAGTGCTGGGATTACAAGCATGAGCCACCGCGCCCGGCCAAAGTGCAGACATCTTACCTTCTTTTATGTCTCCTTATCTTTTTTTTTTTTTTTTTTGAGACGGAGTCTTGCTCTGTCACCCAGGCTGGAGTCCAGTGTTGTGATCTCAGCTCACTGCAACCTCTGCCTCCCGGATTCAAGCGATTCTCCTGCCTCAGCCTCTGGGTAGCTGGGATTACAGGCGTGTGCCACCATGCCTGGCTAATTTTTGTATTCTTAGTAGAGACGGGGTTTCACTACCTAGGCCAGGCTGGTCTCAAACTCCTGACCTCAGGGGATCCACCCGCCTTGGCCTCCCAAAGGGCTGGGATTGCTGGCGTGAGCCACTGCACCCAGCCATACCCTTCACTTCTTTATCCTTTCAACAACCATTCCTACGAAGTGCTAGGATATGATATATAGGCAAAGGAAAGAAGGAAAGGATTAGAAGACCTGTTCTCAGGGTCACTGTGACTAAGTATTTACAAAGTGCTTTGAGATTTTGACTTCATGTGCTATGCTTCAAGTATTATCATTAGATGAAGACAAAAGTCAATGGGCTTTTTTTAATTGGCAGGTAGGGAAAGATACCTATTCAAGTATAGAGCTATGTAACTGGGACACTTAATCATCAGTGAACTTTTCCAAAGGCTTTTCCAAATTTGGATTAATCAAATTAGCCTATGGCTCTGTACAATGATCCTATTACTCATGCAGCTTAAAATCAGGGGATTAGAATTCTGACAAACTGGCCAGGAGAGGTGCCTCATGCCTGTAATCCCAGCACTTTGGTGGGGCAGAGGCAGGCGGATCACGTGAGGTCAGGAGTTCGAGACCAGCCTGGCCAACATAGTGAAACCCCAACTCTACTAAAAATACACAAAAAAATTAGCCAGGCATGGTGGCGGACGCCTGTAATCCCAGCTACTCGGGAGGCTGAGGCAGGAGAATCGCTTGAACACAGGAGGCGGAGGTTGCAGTGAGCCGAGATTGCGCCACTGCACTCCAGCATGGGCAACAAGAGTGAAAGTCTGCCTCAAAAAAAAAAAACAATTCTGACAAATCACTCAAAAGCCCTAGCAGTGGAAATGCTGACAGCTTGGACTTTAAGCATACTTACAATGGCTTCAGATCTGCCCACGGAAGCAAGTACATTATCCCACATCGACACTAACTTCTTTAATTTTGTTATTTCGAAGTATTCTTGTGTGCACCTTTACAAATTCTCCCATTACAGTTCATTATATTTCAGAATTAAGACCAGATGTCTAAAGGCACAATAGCAATAAATAAGTTCTACTGTCTTCTTCACAGCTTCTCACAAAGGAAATGTCTTATTCATTATAATTATACTTTTGCCCTAAGAGTTGATAAAAACACAAAAAGAACTTTATTTTTGTGAGACAGGGTCTCACTCTGCTGCCCTGGCTGGAGTGCAGTGGCGCTATCTTGGCTCATTGCAGCCTCGACCTTCCAGGCTCAAGCGATCCTCCCACATAGCTGGGACAACAGGCGTGCACCACTATGCCCAGCTAATATTTTGTATTTTTTGTAGAGACAAGGTTTCACCATGTTGCCCAGGCTGAAAAATAACTTTTAAAAACTATTGTTTCTACTTGTATTCATTGTAGATGAAGCTTGTTAAGCTTTTAGGTCATCACACTGTTTTTCTGAAGCTACATAAAATGCTTTCTTGCATACACAAAAGACACATTCTTCACCTAGAAACTGACAAGAGCCATCCAAACCAGAAACTTGAGGAATCACATGTAAAGCACAGTTGGCAAGGTTTCTACTAACAAACTGTTAAGTCTGCAGAAGATTTTTTATTTTTATTTTTTTGAGACGGAGTCTCGCTCTGTCCGCCAGGCTGGAGTGCAGTGGCGCGATCTCGGCTCACTGCAAGCTCCGCCTCCCGGGTTAGCGCCATTCTCCTGCCTCAGCCTCCCGAGTAGCTGGGACTACAGGCGCCCGCTACTGTGCCCAGCTAATTTTTTGTATTTTCAGTAGAGACAAAGTTTCACCGTGTTAGCCAGGATGGTTTCGATCTCCTGACCTCGTGATCCGCCCGCCTTGGCCTCCCAAAGTGCTGGGATTACAGGCATGAGCCACCGCGCCCGGCCCGCAGAAGATTTTACTAACAAATCTGAGCTATAAACATCAGACACATAAATCATCGATTTCTGAAACTTAAGTTCTTCTTAGAAAGATGTGACTGGCTGGGCATGGTGGCTCACGCCTGTAATCTCAGCACTTTGGGAGGCTGAGGTGGGCGGATCACGAGGTCAGGAGATAGAGATCATCTTGGCCAACATGGTGAAACGCCATCTCTACTAAAAATACAAAAATTAGCCGGGGGTGGCAGTATGTGCCTGTAATCCCAGCTACTCGGGAGGCTGAGGCAGGAGAATCGCTTGAACCCGGGAGGCAGAGTTTGCAGTGAGCCGAGATTGCACCACTGCACACAAGCTTGGGTGACAAAGCGAGACTCCATCTCAAAAAACAAACAAACAAACAAACAAATGTGACTAAATGTGAAACTAAAAAGCAACAAGTAATCCTGTCAAAGGTTCAGTTGATTCAGCTTCTATATAGACAGCATAAAGACCATTTATTTGTCAAAATCTCTCTAATCTCTAGTTTACTTAAATAAACTGGTTTATTTACCTAAATTAGCCCCTCTTCAAAATAGTCACAAATTTCTAGGAGAAAAAGCAACCCAACTACCATCATTTCAATTTCTAGCTCCAAACCTTTTAAAAATTATAGGCACACACACACATGCAGTTATGTTCTCAAATAGAGCAGACCCTAAGACTTTCTCTTTCTCTCTCCTCTCCTCCCCACTCTTTTTGAGAGTGTCTTGCTCTGTTGCCCAGGCTGGAGTGCAGTGGCGTGATCTCTGCTTACTTGCAACCTCCACCTCCCGGACTCAAATGATGCTCCCACCTCCGAAGTAGCTGGGATCACAGGCACACCCACCAAGCCCAAAATACAGAATTTTTTTGTATTTTTTTGTAGAGATGAGGTCTCGCCATGTTGCCCAAGCTGGTCTTGAACCCCAGGCTCAAGTGATCCACCTGCCTCGGCCTCTCAAAGGGCTGGGATGATAGGCGTGAGCCAACACGCTCAGCTTCTAAGAGTTTTTTCTAAATATGCTAAGAAACAAAATCTAGCTTTTCCAAAATGTAAATTTCCTAGGCCCTACCCCAGGATCTACTGAATCAAAATCTGGAATCTTCATTTTGAAAAAGGCCCCTTGTGATTCTCATCATCAGCAGTTATAAATTTCTGGTTTAGGGTACCCTCTGCCATAATGTCACTGTAACAACAACCTCAGTTGGCAAAGGTGTTTTGCTTCCGGTTTTTTTTTTTTTTTGAGACGGAGTCTTGGCCTGTCACCAGGCTGGAGTGCAGTGGTGTGATCTTGGCTCACTGCAAGCTCCACCTCCCAGGTTCAAACAATTCTCCTGCCTCAGCCTCCCGAGTAGCTGGGACTACAGGCATGTGCCACCACACCCAGCTAATTTGTGTATTTTTAGTACAGACGGGGTTTCACCATGTTGGCCAGGATGGTCCCGATCTCTTGACCTCGTGATCCACCTGCCTTGGCCTCCCAAAGTGCTGGGATTACAGGCGTGAGCCACCGCGCCTGGCCACTTCTGTTTTTTTAAATAGGTAATGACTCAATATAAAAAAAGTGACAAGCCTTTCTCCCCTCATATCTATCCCACAGCCACCCACTTTATCTTTCATGAGTAACCAGTATTATCAGTTGCTTCTTTGTCCTTGTAGAAACCATTATACATACACAGGCAAATACAGATATTTCCTTTAAAAAAGGATAGCCGCGGCCCGGCGCGGTGGCTCACGTCTGTAATCCCAGCACTTTGGGAGGCTGAGGTAGGCGGATCACGACGTCAGGAGATCGAGACCATCCTGGCTAACACAGTGAAACCCCGTCTCTACTAAAAATACAAAAAATTAGCTGGGTGTGGTGGCGGGCGCCTGTAGTCCCAGCTACTCAGGAGGCTGAGGCAGGAGAATGGCGTGAACCTGGGAAGCGGAGCTTGCAGTGAGCCAAGATCGTGCCACTGCACTCCAGCCTGGGGACAGAGCGAGACTCCGTCTCAAAAAAAAAAAAAAAAAGGTTGCCGTAAACAATACATTGTTAGGTGAACCAATGTGTAGAACAACGTGTATCTTGGAGATCGTTTCCTATTGGTACACAGAACTTCCTTATTCTCTTTTAACATGCATAGTATATGGAACTGTGTATTGATGCATGTATATGCAACATAGTATATGCAACTGTATTATACTTAAATCAGCCCATCATTGGACATCTATATTATTTCCAATCTTTTGCTGCAATACATAATACACATATGTCAGTCATTTCATACATGTGCAAGTCTACCTGCAGGATAAATTCCTAGACATGGAAATACTAGGTCAAAGATACAGGTATTCTAATTCTGATAGATACTGCCAAATTGCCTTCCCAGAGGGTATAATAGTTTTCATTCCCACTTGCAATATGAGAGAGTTTTAAGGTTTTTTGTTTGTTTGTTTTTTCTCGAGACGGAGTCTTGCTCTGTCACCGAGGCTAGAGTGCAATGGTGTGATCTTGGCTCACTACAACCTCTGCCTCCTGGGTTCAAGCAATTATCCTGCCTCAGCCTCCCGAGTAGCTAGGATTACAGGCGTGCACCACCACATCCAGCTAATGTTTTGTATTTTTTAGTAGAGACGGGGTTTCACCATGTAAGCCAGACTGGTCTCAAACTCCTGACCTTGTGATCCGCCCACCTCGGCCTCCCAAAGTGCTGGGATTACAGGCATGAGACACCACGCCCAGCTGAGAGTTTAAGCTTTATACTTCACTGAATATGAACAGTGCCAATGGCTTCCTTTCTAGATGCTTCCCTGAAAATATGCTACTTTTACAGCCTAGTTATGTAACAAACAGGATTCTAAAAACACATTCTGAGACAGGCGCAGTGGCTCACCCCTGCAATCCCAGCACTTTGGGAGGCCAAGGCAGGAGGATCACTTGAGCCCAGGAGGTCAAAGCTGTAGTAAGCTATGACTGAGCCACTGCACCCCAACCTGGACAATAGAGTGAGACCCTATCTCAAAAAATAAACAAATAAAAGCACCTTCTGTAACACAGAAATCTGTGTAATTTTACCAATGCTACAGAAAGTTTTCAGGCCAGGTGTAGTGGCTCACGCCTGTTATCCCAACACTTAAGGAGGCTGAGGCAAGAGGAATGCTTGAAACCAGGAGTTCCAGAATAGCCTGGCCAATATTGTGAGACACTATCTCTAATTTAAAGTTGTTTGGGTTGTTTTTTGTTTTCTGTTTTTTTTTTTTGAGATGGGGTCTTGTTCTTGTTGCCCAGGCTATAATGGTGCAATCTCAGCTCACTGCAACCTCTGCCTCCCAGGCTCAAGCGATCCTCCCACCTCAGCCTCTAGAGTAGTTGGGACTACAGGCGTGTGCCATCACACCCAGCTAATCTTTGTATTTTTTTGTAGAGAGAGGGTTTCCCTGTGTTGCCCAGGCTGGTTTCAAACTCATGGACTCAAGGAATCCACCCACCTCAGCCTCCCCAAGTGCCGGGATTAGAGGCGTGAGCTATCACACTCGGCCCTTAAGTTATTTTGTATTGTTATTATTAGTAGTATTTTTGATTATTATATTATTATTTTTGAGACTCTGTCGCCCAGGCTAGAGTACAGTGGCACGATCTCAGCTCACTGCAACCTCTGCCTCCCGGGTTCAAGTGATTCTCCCACCTCAGCCTCTTGAGTAGCTGGGATTACAGGCATGTGCCACCACGCCTGGCTAATTTTTTGTATTTTTAGTAGAGATGGGGTTTCACCGCACTGGTCAGGCTGGTCTGGAACTCCCAACCTCAGGTGATCTGCCCTCCTCGACCTCCCAAACTGCTGGGATTACAGGCGTGAGCCACCACGCCTGGACTTAAAGTTATTTTTTAAAAAGGAGAAATTTTTCAGATTATTTGAGCCCAAGAAAGAGGGGAGCTGAGAGAAAGGAGAAGCTGAGGTTAAGGCAATTCTTTCCATTCTTGGCTGACATGCACACGATGGGAACTATTTTCCCTTACTTCAGCATAAAAGACTTAAAATTTTCCACTTACTATACAAAGTGTTATTCATGTGAAAAATGAACCAAGCTGTTTATTATTTTAACCAACAAAAGCTCTGCAAGTGCTAGATTTAGTGCTGTACAAGATGACTTTACTAATAAAGGGAGGATGCCCAAAGAGATTTACCATTAGCTAAGAAAAAATAATCTCACGCAGAGGATATGCTGAAGAGATAATGAGCTAGAGAAACAGAACTGGAATGTTTCATTTCTTTTATAATACACAGAGAACACAGAGAGGAGGAAAAAGGGAACACACTTTTAACTGAAAGAGTTGACAATTTTATTTTCACATTTCCCAATACAAAGGAAAACTGCATCTTTTTTGTCCCACTTCTCCCCTCCAAAACTATTCTCTTTCATAGGACAGGGGAGCAAGTCTTCCTTATGCTGTTTAGAAAACTCAGTATCACAGCAGCATGATCTCCTGGTGAAGCAGAACAGGTAATATAAAACCGATACAATAAGGCCTCCCCTCTATCCTTATCTGTCTGGTCGAGTCATTCCGGGCCGAGTGGGCACCATCATGGGACGGGCAGGAGGTCTCATCATTGGGGGCCCAGGCATCATTGGCATATGGCCTCCCATGGGCGGCCTCATTCCAGGAGCTGCAGGACAAAACAAAGAAGAGGGAGAAAAAGGGAGTCAGAAAATACGATTTAGGGAGAGTTTGATGGGACTTCAATTAAAAACAAAAAACGTAGCCCCCCTTGCAAAATGCTGGAAAAAAGACACACGTGACAGAAGAAATGCAACAAATTTATCACATCTGTAAATTACTTAGACATTCTCAAACAAAAAACAAAAAGGTCAACACAAGAACCATATGGGAATCATGATCTAATGATAGTAAGGGGGAAACTATTAATAGACTGCTTTCCAGAAATCGCCAGGGACACTAGTTCCCTAAACTGACCTTTTTTTCTCACTCAGGGAAATTCACAACTAAGTCACATGTTTTTCAGTCAGCTCTTTTAATCAGTGTTATCCACCATATAACCAGGAGCTATTTCATGAATGTACACAGGCACAGAGGACAATCTTACCACTAAGCGTTTGTTCGGAGTTGTAGGAAAGGTGAGCAGGAGGCCCATGCTGAGAACCTGTTAGTAACCATACTTAGCTCAAGTCAAGAAAAATAATAGGCAATAACGTGATTTATAACAATTAGCGCACACAAAAATCTGATTTTTCTAATGCATTTCAGAAACTATTAATGAATTTTTTTAAGTGTCCCATCAATAAACCAGCCAAATAAATGAGCCAGGGAGGGGAGGGCAGGCAGAGGGGTAGGGGAGGAACACAGGTAGTTTCAATGGAATTGATAATGTTCTACTTCTCAGCTGGGTGGTGGGTTCATGGATATTAATTTTACTATTACGCCACATAATTTCACGTTATCTATATTCTTTTTAAATATCAAATCTTACCAATTTATTTTTAACTAAATAATTTTGATTAAAGGTTTGCAGCAAAGGGTTCAAGAGAAAACCATATTCAAACTTGAATATAGCCTTATCACAAATGGTGAAACACAAGAATATGCAAAGACACAAAATCCAACAGGTACAGAATTTAAGACCAATTTAAACAGGAACAGAGAATACTACTAACTTCTAAATACGACATAAAAGCCCATGCTTAACCTATATTGAAGAATTTCTTAGAGGAAATGGATGGACATAGACCAAAGACTAAAAACTGGAAACTCGTTTTCTTTAGTCTCCATAGTGAATTTACTTTGAATCAGTTGACAACATTGGGATTTCATACAAAAGTCTAGATTCCTTTTTTCTTTTAAACTTTTTATTATGGAAATGTTCAAACATACACAAGAATAGTAAAGAAGAGTATAATGAACATCCATGTATCCATCATCCAGCTTCAACAATTATCCACTCATGGACAACTTTATCTATACTCCCCACCCATTCCTATCCCCGTCCACCCTCTAATTACTCAATTATTTTAACACAAATCCCACAATCTTATCATTTTATCCTGGTTTGAAAAAACAGAAAACAAAAAGCAAACTCAGGAGAAAAGGCAACACCAAGCCTGTATTCTCAAATGTCAACCATAGGCTGAAGCTGAGTTCTAGAAGACTTCTTTAGATGAATCATGCATTCCCCAGTTCACCACATCCCTAAAACCTCTAAGAATTTGAATTTGTGAGCCTGGTTTAAGGATGCTAAAGCCATTGAAGTCATTTGATTGTGTTTTGGGCTCACAAGTCAGTAAGGCAGGAATTCTCTTTATCTACACTCTCCCCCTCCTCTAAGTGATACCTGCAGCACACATACTGATACTTCTGCCTAGGAAGCTACTCTAGTAACTTTGCAGCTTGTTTTTCCAGAAGAGTTGTAGGTGTTGGTCACATCTGTTCCCAAACCTGATTATGTCAGTTGTAGTTATTACTCCAATTATATATATATAATTTTTCTGCAAACCAATTAAATGAGTGTGAAAAGAGAATAGCTTCTATGAAAACTAACTTAATACTTAGGAAGACTCAGATAAACTATCACCAAAAAATGCTCAACAATTTGGTAGGCAAAGTAATCATAAAAGATTGGAACTAGATTATATCACAAGGTCTCAGACCACTTCAAAGAAATGAAACTAAAGTTGGTGGAGGATGTGCTATAGTTATGGCTTGCTGGTTTATGCAATAAATATACAGTGTTCCAATCATTAGACACACTTTTTTTTTTTTTTTTTTTTTGAGACACAGTCTCACTCTGTCACCCAGGCTGGAGTGCAGTGGCACAATATCAGCTCACTGCAACCTCTGCCTCCTGGGTTCAAGTGATTCTCCTGCCTCAGCCTCCTGAGTAGCTGAGACAACAGGCGCGTGCCACCACACCTGGCTAATTTTTTGTATTTTTAAGTAGAGATGGGGTTTCATTGTGTTAGCCAAGATGGTCTTGATCTCTTGACCTCGTGATCTGCCTGCCTTGGCCTCCCAAAGTGCTGGGATTACAGGCATGAGCCACCGCGCCTGGCCTAGACACACTCTCAAAGCAAAGGTCCTGCTCATGTATCAGAAAGATTTGCAAATTAATGTATGTTTAAATTTACATTAAAATAAAATGTTTGAAGTGTAAGTTTTTTACGCCTCCCTAAATAAAAAAACAACTACCAGGCTGAAAGCCTTTTTAATATAATGATGTGGCCAAGTTAAACTGCAAGATTAAACAAGCAACAAGAAGTGGCTCTGCTCCAAATCAAAACTGAGAAAATGTATCTATAACCTTCCCCCTTCCCACAAAATGGAACAAGCTCATCTACCCTTCTCTTCAGTATAAATGGCCAAAAGCCAGGATGAGGCAAGGAAACAGAAGAGAGGAAAAGAAAAACAGAAGCAACCTATCCTGCTTTTAGTAGCACGAGGTCACTGGACACCATCCAATTATAATGATAAACCAAGTATTTCTTTTTCTTTATCATTAATAATTGACCAAATTTAATTTGTTACAATAGTACATTTAGACAGCTAATTAGATAATTTATGTAAATATTCCACCCTCAGAGGTGGAGCACAACTCCCCATTTTCAAGCTTTGGCTACACATACTGACTTCCTTCCATTAAGTGTCAGCTATGCATAGTAACTAAACTAAATGGAACAAACTAGAAAGACAGACATTCAAACTTACCAGGTCCCACTGGCATCATCCCAGGAGGAGGAGGGCCCATCATTGGCATCATGGGAGGGCCCCCCATATGGGGTGCTGGCATCATACCAGGGCGAGGAGGACCCGCTGAAATAAAGAATGGAGCCTGTGGTTAAGGTGTGCTCACATATTAACATTTTCTCTTCTTTTTTTTTGAGACGGAGTTTCGTTCTTGTTGCCCAGGCCGGAGTGCAATGGCACAATCTCGGCTCACCACAACCTCTGCCTCCCAGGTTCAAGCAATTCTCCTGCCTCAGCCTCCCAAGTAGCTGAGATTACAGGCATGTGCCACCACGCCCAGCTAATTTTGTATTTCTAGTAGAGACAGGGTTTCTCCATGTTGGTCAGGCTGGTCCTGAACTCCCAACCTCAGGTGATCTGCCCACGTCGACCTCCCAAAGTGCTAGGATTACAGGCGTGAGCCACTGCGCCCAGCAACATTTTCTCTTCTTAATCAAACTAAAAGGATCTCATGAACTCCTTCAAATTCTGAAACAACAACCCTCTTATGGTCTCTTTTTATAATAGCAGATCCACAAAAATCACAGGCCATAACACATTAATCTATGAATAAAAAGCAAGAACAAGCCTGCCTAGACAGGAGAATAAAATAAAGTCAGATTCCCTAGGTTAAGAAAAAATTGAGATTTTAATTTAAAAAAACAAAACAAGGGGGTGGAGAGGTTGTACCTTCTATAGAGCTCCTGACAAAAAGCTGATGAACTTAAGCCACAAGTATCTAATTTAAGATCCCTTTGTAAAAAATGAAAACATGGTTTTAAAAGATTCTTTGAAAATGCAAAGACTTATATGCAGGGATATTTCTGACAGTATCATTTACAATACCTAAAATTTGGAACAACTTAATAAGAAAATAGTGAGGTAGGCTGGGGGTGGTGGCTCAAGCCTGTAATCCCAGCACTTTGGGAGGCCGAGGCGGGCAGATCACAGGAGGTCAGGAGTTCGGAACCAGCCTGGCCAACATGGCAAAACCCCATCTCTACTAAAAATACAAAATTAGCTGGGCAGGAGAATCACTTGAATCCAGGGAACCCAGGAGGCGGAGGTTGCAGTGAGCTGAGATCGTGCCACTGCACTCCAGCCTGGGCAACAGAGTGAGACTCTGTCTCAAAAAAAAAAAAAAAAAAGAAAGAAAGAAAATAGTGAGGTAAATTATGGTAAATTCATACCATAGACTATTCCGCTATCAAAAATAATGGAGTTGAGTGCCAGCCAGTCAAGGTAGAGAAGGAGAGAGAAGTAACCTTGGAGTTGCTATGGGCTGAGGCCTGACCAGGTCCTAGGATGGCAGGTGCCCAGAAAAGGTTTGCCAGGGCATTAGTGGTCCACCTACATTAGTGTGCAACTATTACAAACAGTCTACTTCCCTGGGTTTATACCCGTGATTGTGTGCAAGATTGAGTCTAGGTCCTGAATGTGATTTCAGTCTGACCCCTCCCAGGAGAGCTACAGTACAGTACGACCCAGTACAGCACTCAGTCTCCTCTTGTCTGTCACACAGAAACAACAAACTTTCCCAGAAAGCTGGGCCCATGATCCACTCCACTTTCAATGATCTAATTCTTACCTTTCCTTCTTTTCTTTTCTTTTTTTTTTTTTTTTTGAGACAAAGTCTTGCTGTATTGCCCAGGCTGGAGTACACAGTGAGGTGATCTCAGCTCACTGCAACCCCCACCACCCGGGTTCAAGCAACTCTCCTGCCTCAGCCTCCTGAGTAGCTGGGACTACAGACGTGCACCACCATGCCTGGCTAACTTTTGTATTTTTAGTAGGGATGGGGTTTCACGATGTTAGCCAGGCTGGTCTCGAACTCCTGACCTCAGGTGATCCACCCACCTCAGCCTCCCAAAGTGCTGGGATTACAGGTGTGAACCACCACGCCCAGCCTAATTCTTATCTTTCTAAGGTATAGATTTTGGTGTTAGGTGGGTTAGAAAATAGGGCAAAAGACTAAGGAGTTTATCAGCTATTTTAATCCTCCAGTGCTGGGCTCATAGCAGTAAATAATTTAATGTACCTAGCAACTCCTATTCATGTATTAGCTCATCTAATCACAGGTTCATTCTGAGCTTTCTTTCCATTTAAATCTGTCTTAGATCCACACTTGGGATTCCACAAATACAGTATCTTAGTGACAATGCAATCAAAAGTTAACTCTAAAGTTATTTTAGAAATTATACCACTAAAGTTGTTTTCTATTACTACCTGCATCTATATTCAACATTTATATATTTATACATTTATATTACTATCTACATACAAATGCAACAGCATTTGAAAGCCAACGGTGAGATAATCTAACCTAATCAAAGGATAGCCTGCCCCGTCACACCCCTTAAGATTAAAAGTTTAAACTTACGAAGGCTGGGGGGAGGTGGTATCATCGCCCCTGCAGGAGGAGGAGCAGAGAATGGAGTAGGAGGTATCTTTCCTTGTTGAAATGCAGCCGCTTTGGAGGGTGAGGAAAAAAAAAAAAAAAAAGATGAATAAGAATTCAACAATCCAGTAACTAAAATAACCACTTTCTTTAAGTCTTCAACGGTTCCAATTACTTTACTCTTGCTAGTTGTCATCTAAAATTATTACATCATGGTTCTACAGTTTTAAAATCATTTTTAGGTATTCACCGGCTAAAAGTGCAGTTAATTGGTTTATTGATTTATGTTTTCTACTTAGCATTTCTATGGCTAAATTAAATATGGGAGACTGGAGCAAAAATTTCCTGCTTATCAATGTCTTCTTTTTGAGACAGAGTCTCACTGTCACCCATGTTGGAGTGCAGGGACACAACCGCAGCTCACAGCAGCTTCGACCTCCCGGGCTCAGGTGACCCTCTCAATTCATCCTCCCGAGTAGCTACAGGTGCATGGCACCACACCTGGCTAACTTTTTATTTTTTATAGAGACCGGGTTTCACCATATTGCCCGGGCTGGTCTCAAACTCCTGAGTCCACGCAATCCACTCACCTCAGCTTACCAGAGTGCTAGGATTATAGGCGTGAGCCGCCATGCCTGGCCCTATCAATGTCTTTTACCAAAGAGGAACAGTCATCTTTAATCTATAGATGTAGTTTATAACCAATTCAAGCCATTCATAGTTTTGTTTGAAAAAGTGTAATACGTGCCCAAAAAGCTAGGCTTTATAAAATTTCTATCCTTCCTATGTATGCTGTCCTAGGTCAAAATAATACACCATGTTGGTTTACCAGTTTGGAAATCGATGCACTAAACTAGGATATTTAAAACATACAAAGATTTCAAACTATAAGCCTGCCCCAAAAGAGATTATGATTTTTAAGAAAGTCTAATGCAATCAATTTAAAAATTTTTTTTTCAGATGAAGCACAAGAGAAAACAAGAGAAACTGAAGATCATCTATATTTAGTGTTAGAAAAGAATCACAAATAAATATTAAAATACACACTCATAAAGTCTATTCCTGACATAAGCTGTCTACAGCCCATCCCACTCCACTCCCACCAATGCAAAGGAAGTCAAATTACTCATCAATTATTGATAATTCATGGGATCAGATCCAAAAAAAGTGACCTAAGTGGAGATTCATGAATAGCTTATTATCCATATGCCTCTGAATAAAGCCTGTGCGATCTCAGGGATTACACCCCAATATGGACTTTTTCAATCAAAAAGGCCTCTCTCACATCCTTTGTAAGAGGACAGCTTGTAAAGCCTGAAGTGGGGGAAGCAAAGTCACTGACTTAGTAGCAGGCTCTATGTCAATATAATCATGGATTTCATAGGTGTGTCCCTGAGGGGCTCCCCCCCATTCTCAAAAAGTCCTCCACTAAAAATGTTTATTCTGACTAGCCTTAAAACAAAAACAAAAACGTGTATTCAAGCCGAGTGCAGTGGCTCCTGCCTGTAATCCTAGCACTTTGGGAGGCTGAGGCAGGAGGATCTCTTGAGCTCCAGAGTTAAAGACTAGCTTGGGCAACATAGTGAGATCCCGTCTCTACAAAAAATAAAGATTAGCTGAGCATGGTGGTGTGCACCTGTAGTCCCAGCTACTTGGGAGGCTGAGGCAGGAGGAATGCTTGAGCCCAGGAGTTCAAGGCTACAGTGAGCTATGATCAGGCCACTGCACTCCAGCCTGGGTGACAGAGTAAGACTCTATCTCTAAAAAAATTAAAATTTAAATAAAAAAAGTTTATTCATCCTAAATTATTTTGCTGCATATGGAAAGTAACTACAGAATATACTGTAAATCTTTTAATGCCAAGAAATTTCTAACATCTTTTCAAATAAGGAGACAAGATTACATCATGGTTTATTTTTTCATATGAAATGGGACAATGGGGCAGGTGTGGTGGCTCATGCCTATAATCCCAACACTTCTGGAGGCCGAGGCAGGAGGATTGCTTGAGGCCAGGAGTTCAAGACCAGCCTGGGCAACAAAGTGAGACACCATCTCTATAAAAAATTTTACAAAATTAACCTGGCATAGTGGTGTGCACCTGTAGCCCTACCTACTCAGGAGGCCAAGACCGGAGGATCACCTGAGCCCAGAAATTTGAGGCTGCAGTGAGCTTTAATGGCACCACAGCACTCCAGTCTGGGCAACAGAGTGAGACTCAGTTCTAAAAAAAAAATTGTGACTGGGCATGGTGGCTCATGCCTGGCCTGTAATCCCAGCACTTTGGGAGGCTGAAGCAGGTGAATACTTGAGGTCACGAGTTCAAGACCAGCCTGGCCAACATGGTGAAACCTCATTTCTACCAAAAATACAAAAAAATTAGCCAGGTGTGGTGGCATGCACCTGTAGTCCCAGCTACTCGGGAGGCTGAGGCAGGAGACTCGCTTGAACCCAGGAGGCAGAGGCTGCAGTGAGCTGAGATCGTGCCACTGCACTCCAACCTGGGCAATGGAGCAAGACTCAATCTCAATAAATAAATAAAATAAATAAATAAATAAATAAATATATAAGATAAATTTTAAAAACTGGGACAATGTCTGAGGTTTGCTCCATAATAATCCAGGAAGGAGAAAGGGAGTAGATGACAATATTCAGTGGCTGTCTCGGCCAGAAACAATTTTGCTTCCCAGGGGCACTGCACAATGCCTGGAGATATTTTTAGTAGTCACAACTGGAGGTTGGTACGGGCATCTAGTTGGCATATGCCAGGGATGCTGTCAAACATCCTGAAATGCACAGAAAGACCCTCACAGCAAAAGATTATCCAGCCTTAAATGCCAACAGTATCGAGGTTGAGAAACTTAGAATAAATGGAACAAGAGTGCTACAGCTGAGCAATGAGAAATGAAGGGTGAGGAAATTCAGAATGGGAGGTTCATTAAGCTTGTCTAGTTTTTTTTTTCAGACAGAGTCTCGCTCTGTTGCCCAGGCTGGAATGCAGTGGCGAGATCTCTGTTCACTGCAACCTCCACCTCCCGGGTTCAAGCGATTCTCCTGCCTCAGCCTCCCAAGTAGCTGGGATTACAGGCATGTGCCACCACACCCAGGTAATTTTGTATTTTTACTAGAGACACGGTTTCTCGATGTTGGTCAGGCTGGTCTCAAACTGCTGATCTCAGGTGATCCACCCACCTCGGCCTCCCAAAGTGCTGGGATTACAGGCATGAGCCACCATGCCAGGCCCCCGCTTCTCTATTTTATTTGAAAATTTCCACAATAGTTTTGCCTTTTTATTATTTATTAATTATTATTATTTTTTTGAGATGGAGTCTCACTCTGTCACCCAGGTTGGAGTGCAGTGGCGCAATCTTAGCTCACTGCAACCTCCGCTTCCTGGGTTTGAGCGATTCTCCTGCCTCAGTCTCCCAAGTAGCTGGGGCTACAGGCACGCACCACCATGCCCGTCTGAATTTTTTGTTTTTTGTTGTTTTTTTTTGTTTGTTTTTGAGACGGAGTTTCCCTCTTGTTGCCCAGGCTGGAATGCAATGGCGCGATCTCGGCTCAACCCAACCTCCGCCTCCCAGGTTCAAGCAATTCTCCTGCCTCAGCCTCCCAAGTAGCTGGGATTACAGGCATGCACCACCACGCCCAGCTAATTTTGTATTTTTAGTAGAGACGGGGTTTCTCCATGTTGAGGCTGGTTTCGAACTCCTGACTTCAGGTGATCCACCCGCCTCAGCCTCCCAAAGTGCTAGGATTACAGGCGTGAGCCACCACGCCCGGCCAATTTTTTGTATTTTTAGTAGAGATGGGGTTTTGCCATGTTGGCCAAGCTGGTCTCGAACTCCTGACCTCAGAGGATCTGCCCACCTCCTCCTCCCAAAGTGCTGAGATTACAGGCGTAAGTAAGCCACTGTGCCCGGACAGTTTTGCCTTTTTATTGTTTTTTAATTTTTAAAAAAATTTTTGGCTGGGCATGGTGGCTCACGCCTGTAATCCCAGCACTTTGGGAGGCCGAGGCGGGTGGATCACGAGGTCAGGAGTTCAAGACCAGCCTGGCCAAGATGGTGAAATCCCGTCTCTACTAAAAATACAAAAATTGGCTAGGCACGGTGGCATGCGCCTGTAATCCCAGCTACTCGGGAGGCTGAGGCAGGAGAATCGCTTGAACCTGGGAGGTGGAGCTTGCAGTGAGCCAAGATCACACCACTGCACTCCAGCCTGGCGACAGAGTGAGACTGTCTCAAATAAATAAATAAATAAAAATAAATAAAAAATACAAATTTTTAATTTTTTTTTTTTTTGAGACAGTCTCACTCTCTCACCCAGGCTGGAGTGCAGTAGTGCAATCTCAGCTCACTGCAACCTCCACCTTCTGGGTTCAAGCGATTCTCCTGCCTTAGCCTCCTGAGTAGCTGGGATTAGAAGCAGGCACCACCACGCCCCGCTAATTTTTATATTTTTAGTAGAGATGGGGTTTCACCATTTGGCCAGGATGGTCTCCAACTCCTGGCCTCAAGTGATCTGCCAGCCTCGGCCTCCCAAAGTACTGGGATTACAGGCATCAGCCACTGCACCTGGCCTACTGCTTTTTTAAAAAGGCACATCACAAAGCCCATATTTGCTTGCCAGCTTGGAGTACAATGAATGATTAAGAAAGGCCGTGATTCAAATATACCAGGATGATCTAAAGTAAAAATGCAATATCTCCTTCTGTTAGTGTCCCGGACCCAATAAGCCAGAACAAAATGTTCCTAACAAAAAGAGCATGGGAGGTACAACAGGGGTCCAAAACATATCCAGACTATTTTGTTACATCAGGTAGTCTCTTTTTGACTAGTACTCTATCAGGACTACAAATAAGAAATCTAAATATAGTCTCAAACTATTTGGGGAAAACCACAAACCCACTCCTCACCTGCTCCTATTAGAATAGGAACATACTTCTAAAACCTGTGGATTACTACAAAGGGGCTTTATAGAAATTTGCTACAAAATCTCGTCTGTGCCAATAGATAAATATTAAGCACCTCCACTCTTCTCTGCCTCACTTCCCCATCTAACCTTATTGCTGTCTCTGACTGCTCTATCCTCAATAATAAATATTAATGTGTTCTTATATCCTTGGGAAACCAATGACCTTCTGCTTCTTTCATTCGACACATCCAAATGCTCCTATTTATCATTCAGAATGAGTTGCCTCTGTGAAAAACACCAGAGACAGGGATAAGAAAGAATAGGACCATTTTACCACAGCAGAACAAGAGATTGAAACATACTTGTTTTGTCAATCAGGCTCTGAGCCTGCTCTTCCATCCATTTCTGATAATAGTCTTTCACATTCTCTTTGTGTTTCCTTCCACTGCAGTGTGTCTTTCTCACAGATGGCTGTAAAATAAAAAGATCATATCAGACGTAGAAACAAATGTCCAACACTAAAAATTTAATAAAGTTTTACCTTTATATAAGTAGCGTGTCTAGTATCAGCAGCATTAGCTGGCTGCTACAGTATTACTTAAAAACATTATCCAGCAACACACTGTGGTAATTTTTTTACTATATTATCTAGACCAGAGGTCAGCAAACTATGCCCCATTGGCCAGCCACTGGCTTTTGTGTTTTAAAAAAAAAGTATTGGAACACAACCACATTTATCTCTATCTATCTTTTTTTTTTTTTCTAACAGGGTCCTGCTCTGTTGCCCAGGCTGGAATACAATAGCACGATCTCGGCTCACTGCAGCCTCAACCATCCGGGCTCAAGCAATCATCCCACCTCAGCCTCCTGAGTTGCTGGGACTAGAGACACAAGCCACTATGACCAGCCAACTTTTTAATTTTTTGTAGAGATGACGTCTCACAATGTTGCCCATTCTGGTCTCAAACCCCTAGGCTCAAGTGATCCTCTCATCTTGGCCTCCCAAAGTGCTGTGAGATTACAGGTGTGAGCCACAGAGCCCAGCACATTTATTTATATATTGGCTACAGCTTCTCTCTACAAGGAACAGTTGAGTAACTGCAGCAAAGGTGGTGGTTGCAGCTACTTGGGAGGCTAAAATGGGAAGCACGTTTGAGCCCAGGAGATCAAGGCTACAGTGAGCCAAGATCACTCCACTACACTCCAGCCTGGGTGACAAAGCAAAATCCTATCTCCAAAATAAAAAAAATTGTTCCTGGCTGGGCGCAGTAGCTCAAGCCTGTAATCCCAGCACTTTGGGAGGCCGAGGTGGGTGGATCACAAGGTCAGATCGAGACCATCCTGGCTAACATGGTGAAACCTCGTCTCTGCTAAAAATACAAAAAAGTATGGTGGCGGGCACCTGTAGTCCTAGCTACTCAGGAAGCTGAGGCAGGAGAATGGCGTGAACCCAGGAGGCGGAGCTTGCAGTGAGCCAAGATCATGCCATTGCACTCCAACCTGGGCGACACAGAGATACTCCGTCACAAAAAAAAAAAAAAAAAAAAAAAAATTGTTCCTTGTCTTCCCAACCACTGCTTACATTAATACAATGATGCCTTAAGCCTAATAACAAAATCATGACTAGCAGCCAGTCGCGGTGGCTCACACCTATAATCCCAGCACTTTGGGAGGCCAAAGTGTGCGGATCACCTGATGTCAGGAGTTCAAGACCACCCTGGCCTACAAGGCGAAACTGTCTCTACTAAAAATACAAAAATTAGTTGGGCATGATGGCACGCGCCTGTAATCCCAGCTACTCGGGAGGCTGAGGCAGGAGAATCACTTGAATCTAGGAGGTGGAGGTTGCAGTGAACTGAGATCATGCTACTGCACTCCAGCCTGGGCAACACAGTGAGACTCCATCTCAAAAAAAAAGACAAAAACATGACTAAAAATCAACCAAAGTCCAAAAATTACAGCACTACTGAATGTTTTTACACATTTCTTTTTTGTTGTTTTTTTTTTTGGTTTTTTTTGAGACGGAGTCTCACTCTGTCACCCAGGCTGGAGTGCAGTGGCAAGATCTCAGCTTACTGCAACCTCTCCCTCCCAGGTTCAAGTGATTCTCCTGCTTCAGCCTCCCAAGTACCTGGGACTATAGGCGCGTGCCACTACACCCAGCTAATTTTTTTTTGTATTTTTAGTAGAGATGGGGTTTCACTATGTTGGCCAGGCTGGTTTTAACTCCTGATCTCGTGATCTGCCCACCTTGGCCTCCTAGTGCTGGGATTACAGGTGTAAGCCACCACACCCAGCTGATTTTACACATTTCTAAGTCCACTGCAGGGATCTGTAAAATCAATCACCATAGACATTTTCTATTTTTGCAAGACATCATTTTAGAAGGAACAAGGGTTCATGACATTTCTCATGAAAAGATATTTATAATATAAAGAAATACTTCTCAGTTCTCTGAATTCTGGCATTAGCAAGAAGGTGAATAATAGGTATATTAAACTATAATGCCAAAAAAGGGCAGAAAGGCACAGCCCCCTCATTAACAATTTCAGAAAATTATGTCGAGGGGTTTTACCTAGAGAGGGGTAAAAAAAGGACTAGGGACCTATAAGGAAGAACTGACTAGCTACTAAAAATACCAATTTATCAGAGCACTCTATTCTAGGACAATGTATGATAATACACAGAACTTGGCCGGACACAGTGACTCACTCCCAGCACTTTGGGAGGCTGAGGCGGGACCGTTTTTTCATGGTGAAACCCCGTCTGTACTAAAAATAAGAAAACTAGCCAGGTGTGGTGGTGCAGGCCTGTAATCCCAGCTACTGGAGAAGCTGAGACAGGAGAATTGCTTGAGCCTGGGACGCAGAGGCTGCAGTGAAACAAGATCGCGCCATTGCACTCCAGCCCAGGAAATAAAGCAAGACTCCATCTCAAAAAAAAAAAAAAAAAAAGATAATATACAGAACTATAATAATGTCTTCAAGAGGAACCACCCAACTTAAATGTTCCACATCTCTATTAATGCTGTACTACATCTGACCATATGTTAGAAAGAATTTCAAATAAGGTGACAATAGAAAAATCACTGGCCAGTTTCTTCCAGCTACTATTCAAGATGATCAAGAATCATAATTTAG
The DNA here is from genome assembly GCF_000001405.40 of Homo sapiens. NCBI lineage: Eukaryota > Metazoa > Chordata > Mammalia > Primates > Hominidae > Homo > Homo sapiens. The sequence continues at coordinate 34,759,925 of NC_000006.12, read as the reverse complement.
ACCAGCCTGGGAAACACAGTGAGGCCTCAGCTGTAAAAAGAGTTATGATTTAATCAGATTTCTACAGAGACAGCAAAGCATAGAGCTGCAGTGTTCAAGGTATGGTTCACAGACAGACATCTAAGGGTCTCTGAGACTCTTTCATGAGGTCTGCAAGGTCAAAGTGTTTTCATAATACTACTAAGCCATTACTTTCCTTTTTCACTGTATTGACATTTTCACTGATGATGCCAAACTCCTGGTACTTTAGAATGAATCAAGGCAATGGCAACCTACTGTATTAGTGATCACTGTATTCTTCAACGTATGTACTCATGGGGGAAAAAAAAGCCAGTTCCACTGAGTGTCCTTAATGAAGCAACAAAATTATTAATTTTTATTAAAAACCCTTAAGTTCAATTCTTTTTAATATTCTGAGTGACAAAATGGGAAGTATAGACAAAGCCACTTGTGTTGCATGCCAAAATATGATGCTCTTTCAAGGAAAAGCAGGCATGTAATTGTTCAAATTGTGAGCTCTACTAGCTGCCTCTCTTGAAGTCCTGGGCTCAAGCAATCCTCCTTCCTCGGCCTCCCGAAGTGCTGGGATTACAGACATGAGCCACCATATCCAGCCCAGCTGCCTCTTTGATGGAACACCATTTTTATTTGAGAGTGACTGAGACACAAACTGTATATTCAGACTTCTCAAAAATGAATGGAGTGAGCCTGTCACTTCAAGGAGAGCAATGGAAAGTATTGCCAATGATAGAATTTGAGCTATTAAGCAAAAATCAGAATTTTGGAAAATATTATTTGCCACCATAAGCTTGACAGCTTCCCAATACTTAAAGGTGGTTCTGATTAGATTGTGACATTAATTAACGTGGGTTTTCTTTTCTTTTTTTTTTTTTTTTTTTTTTTTTTGAGACGGAGTCTCGCTCTGTCGCCCAGGCTGGAGTGCAGTGGCGGGATCTCGGCTCACTGCAAGCTCCGCCTCCGAGGTTCACGCCATTCTCCTGCCTCAGCCTCCCGAGTAGCTGGGACTATAGAGTCGCCCGCCCGCCACCGCGCCCAGCTAATTTTTTGTATTTTTAGTAGAGACGGGGTTTCACCGTGGTCTCGATCTCCTGACCTCGTGATCCGCCCGCCTCGGCCTCCCAAGGGTTTTCATTACATAATCAAATGTGTCTACATTTGAACCCTGGCACTAACTCAAGTCAATCAACATTTTCCAAATAACCAATGCACATTACAAAATCATGCATGGTAAAAGATCCACTCAAGTGCTCTTAAGATAGACCACTAAATTTTTTTTTAAGAGACGGGGTTGGCTGGGCATGGTGGCTCACACCTGTAATCTCAGCACTTTGGGAGGCCGAGGAGGACAGATCGCCTGAGGTCGGGAGTTCGAGACCAGCCTGACCAACATGGAGAAACCCCATCTCTCCTAAAAATTCAAAATTAGCCGGGCGTGGTGGCCCATGCCTGTAATCCCAGCTACTCGGGAGGCTGAGGCAGGAGAATCGCTTAAACCCGGGAGGAGCAGGTTGCAGTGAGCCGAGATTGCACCACTGCACTCCAGCCAGGGCAACAAGAGCGAAACTCCGTTTCAAAAAAAAAAAAGTACTAACAAAACATTCTGCTTTAACTGTTGTTATTATTTGACAAGCAGCTTTTTTTGTTTTGTTGTCCAGGCTGGAGTGCAGTGCCTGATCATGCCTCACTGCAGCCTGGACCTCAAGCAATTCTCTCACCTCATCCTCTTGCGTATCTGGGACTGCAGGCACACCACCATGCCTGACTTGTTAAGCAGTTTTTAATCAAAGTTACTGGAAGGGTGGGAAAATAACCTCCAATTATTTTCTTCAAGGAGTAGACCTTAAACCTCAGCAGGTGGGAAAGCACAACTTGCAACTTAAAAAAAACACAAAACTCATTTAATTATTACACATAAGGCTTTTTGAAACTATGAATAGATATGCCACTTACAGAGTCATGGGTGAGGTATGTATCGCAGTAGTCACAATAAAACCTGAAAAGAGGTGAAAGGAAGAGAAAAAGACGACAACCACTGAGATGCCCATCCACGGAAGCGCTGTTCATGGAAGATAAAAACAAAACAAACAAACAAAACAAAAAGCCAGACCGCCTCACGACTCAAAAGCATCAAAGCGTCGACACATAAACCAGGCTTTTTTTTGTTGCCTTAAGCGGGATCCATCTGCACTCTAAAATGGGGTGTCTAGCGCTCTCCATCTCCCTGCCTCCGTCCACCCGGCCCAGATACTCTCCCATCCCTCGAGGTTTCAGAAACCAGAACCCGCTCTCCGCTCCTGCATGGGGGCCACAACTAGTGACTACGATCACCCTCAGATTTCGGGGCCCCACTCACTTGGGCATGTTGCTCTGCAGGCCGTTGGCCACTCCGTTACGTGACGCCCGGAAATGACGCGCACAGCCAGCGACGACACCGCGGAACCCCACGAGACTAGCATGAAGACTTCCGAAGCCCTCGCCTCCAGCAGCCGAGCGAGGGGCGGGGCTTTTCCTTTTCTTCCTTTCATCTATAGGATGGCGGGAAGGAGGAGTACTACGGGCCGCTACGAGGTTCAATCCAAGCTCATTTAATCTTGTTTGTCGGTGCTTCCGGAAGAGCGTATTTAATCTTTCTATAAATATTTAATGATTCTCTGCTACGCGCCTGGAGCTGCTATAAATGCTGAAAAAACAGCAGTGAACAAAACAGATAAAAATTCTTGTCCTTGTGGGGTTGAGATTCTAGTGGAACAAGACAGATACTAAAACCAACAGGAGCCGGCGCCGTGGCTCGCGCCTGGAATGTCAGGTACTCCCGACGCTGAGACGGGAGGATCACGTGAGCCCAGGAGTTGGACACCAGCCCTGGGCAACATAGCGAAACTCTTGTCTCTACAAAAAATTTAAAAACTAGCCAGACTTTGGCCCGGCGCGGTGGGTCACGCGTGTAATCCCAGCACTTTGGGAGGCCGAGGCGGGCGGATCGCCTGAGGTCAGGAGTTCGAGATACGCCCGGCCAACCTGGTGAAACCCGGTCTCTACTAAAAATACAAAAGTTAGCTGGGCGTGGTGGCGGGCCCCTGTAATCCCAGCTACTCGGGAGGCTGAAGCAGGAGAATGGCTTGAACCCGGGAGGCGGAGGTTGCGGTGAGCCGAGATCGCACCATTGCACTCCAACCTGGGCGACAGAGCGAGACTCCGTATCAAAAAAAAAAAAAAAAATTGGACGTGATAGCGCCCACCTGTGGTCTCAGCTAGCTACTCAGGAGACTGAGATGGGAGGATCGCTTGAACCCAGGAGGTCGTGGCTATAGTGAGTCGTGATCGCACCACTGCACTCCAGGCTGGGTGACAGAGTGGTACCCTGTCTCAAAAAAATGGTAAATATTTATAGTAGTGGGTTAGGTGGAGCAAAGTGAAGCAGGGAAGAGGGGAGTCCAACTTTACAGAGGATAGAGAAAGGTTATCTCGTCTTTTTTAAATTTATTTTTGTTTTTGTTTTGTTTTGTTTTTTGAGACGGAGTCTCACTCTGTCGCTCAGGCTGGAGTGCAGTGGCGCTATCTCGGTTCACTGCAAGCTCCACCTCCCGGGTTCACGCCATTCTCCTGCTTCAGCCTCCCGAGTAGCTGGGATTACAGGCGCATGCCACCACGCCCGGCTAATTTTTTTGTATTTTTAGTAGAGACGGGGTTTCACCGTGTTAACCAGGATGGTCTTCAACTCCTGACCTCAAGTAATCTGCCCGCCTCGGCCTCCCGAAGTGCTGGGATTACAGGCGTGACCCACCGCGCCCGGCAGGTAATAATTATTGTAGGATTCAAGGAAGAATTACATGTGAAGATCCTTGTAAGTGTTTAATACAATATACACACTAACCCCTCCACAAAAGGTAATTATTACATAGGAGAAAATTGATAGAAGTAACTTGTCCACAGATATCACCTGTTCTAGCAATAAGGCCAAACTTCCAGCCTGGTCTGTCAGACTCCAAAATGGCCTTCCTCCTTTTAGAAAAGGGAAATATTAGCAAGCGTTGGGACCTGAGGAGAGGGAGTTTTTGTTTTTGTTCTTCTACCCTATGTTCTCTGATGGTAGAATTGCAACCAAATAATAATAATAATTGCTAGTTTATTTGAATGTTTACTATGTCATAGGTTCTTTAAATGCATTGATTTACTTAATCCGTTCAACAACCCTATTTATTCACATTTCAGATGAGGAAACTGACCTTTAGAAAGAGTAAGTACCACAAAGATTACTTCCTGGTCCTAAGGGGTAAGTTAACTGTGCCCCGGCTCTTACCACCATAACACCGTGGTAAATCTTAACATAATGGCAGAACAACCAGATATTATGTGTCTCCTGCTGGGATGACAATATTAAGTAGCTACCATCAACTATGACTTTTTTTTTTTTTTTTTTGAGAGAGGGTCTCGCCCTGTTGCCCAGGCTGGAATGCAGTGGTTCTATCACAGCTCACTTCAGCCTCAACCTCCCGGGATCAAGCAATCCTCCCTCTTCACCTTCCAAGTAGCTGGGACTACAGGCACCTGACACCATACCCTTGTTAATTTTTTTAATTTTTTGCAGAAAAAGGGTCTCAAACTCCTGACTTCAAGCAATTTCCCACCTCAGCCTCCCAAAGTTCTGGGATTACATGTGTTAGTTAGCCTCTATACCCAACAACTATGACATATTATAAAAAATGTTTAGTAGCCACAAAAATTAAAAATAATTTTTAAAAAATGTTTAACTTAGATCTAATCAAGTTAACAGGATAGTCTATAGGATCAGCTAAAGGAAAGCAAAAGGCAGCAAACAAATTCTGGCAGTAGGATGTTGTAAGGACAACTGGCCTCTTTCCTTCACTAATTTAGGAAAAGGTATTTTTCTAAATTTAAATATTAAGAGACATAACAACCAGATGTAGTGTATCATCTACATCTAGATCCTAGTTTGGACAAACCAGCTATAAAGGACATTTTGCAGAAAATGCCTGGGTCTTGATGTTGCATTTCCAGAAACCCACCTTTGTCCAGGTACCTTCAGTTGATTTTCCTCAAGGGAATGGATTCATCAGTTATGTTGTTTATTTTGTTTTGGTTTTTGTTTTTTTCTGAGATACGTTCTCACTCTGTCACCCAGGCTGGAGTGCAGTGGCACTGTCTCGGCTCACTGCAACCTCCGCTTCCTGGGTTCAAGAGATTCTCATGCCTCAGCCTCCCGAGTAGCTGGGATTACAGTTGTGTGCCACCGTGCCCGGCTCATTTTTTTGTATTTTTAGTAGAGACAGGGTTTCACCACGTTGGCCAGGCTGGTCTCGAACTCCTGACCTCAAATGATCTGCCAGCCTCAACTTCCCAAAGTGATGGGATTACAGGCATGAGCCACCATGCTCGGCCCATCAGTAATGTTTTGATTTCTTCCTGATTTCCCTCTGTGCTGACCCTGGCCTTTTTTTTTTGCTTTCAAGTCTATTCTTCACTTTTCCCCTGCTCTTTTCAAAATGGCAGTGGAAGCCGGGTTCAGTAGCTCACACTGGTAATCCCAGCTACTCAGGAGGCTGAGGTAGAAGGATCACTTGAGCCCAGAAGTTGGAGGCTACAGTGAGCTATGGTCTGGCCACGGCACTCCAGCCTGGGCAGTGGAGCGAGACTCCATCACTATTAAAAAAAAAAAAAGGTCAGGCATGGTGGCACGCACACCTGTAATCCCAACACTTTGGGAGGCCGAGGCGGACAGATCGCGAGGTCAAGAGATTAAGACCATCCTGGCCAACATGGTGAAAACCCGTTTGTACTAAAAATACAAAAATTAGCTGGGCATGGTGGTGTGCACCTGTAGTCCCAGCTACTCAGGAGGCTGAGGCAGGAGAATGGCTTGAACCCAGGAGGTGGAGGTTCCAGTGAGCTGAGATCATGCCACTGCACTCTAGCCTGGCAACAGAGCGAGACTCCGACTCAAATAAAAAAAAAAAAAAGTCAGTGGTGGACTGACTCCATGAAGGCTGCATGGGCTGGACTCCAATACTGGTTGACTTCCAAGCTGAATTGCTGGGCTCCATCAATTGGAGGCATTTTCTGGAGATTGGAGAGATCAAGGAAAAAGCCAGAGTATCTCCTACCCTGACACCACCTCCAAGCCAGAGTATCCATCCTCTCCCCACCCCTCAACATCAGGCTGTCTCCTACAACCTACTTGGATCTAACTTGTAGTAGTTGATCCTAGACCCTGAGCTCTGGTAGCACAGTGTTGTCCTGTCCCTCTAGTGTAAGGGTGGCAGTAGCTTCTTGCTGTCACTCATCTCTGTCTGGGCTATTTGACTATTCTGTTTGGCTTTTTGTCTCTGCCAACACCTGTATAAACCATTTATCTGGATTAAGTTCCCTGTGTTTTTTTTTTTTTTTTTTTTTGAGACGGAGTCTCGCACTCTCGCCCAGGCTGGAGTGCAGCGGCACAATCTCGGCTCACTGCAAGCTCCGCTTCCCGGGTTCACGCCATTCTCCTGCCTCAGCCTCCCGAGTAGCTGGGACTACAGGCGCCCGCCACCATGCCCGGCTAATTTTTTGTATTTTTTAGCAGAGACGGGGTTTCACCATGTTAGCCAGGATGGTCTCGATCTCCTGACCTCGTGATCCGCCCACCTCGGCCTCCCAAAGTGCTGGGATTACAGGCGTGAGCCACCGCGCCCAGCCTGTTCCCTGTGTTTTAAAGACTTAGAATGGTTTTCCAGGTTGGACCTTGACATATATGTATATATACATATGTATATATGCTCAGAGTGACCTTATCTCCAAGTCCCAAGGGGTATCTCCATCATTTCCTGCCCATAGGCCCTGCTATCTTGTAAAGCAGTGCTTTTCACACTTTTTCTCTGAATGTCCAAGGCAACTGAGAGAGTTCATTTGTCACCCTCATTCCTCTAGGTCTATAGCCAAAATCCCTAGTGCCCACCTGAGCTTGAAATGCCCTTGAAATCTTGTGCTCTTGCGTGGTGTCCTAAAAACTCACAGTTAGTAATCTACTTCATAACACATCTATGTTGTTCTTAAGGTATTTTACATTTAAAATGTATTTTATTTACTTATATTTGAATAGGTAGTGTATACACATGGTAGAAAATTAGAAAACCACAAAAATGTTTCCTAGCCACACCCTTGTTCCCAGTTTCTTTTCTTTTTCTTTACTTCTTCTTTTTTTTTTTTTTTTTTTTTTTTTTTTTTTTTTTGAGAGAGAGCCTTGCTCTGTCGCCCAGTCTTGAGTACAGTGGCGCGATCTCAGCTCACTGCAATCTCCGCCTTCCAGGTTCACGCCATTCTCCTGCCTCAGCCTCCCGAGTAGCTGGGACTACAGGCGCCCACTACCATGGCCAGCTAATTTTTGTATTTTTAGTAGAGATGGGGTTTCACTGTGTTAGCCAGGGTGGTCTCAATCTCCTGACCTCGTGATTCACCCAACTCAACCTCCCAAAGTGCTGGGATTACAGGCATGAGCCACCACGCCCGGCCTCTTTTTTTTTTTTTTTTTTTATAGAGACAGAGTCTCACTCTGTAGCCCAGGCTGGAGTGCAATGGTGTGCTCTTGGATCACTGCAACCTCCACCTCCCGGGTTCAAGTGATTCTCCTGCCTCAGCCTCCCCAGTAGCTGGGACTACAGGTGTGCACTGCCACGCCCAGCTAATTTTTCTATTTTTAGTAGACACAGGGTTTCACCATGTTGGCCAGGCTGATCTTGAACTCCTGGCCTCAAGTGATCCACCTGCCTTGGCCTCCTAAAGTGCTGGGATTACAGGCGTAAGCCACCGCACCCAGCCCCTTGTTCCCAGTTTCTTACATATCTTTCCAGAAAAAGATTATCCATATGCAAACAAAAATATGTTTCCTGGTTCTGTTTTACAGATGCATAGTATTTCGTTGTGTAGATGTACCTCCATATATTAATCAGTCCTTTATTGATGAATGCTTAAATTGTTTCCTGTCTCTTTCTAATTTAGTGATGCTGCAGTACATCATTAATTCACAGACATGCAAATATGTTTATAAGATAAAGTTTGGGCTGGGCACTGTGGCTCAGACCTATAATCCCAGCACTTTGGGAGGCCGAGGCGGGTGGATCACCTGAAGTCAGGAGTTCAAGACCAGCCTGACCAAGATGGTGAAACCCTGTCTCTACTAAAAGTAGAAAAATTAGCCAGGTGTGGTGGCACGCACCTGTAATCCCAGCTACTCGGGAGACTGGGGCAGGAGAATCACTTGGACCCAGGAGGTGGAGGTTGCAGTGAGGGGAGACGGCACCATTGCACTCCAGCCTAGGTGACAGAGTGAGAATCTGTCTCAAAAAAATAAATAAAATAAATAAAAAAGATTGGCTGGGTGCGGTGGCTCACACTTGTAATCCCAGCACTTTGGGAGGCCAAGGTGGGTGGATCACCTGAGGTCAGAAGTTCGCAACCAGCCTGGCCAACATGATGAAACCATGAAAACATGGTGAAACATTCTCTACTAAAAATAGAAAAATTAGCCAGGCGTGGTGGCACACACCTGTAATCCCAGCTACTTGGGAAGCTGAGGCAGGAGAATCACTTGAACCCGGGAGGCAGAGGTTGCAGTGAGCCAAGACCGTGCCATTGCACTCCAGCATGGGCAACGAGCAAAACTCCATCTCAAAAAAAGAAAGGAAAAAAAAAAGATAAAATTCTAGGAGTGAAATTGCTAGGTTGAAGAGCTTTCTTTGCATTTGTAATTTTGAAAAATAATGCTAAATCGCCCTTCATTGTGGTTATATTTGAGAGTGCTTTTTTACCGTATCTGATAAATAAAAAATGGCATTGTGTTATCATTTCTTTTTTGAGACAGAGTCTCACTCTGTCACCGAGGCTGGAGTGCAGTGGCCGAGTCTTGGCACACTGCAAACTCTGCCTCCTGGGTTCAAGTGATTCTCATGCCTCAGCCTCCCAAGTAGCTGAGATTACAGGTGCACGCCACCACACCTGGCTAATTTTTGTATTTTTGGTGGAGTTGGGATTTCAGCATGTTTGCCAGGCTGGTCTTGAACTCTTGGCCTCAAGTGATCTGCCCACTTCGGCCTCCCAAAGTGCACAGGCGTGAGCCACTGTGCCTGGCTGTATTATAATTTTAATTTGTGTTTCTCCATATGAATAAAGGTGAATATATTTCATATGTTAAAAAGTCCAATGAGCCTGGGCAACATGGTGAGACCCTGTCTCTACAAAAAATACAAATATTAGCCAGGCATGGTGTCACACACCTGTAGTTTCAGCTACTCAGAAGGCTAAGGTGGGAGGATCACTTAAGCCCAGGAGACTAAGGCTGTACTCAGTCGTGATTGTGCCACTGCACTACAGCCCAGGCGACAGAATGAGACCCTGTCCCAAAAAAAAAAAAAAAATATTTCACAGATCCTTCTTTGTAGATTGCCTTTTTTTTTTTTCTGACAGAGTCTCACTCTGTCACCCAGGTTGGTTTGAGACAGAGTCTCACTCTGTCCCACCCAGGCTGGTTTGCGACAGAGTCTCACTCTGTCACCCAGGTTGGAGTGCAGTGGTGTGATCTTGGCTCACTACAAACTCCATCTCCTGGGCTCAAGTGATTCTCATGCCTCAGCCTCCCAGGTAGCTGGGATTACAGGCGCCCGCCACCACACCTGGCTAATTTTTGTATTTTTTGTAGAGACGAGCTTTCACCACGTTGGCTAGGCTGGTGTCCTAATTCCTGACCTCAAATGATCCACCTGCCTTGGCCTCCTAAAGTACTGGGATTGCCTGACTGCCTTTTTATATTCTTTGCCCCTTTATCTGTTATATTGTTAGTCTCATCCTTTTTTTCTTTTTCGTTTTTCTTTTTCTTTCTTTTTTTTTTTTTTTTTGAGATGGAGTCTCGATCTATCGCCCAGGCTGGAGTGCAGTAGTGGGATCTCAGCTCACTGCAGGCTCTGCCTCCCGGGTTCACACCACTCTCCTGCCTCAGCCTCCCGAGTAGCTGGGACTACAGGCACCCACCACCATGCTCAGCTAATTTTTTTGTATTTTTTAGGAGAGACAGGGTTTCACCATCTTAGCCAGTATGATCTCGATCTCCCGACCTCGTAATCTGCCTGCCTTGGCCTCCCAAAGTGCTGGGATTACAGGCATGAGCCACCATGCCTGGCCCTAGTCTCATCCTTTTCTTATTGATTTGTAGAGAGCTCTTCATATATTAAGGAAATTAACTCCATGCCTCTTATATGATTTGCAGATATTTTTCCACTTGTTATTTGTCTTTGGCATTATTTTGGGTAGTTTTTATCCTGAAAAAAAGGTTTTAATTTGTATGTTGGTCAAACTTATTTATCTTTTCTTTTTTGACTTCTGGGTTTTATGTCACATGTAGATAGGCCTTCACCTTTCTAAGATTATTTGTTTAAATTCTCTCACACATTGGCTGGGCATGGTGGCTCACGCCTGTAATCCCAGCACTTTGGGAGGCAGAGGTAGGTAGATTGCCTGAGGTCAGGAGTTTGAGACCAGCCTGGCCAACATGGCAAAACCCCGTCTCTACTAAAAATACAAAAATTAGCTGGGCATGGTGGCACATGCCTGCAGTCCCAGCTACTCAGGAGGCTGAGGCATGAGAATCGCTTGAACCTGGGAGGCAGAGGCTGCAGTGAGTCGAGATCATGCCACTGCACTCCAGCTTGGGTGAAAGAGCAAGACTCCATCTCAAAAAAAATAAAAAAATAAATTCTCCCACATATTTTTCTTTTCTTTTTTTCTTTCTTTCTTTCTTCTTTTTTTTTTTCTTTTGAGAAGGACCTCTAACTGCATCTCACTGAAAGAGAAAAAAAGAAAGACAGTCTCACTCTGTCACTCAGGCTGGAGTGTGGTGGTGCAGTCATAGCTCACTGCAGCCTTGGCCTTTTGGGCTCAAGCAGTCCTCCCACCTGAGCCTCCCAAGCAGCTGGTACTATAGGCACATACCACCATGCCTGGCTAATAATTAAAAAAAATTTTTTTAGAGACAAAGTCTTGCTATGTTACCCAGGCTGGTCTTGAACTCCTGGACTCAAGTGATCCTCCCGCGTTGGCCTCCCAAAGTGCTGGGATTATAGGTGTGAGCCACTATGCCTAGCTCATTTTTTCTGATTCTTTTATTATTTTATTTTTTTCATGTTTATATCCTTTATCCATCTGGAACTTATTTTAAAGTAAGGTGTGGAAGAGGGATCTATGCTAATTTTTCTTTTCACAAACATCAACCTAGTTATCCTAGCACCAGTTTTTGAAAATCTATCATTTTTCCTACCAATTTGAAATCCTATTTTATTATAGGCTAAACTCCTCTACATTCTATTTAACCTCTGGGCTTTCTGGTCTGTTTCATTGGTCTATTGATTTGCCTCTACCAAGTGTTTTAATTATTACAACTCATATCTGCTATTTTAATATAACAGTCTATGTAAATTAACCAGTTGAGTTACTTAGCTTTATCCCTTCCTAAAAAATTCTTCCAGTAGGCCGGGTGTGGTGGCTTATGCCTGGAAGAAATTTTCTAGTTGCATATGACAAAACCCTACTTAAACCTGCTTAGGTAAATAGGATATAGAGGCTCAGCAAGCTGGGACATTGAAGGGTAGATTTATCCTCAGGTGTGATTGACTTAGGGCCTGAAATAATGTCACTCGGTCTCTCTCCTTTTCTCATCTCTGCTTGTTTGCTTCTCTTTGCACACTGGCCTCATTGTCCCACGTTGCAGCCTGGTTTCCTCCACACAGATGGGACAGCCTCATTTATCTCCAAACTTCCATTCTTCTAGCACATAATGCCAGAAGCCAGGGAAGGACCTAAATGGGCACACTTATACATCAAGAATCCTCCTTGGTTGGGGATGAGTAGAAAACTGTGATTGCCAGTCCCACTTAAACCTTAGGGAGAGAAGGAGGAATACCCAAAACTTGGGGGAGTACTGTTGTCAAAGAAGAAGTATAAAAACGCATCCTGGGCCCAAAATGGTATGTACAGCTGCAACCACTGGTCTTGCCTAACCCAGTCTGCAAAGCCTAACTCAAAGGAGGTACCAGTTTAAGGTGGTAATTTCCATTGTCACCACCAGAAGACTTGAGTCCTTAGTTCCATAGTAAACTACACCTTCCTCAACTCTCCTATATCTTTCCACAATGCTGAAACACAAAAAGTAATAGTTATTCAACAAATGTTTACTGAGCATTCTCTTTGTGTTCAGGTCTCTGTTGGCCACCATTAATAGGAAAATGAGTAACACACTGTGCCCATCTTCAAGTTTAGTGTGGGACATAAGCATTTAAACAAAGAATTGCAGCCTTTTTTGGTAAGGACTATGATAAGACAACTTTATCAAAAGGCAGTAGCACAGTGGTCATGAGCACAGCCTCTAGATCCAGTCTGCCTGTGTTTGAATCCCAGTATCACCACAAGCTGCTGCTTTGATCTTGGGGAAGTTGCTTAACCTCTTTGTGTCTCAGCTTTCTCATCTGTAAAATGGAGATGATAATAGTACCTCCTTCAGAGGGTCATGGCTGTGAGGGCTGATTAAGATCATTCTCTTAAAGCACTTGGCAGGGTGTGGTGGCTCATGCCTGTAATCCCAGCACTTTGGGAGGCCAAGACAGGCGGATCACGAGGTCAAGAGATTGAGACCATCCTGACTAACACGGTGAAACCCCATCTCTACTAAAAATACAAAAAGTTAGCCGGGCGTGGTGGCGGGTGCCTGTAGTCCCAGCTACTCAAGAGGCTGAGGCAGGAGAATGGAGTGAACCTGGGAGGCGGAGCTTGCAGTAAGCCGAGATCGCGCCACTGCACTCCAGCCTGGGTGACAGAGCGAGACTCCGTCTCAAAAAACAAACAAACAAACAAAAAACGAATAATAAAGCACTTAGCACTGCATGGTAAGCATGCAGTAATTGGTGGATAGTGTTGGGACTGTCAGTAAGAATAAGTACCCAAAACCTAGGTCTCTTGAATTCCAAATCCAGGAATCCCTCCAAACCTCTTCAGGGTCACACAGGGGATGAGCTGTGGAACTGGAGAGGCATTTTTCTTCTCCCAATAAGATACTTCAGCTTCACTTTGTTGTTTTGTTTGTTTTTACACCTTGTTTCTACTCCATCATATCAGCTTCGCTTTGTAGCCATCGTTGGCTGTTGACTCCTCCATCTGTTAAGCACTCTTCAGAATCTACAATTCTTAGTTCCATTGCCAAACCTCAGGGCCCTGAAGTGCAGGGGAGAGGCTGAATTCCAAAGACAGACTTGCTTCTGTACTCTGAGTGATACTTCCAGAGCTGTTGATCTGTTGATGGATGCCTCACTGAGAAAGATCATACCATTGTGGCCTTCCCTGCTAACTTTTCATTTTGAACTGAGAGCTTGTGGCCATGAAGTGGACTCAGAAGGCTAAAACTGGATCTTTCTATTTGGAAACAACAGCTGGATGTAGGGATGTAAAAGCTCACGCCAGGCCTCCCAGGTAGGTGTAAACATAGCTGTGGCTGGGATGACTGTGGCTGGCAATCTTCATCCCACTCTACCCTGCAAGTGAAATCGCTTGGGAGGTGACCTAGCTGCTGCTTTCCAAGGCCATGGGTATCTGGAGACAAAGCTTTCTCCACCTAGCCTGGGCAAATGAGAACAACACTAAGACTACGATGAGGATGCCCATCTGGCACCTACAAGGTGGTGGCAGACACCACCCATCTTTGCCTGGCTATGTGGGAAGGAAATAATTATTCGTTAGTTCTGCTGTTACTGTCCTGGCTCCCTCACAGTAAACAAAGGGCTCACTACTGAGAATAGAAAAGGCCAAAGTCCCAGGGCCTGGGGAACATGTTCTTTGTTGAACCTCTTTATTAATCTAAAGCTGTTGGACCAACAGGTTGTGGTGTTAGGCGGAAGCTGGGCAGGCACTAATCACTAAGGCAGAAGAACGGGTTTGGCAGGGTAGTTTTGAGTAGCAGCTTATTGAAGAGGTGTTATTACTCACTTTTTTATTTTTTATTTTTTTGAGACAAGTTCTCAATCTGTCACCCAGGCTGGAATGCAGTGGTACGATCTCAGCTCACTGCAACCTCTGCCTCCCGGGCTCAAGTGATCCTCCCACCCCAGCCTCCCGAGTAGCTGGGACTACAGATGCATGCCACCATATCTTTTGCATTTTTTTGAAGAGACTGGGTTTCACGGTATTGCCCAGGCTAGTCTTGAACTTCTGGGCCCAATCTATCTGCCCACCTCAGCCTCTCAAAGTGTTGGGATGACAGGCATGAGCCACCCCGCCGGCCCTATGACTCACTCTTGAAATGTCTTTTCTTAGATAGATATGATCTTTGGTCAGGGAGTATTCTATTAGCGCAGGAAGCTTTCAGTCTGATTCTAGGGGTGGCAAGCTGGAAACAGGATCATGAGTGGCCTCTATATGGCTTCATACTCCAGCAGAACCTGAGGTTGTGGTTGGGAATGAGACACATACAAACACACAAACACACCCACACACATACGCCATTCTGCTGCCCTATGGCATGTTATCTTTTAGTGGCTTGGCTTTTACTGGGAGAGAAGGGAAACTAACATTTATTAAGCACCTAGTTTGTGTCAGCACTAGGCAATGTGCTTTCATTATGTTATCTGATGGGATTTGATTTTGAAGCTTTTTTTACTGATAAGGAAACTGAGACTGAAGGAGATGATATAATCTGAACAAGATTGCATAGTTAATATGTGGGAAAAAGAGAATTTGAGCCCAAATAGAGTCCAGCGCTTACCCACTTTCCATTGAATACACTGCCTGTACACCTGAGACCGCCACAGTCCAGACCCGAGTGCAACCTGCCCCAAGTAACTCCTTTGCTGCAATGGCTGAAGCTCATTTTTTTCACATAGAGACTTCAAATCACCAACATGTAGCCCCCAGCTGGAACGCCTTCCACATAAAAGGGATAGCTCCCCTAAAAGGTATATATTTTATGTCTTTTTTTTTAACTTTTTTTTTTTAAGATGGGATTTTTATGTTGCCCAGGCTGATCTTGAACTCCTAGCCTCAAGTGATCCTCCTGCCTCAGCCTCCCAAAGTGCTAGGATTATAGGAGTGAGCCACCACACCTGGCAGGTGTATCTTATTGTATGTAAATTATACCCTCATTAAACCTGACTTTTTTTTTTCTTTTTGGTTGTAAGTTTATTCAACGCAAAAGAATCCTCTCCAATTTTACTGAGGTAGCTGACTATGTCCACAACCAAATCCGCCTCTAAACTGGAATTCAGTTGCTGACCCAGCCCCAGACTCGGCTTTCTTGTCGGCACCAGGTGGCACAGCACTCTGTCTGTAGGTATCTCTGTCAGCTTCCCATCTTGTGAGTCTCGCAGGTTGCTCACCCTCCAGACCTTTAGGCCGAGGCCTGCCAGTCTCTGGATGCCTACGGCGTAGGGTGGCAGGCACAATCTCCGGGGGCAGATGAAGGTAATCATGGAGATACTGGATACCCTCATTGGTAAGGTACCAGTAGAAATGTCTCCAGGCAAACTGTTCCTTCACGTAGCCTCGGGACTAGAGAGACTGCATGGCTTTCATGACATGAAGGTTGGGCACATTCTTGTCTGCCAGCTCCGGGTGCTTAGGCATGTGGACATCCTTCTTGGCCACCATGACTCCCTTCTTAAAAAGGAGTTCATAAATGGCAATCCGGTTCTTCTTAGGCATCAACATCTCTGCGGCTGCAGGGGCCGGGGCCGGGGCTGGAAAAGCTAAACCTGACTTTTTATTTTTATTCATGTACTGATTTAGAGGCAGGGTCTCATTCTCTTGCCCAGGCTGGGGTGTAGTGGCATGATCATGGTTCACTGTAACCTTGAACTCCTGGGCTCAAGCAATCGTCCTGCCTCAGCCTCCCTAAGAGCAGCAGCTGGAACTACAGTCACACCACCACATTTGTTTTTGTTTTTTGTTTTTAGGATTTTTTTCTCTTTTTTTGAGACATGATCTCACTCTGTTGCCCAAGCTGGAGTGCAGTGGCGGGATCACAGCTCACTGCAGCCTCAACTGCCTGGGCTCAAGGAATTCCCCTACCCTCAGCCTCCTGGGTACCTGGGACCACAGACATGTGTCACCATGCCCAGCTAGTTTTTTTTATTATTTGTAGCCAAGAGGTCTCACTGTGTTGTCCAGGCTTGTCTTGAACTCCTGAGCTCAAGCAGTCCTCCTGCCTTGGCTTCCCAAAGTGCTGGGATTACAGGAGTGAGCCACCACTCCTGGCTGGACATCCAGCTAATTTTTGAATTTTGGGGATTATAGGCATGAGCCACCATCCCAGCCTATTTATTTAAGTGTAGTCAAAGCAGTGAGGAAGAAGGAAAGAGTAGAACAGCCAGGTGCAGTGGGTCACACCTGTAATTCCAGCACTCTGGGAAACTGACATAGGAGGATCACTTGAGCCCGGGAGTTACCAGCCTGGGCAACATAGGGAGATCTCTTCTCTACCAAAAAAAAAAAAAAAAAAAAAAAGAGTAAACAAGGAGTTTGATCTGTAACTTAGTGGGAGCAATCGATTAAGGTAACTCACTACCTTGGGACTAGCCTTTTTTTTTTTTTTTTTTGAGATGGTGTTTCGCTCTTGTTGCCCAGGCTGGAATGCAATGGCATGATCTCAGCTCACTGCAACCTCTGCCTCCTGGGTTCAAGCGATTCTTCTGCTTCAGCCTCCCAAATAGCTGGGATTACAGGTGTGCGCCACCATGCCTGGCTAATTTTGTATTTTTAGTAGAGACTGGGTTTCTTCATGTTGGTCAGCTTGTCTCCAACTCCCGACCTCAGGTGATTGGCCCACCTTGGCCTCCCAAAGTTCTGGGATTACAGGCGTGAGCCACCGCACCCAGCCGGGACTAGCCTGACTTTTTTTTTTTTTTTTTTTGGAGACAGAGTATTGCTCTGTCACCCAGGCTGGAGTGCAGTGGCACGATCTCAGCTCACTGCAAACTCCGCCTCCCGGGTTCACGCCATTCTCCTGCCTCAGCCTCTTGAGTAGCTGGGACTACAGGCGCCTGCCACCACGCCCGGCTAATTTTTTATATTTCTAGTAGAGACAGGGTTTCACTGTGTTAGCCAGGATGGTCTCCATCTCCTGACCTCATGATCCGCCCGCCTCGGCCTCCCAAATTGCTGGGATTACAGGCATGAGCCACCATGCCCGGCCTAGCCTGACTTTTTAAAAGATGTTGGATATATTATATAAAGAGCTCCTACAAAATAACAGTAAAATTACCATCAACTCAATAGAAAAATACAAATGAAAAGGAAATGTATATATAAATGTCCTTTATACATCTGAAAAAATAGTCATCCTCACTACAAGATGAATTTAAATTAAAAATTACTGAGATACCATTTATCACTTACTGGATTAGTAAAAATCCAAAAAATTGATATCACTTTGAATAGCCATGATTATAGGTAAATAGGAACCGTCATACATGTGTAAATTGAAATAGTTCCTGTTGAAGACAGTTCGACAGTGTCTACGAAAATTCCCTGTGTATATACCTGGTAACTCACCAATTCCATTTCTAGGAATTTATCCTACAGTTATAGTTACAGGATTGCAAAATGATGTGTATACAAGATTACTCATTGAAGCACTCTTTGGAAAAGAGAGCAAAAGTCTGTAAACTTAAATCCCCATCAACAAGGGCCTGGTTAAATACATTATGGGACATGCATATAGCAGAATAGTACGCACCTATAGGAAACAATGAGAAGTATCTGTGTATACTGACATGAAGAACTCTCAAAGATATATTAATTGAAGAAAGCAAGGTGCAGATCAGTGTTTATAGTAGATACCATTTATATTAATAAGAGAGATACTATTTATATTATTTTATAAATGCATTACAAATCTCAAAGGATCACAGAGCTTTGGGAAGCCAAGGTGGGAGCATCACTTGAACCCAGGAGTTTGAGACCAGCTTGGGCAACATAGGGAGACCTTCATCTCTACAAAAAAGTTTTGGGTTTTTTTTTTTTTTTTGAGACAGTCTCACTCTGTTGCCCAGGCTAGAGTTCAGTGGCATGATCACAGCTCATTGCAACCTCTGTCTCCTGGATTCAAGTGATTCTCCCACCTCAGCCTCCCAAATAGCTGGGATTACAAGCACGTGCCACTATGTCCAGCTAATTTTTTTTTTTTTTAGTAGAGATTGGGTTTTGCCATGTTGGCCAGGCTGGTCTGGAACTCCTGGCCTCAAGTGACCTATCTCCTCAACCTCCTAAAGTGCTAGGCTTATAGGTATAAGCCACTGCACCCAGCCCAAAAAAGTTCTTTGTTTTTTGTTTCTAATTAGCTGGGCATGGTGGCACTTACATGTAGTCCCAGCTACTTGGGAGGCAGAGGTGGGAGAATCGCTGGAGCCCAGGAGTTCAAGATTACAGTGAGCTATGATTGGACCACTGTACTCCATCCTGACCCTGATCCAGTGAGACCCTGTCTCAAAAAGAAAAAAAAAAAAAACTCTCCAAGGAGCTAAGAAACTAGAAATAGTGGTTATCTGTTGTGAAGGGTAGAGGTGGGAGGGATATATTTCACTCTATACTTTTTCAAAAGTTTGATGTTTAAACTATGAATTTTAAAAATTAAGTTAATCATTGTTAAACAATAAAGAAAGGAAATAAAAAGAAAATAACATGGTGGGAGGGGCCCACCACATGTCATGGCTGCCATTGTGGGACCATTTCCCAGAACCACACCCTACAGACCCGGCGTGATAGCTCACGCCTGTAATCCCAGCACTTTGGGAGGCCGAGGCAGGGGGATAACTTGAGGTTAGGAGTTCAAGACCAGCCTGGCTAACATGGTGAAACCCCGTCCCTAATAAAAATACAAAAATTAGCCGGGCATGGTGGTGCACGCCTGTAGTCCCAGCTACTTGGTAGGCTGAGGCAGGCGAACCACTTGAACCCAGGAGGCAGAGGTTGCAGTGAGCTGAGATGACGCCACTGCACTTTAACCTGGGTGACAGAGCCAGATTCCGTCTCAAAAAAAAAAAAAAAAAAAAAAGCCACACCCTACAAACTGCCTTCTTCATCAGACAGGCTCATCATTGGAAGAAGTGACATGCAGTCTCCCAGACTGGCAACCTTGTACTCACTCCCAGACTGGCAACCTTGTACTCACTCCCAGACTAGCAACCTTATACTCACTCCCAGACTAGCAACCTTGTACTCACTCCCAGACTAGCAACCTTGTACTTACTCCCCGCTCTTCCCAAATCCTTGCAATTGTGCAATGGGGCAGGGCTGCTTTGTTGGGTCAGCAGAGTGCAGGTGATTCGGCTTGGTTGATGACTCTAATCTAGGCTGTGTCAGTGACACGTGAGGATTATTCTGCTTGGGAAAGGAGGCAGTGAACTCAACCTTAGATTTAAGTCCCAAGAACTCCAGGCTCTTGTTCCTAACCTTGGATGTCCTTTAAAATCCTTCATTTGCTCACCAAAGAAGTCTATTTGGACTTCTCAACCCCTGAGTTTAAAGAAGTGGGTGCTTGTTTGATTCGACACTAATGTGAAGTACTAGGGACCTGTAATCTGGGGGTAAGCAAAGATTTCTTAGGACATAGAAAACAACAGTCATCTGAAAATTGGATAAATTAAACTTCATCAGAATCTATTAATAAAACTTCAGCTCATGACATAGACTGAGAAAATATTCATAAACATTTATTTCACAAAGGAGTTGGATCCAGAATATATTTTTTAAACTCTTAGAAATAAATTAAAAAAAAACATAAAAAGTTTTTAATGGGAAAAGACTTGAACAGGCCAGGCAGAGTGACTCACACCTGTAATCCAACCATTTAGGGAAGCCAAGGAGGAAGGATTACTTGAGCCCAGGAGTTTGAGATCAGCCCAGGCAACATGGTGAGACACCATCTCTACAGAATAAAAACAGATGGGAGGATCGTTTGAGCCGCAGAGGTTAAGGCTGCAGTGAGCTGCGATTGTGCCACTGCATTCCAGCCTGGGCAACCGAGCAACTGAGCAAGACTCTGTCTCAAAAAAAAAAAAAAAAAAAAAAAAAAAAAGACTTGAACACTTCACAAAAGAAAATATACAAAAGGCCAAAAAGCCCATTTAAAAAGCACTTGAAAATAATATTAATCATTATGGAAGTGCAAAGCAAAACCACAAAGAGATATTATCACAACCATAATGGCTACAATTTTAAAAATAGAAAGTAGGGGCTGGGTGTGGTGGCTCACGCCTATAATCCCAACACTTTGGGAGGCCGAGGCAGGCGGATCACCTGAGATCAGGGGTTCACGACCAGCCTGGCCAACATGGCAAAACTCCGTCTCTACTAAAAATACAAAAAATTAGCCGGGCGTGGTGGCGCACGCGTCTGTAATCCCAGCTACCAGTAGGGGCTGAGGCAGAATTGCTTGAACCCAGGAGGCAAAGGTTGCAGTGAGCCGATATTGCACCACTGCACTCCAGCCTGGGCGACAGAGCAAGACTCATTAAAAAAAAAAAAAAAGTAGGGCTGGGCATGGTGGCCACTAGCTGTGTCTGGGCTGTCAACTGGGAATGAACACTAGGGAAATTGCTAAGGTAATGAAAATTATGGAAGTGTCTTGTATGTTGATAAGAGTATGGATTACATGAAGGTAGGCATTTGTCAAAACCGATCAAATTGTGCACTTAAGATTTGTGCAAGCAGGCCAGGCCTGGTGGCTCACGCCTGTAATCCCAGCACTTTGGTCGACCTAGGCAGGCAGATCACCTGAGGTCGGGAGTTTGAGACCAGCCTGGCCAACATGGTGGAACCCCATCTCTACTAAAAAATAAAAAAAATTGGTTGGGCGCAGTGGCTCACGCCTGTAATCCCAGCACTTTGGGAGGCCGAGGCGGGCAGATCAGGAGGTCAGAAGTTTGAGACCAGCCTGGCCAATATGGTGAAACCCCGTCTCTACTAAAAGATACAAAAATTAGCCAGGCATGGTGGCGTGCGCCTGTAGTCCCAGCTACTCAGGAGGCTGAGGCAGAAGAATTATTGGAAGCCAGGAGGTGGAGGTTGCAGTGAACCGAGATCAAGCCACTGCACTCCAGCCTGGGCAACAGAGTGAGACTCCGTCTCAAAAAAAAAAAAAAAAATTAACGGGGCATGGTGGTGGGCACCTGTAACCCCAGCTACTTGGGAGGCTGAGGCAGGAGAATTGCTTGAACCTGGGAGGCAGAGGTTGCAGTGAGCCAAGATTGCGCCACTGCACTCCAGCCTGAGCAACAGAGCAAGACAGAGCAAGACTCTGTCTCCGGAAAAAAAAAAAATTGTGCTGGTGCAGTAGCTCAAGCCTGTAATTTCAACATTTTGGGAGGCTGAGGAAGGAGGCTTGAGCCCAGGAGTTCCAGACCAGCCTAGGCAACATAGTGAGACCCTGTCTCTACGAAAAAAAAAATGTTTTAAAAATTAGCCAGGTGTGCTAGTGCATGTCTGTAGTCCCAGCTACTCAGGAGGCTGACCAGGGAGGGTCACTTGAGCACAGAAGGTTGAGGCTACAGTAAGCTGTGATCATGCCACTGCTTTCCATCCTGGATGACAGAGCAAGACCCTGACTCAAAAATAACCAAACCAAACCAAAATAAAATGTTACTGGAAAAAGAGTCCAGGTCCAGACCACAAGAGGTCTGAATCATGCACAGAAAGAGTTCAAGGTAAGTTGCAGAGTGCAGTTAGAAGAGATGGTTTATTGATAACTACTGAGTTACAGCATACAATGCCCTCAGAGAGCAGGAGGAGGAACTTCTGGTTTTAAATTCTTTTTTTTTTTTTTTTTTTTTTTTTGAGAAGGAGTTTTACTCTCACCCAGGCTGGAGTGCAGTGGCACGATCTCGGCTCACTGCAACCTCAGCCTCCTAGGTTCAAGCGATTCTCCCACCTCAGCCTCCCGAGTAGCTGGGATTACAGGCACCCGCCATCATGCCTGGCTAATTTTGGTATTTTTGTGGAGATGAGGTTTCACCATGTTGGCCAGGCTGGTCTTGAACTCCTGACCTCAGTTGATCCTCCCACCTCAGCCTCCCAAAGTGCTGGGATTACAGGCGTGAGCCACTGCACCCAGCATAAACTTTTTTTTCTTTTTTGGGGACAGGGTTTTGCTCTGTCACCCAATCTGGAGTGCAGTGGTGCAATCACAGCTCACAGCAGCCTTGGCCTCCCAGGTCCAAGCAGTCTTCCCCTCTTAGCCTCCTGAGTGGCTAGGACTACAGGCACATGCCATCAATGCAGGAATTTTTTTTTTTTTCAGATGAAGTCTCACTCTGTTGCCCAGGCTGGAGTGCAGTGGTGCCATCTCGACTCACCGCAACACCCGCCTCCCAGGTTCAAGCAATTCTCATGCCTCAGCCTCTCAAGTAGCTGGGATTACAGGTGCCCGCCACCATGCCTGGCTAATTTTTTTGTATTTTAGTAGAGACGGGGTTTCACCATATTGGCCAGGCTGGTTTCAAACTCCTGACCTCAAGTGATCTGCCCGCCTCGGGCTCCTTAAGTGCTAGGATTACAGGCATGAGCCACTGCACCCGGCCTAGGAATTTTTTCTGGGTCACTCTGTAAGCCAGGGACCTCTGGCCGGCAATGCCCCCGCCAAGCCTTGCTCGGGCACACTACCTGCTGCAGGAGACAGCCCACTCACTTGGCCCACCCAAGCCAGGTCTGGTTTGCACACTGGTTCCCAACTTCTTGTCATGCACCCAAGAAGAATGAGGATGCGCTGACAATCAAAGAGTGAGCAAGGCGGGGAGTTTTATTGAGTGATGAAACAGCTTTCATCACTTTGGGTGGTCCCCCTACCCAAAGGCAGGAAAGTCCCCTGTGTGGCTGGGTCTGGGGCATTTTATGGACTTAGAATGGGAAGTACCTGCTGATTGGTTTGTGAGCATGCAAAAAAGGTTAAAGTGAAGACACCACTCAAAGGTGGGCGTGACAGTGTAGAAAACCAATTAGGAAAGGGTAGTTATATGTAAAATAGGGGAAGGGTAGAGGTCAAACAGAGGAAGGCATATCAAACTGGAAGACAAGCTCTCAATCTGGTCTGAGGATTTAACTTGTAGCTTGGCTTTCAGACTTTAAACTGCCTTCAGGTTGGAGGTGGGGTTTCACTGGGTATCTGCCCCTATCTACCTAGGCATTTGGCTGCCTCTTGTTGCTATCACCACTTCACCTGGCTAATTTTTTTTTTTTTTTTTGTAAAGACGGGGCCTTGCCATGTTGCCTAAGCTGGTCTTGAACTCCTGGCTCAAGAGATCTTCCTGCCTTGGCCTCCCAAAGTGCTAAGATTACAGGTGTAAGCTACTGTGCCCGACCTATAATTTTATTTATTTATTTATTTTGAGACAGAGTCTCACTTTGTTGCCCAGGCTGGAGTGCAGTGGTGCGATCTTGGCTCACTGCAACCTCTGCCTCCCGGGTTCAAGCAATTCTCCTGCCTCAGCCTCCCGAGTAGCTGAGGATTACAGGCACCCTCCAGCATGCCCAGCTAATTTTTGTATTTTTAGTAGAGATGGGGTTTCACCATGTTGGCCAGGCTGGTCTTGACCTCCTGATCTCAGGTGATCTGCCTGCCTCGGCCTCCCAAAGTGCTTGGATTACAGGTGTCAGCCACCGCGCCAGGCCTATAATTATTATTATTATTATTGTTATTGAGATGGAGTCTTGCTCTGTTGCCCAGACTAGAGTGCAGTGGCGTGATCTCAGCTCACTGCAACCTCCACCTCCCGGGTTCAAGTGATTCTCCTGCCTCAGCTTCCTGAGTAGCTGGGATTACAGGCGCCTGCCACCACGCCCGGCTAATTTGTATTTTCAGTAGAGACAGGGTTTCACCATTTGGTCAGGCTGGTCTTGAACTCCTGACCTCGTGATCCACCCACCTCAGCCTCCCAAAATGCTGAGATTACAGGCGTGAGCCACCATAACTGGCGGATGGAGTCAGTTTTTTTTTAAATTTTATTATTATTATACTTTAAATTTTAGGGTACATGTGCACAACGTGAGTCAGTTTTTAAAGTGGTGTCACCTTGGCTCTCCTATGCTCCTGCTTCCCTAACATAATCCAAAAAACTAAAAAGATTTCTCCACTTCATGTCCATCTGCCCCCGAAAAAAGGCCCTGTAAATAAATATTGACTATAGTTGGTAGATTAGGCTTGAGTAAATGAGAAAACATACTGAAGGTAATGGAAACCAGTGCTCCTACTGTTGGAAAAGGAAGTGACAAAAATGGGGAGAAGGAAAGTACTATGTGATGTTGGATTAGACTTGGAGGTATCAACATGAACTCTCGGCTTTATACAAATTTCCTGGCTTTGTCCACTGACAGAGCCTACAGAAGCAGCCACAGAGCATACCTAGCTCCCAGATCTTGGTTTCTGAATTCCATTCTCCAACAAAAGGAACCAGGGCTTCTGGGAGAACAGACTGCTGCAGAGAAAGTGTAAGATGAACCTGAAATATCTTCTTATGCTACAAAGTAAGAAAATGCTCAAAGAATGTTGGGGACATATCAAAAGAACAAAGAAGCCAGTTTAAGCGGCTCCTGCTCACCAAATCTGGGACAATCTGGCCATCAAAAATAAAAGACAATCCAAGGCTGGGTGCAGTGGCTCATGCCTGTAATTCTAGCACTTTGGGAGGCCGAGGCAGGCAGATCACCTGAGGTTAGGAGTTCGTGACCAGCCTGGCCAACATGGTGAAACCCCATCTCTACAAAAATACAAAAATTAGCCAGGCATGGTGGCGGTTGCCTGTAATCCCAGCTACTCTGGAGGCTGAGGCAGGAGAATTGCTTGAACCCAGGAGGCAGAGGTTGCAGGGAGGCAGAGGTTGCAGTGAGCCAAAATTGCGCCATTGCACTCCAGCCTGGGTGACAGAGCAAGACTCCGTCTCAAAATGAATAAATAAATAAACAAAATAAAAAAAGACAAGTCCGTGCAGTGGTTCATACCTATAATCCTAACACTTTGGGAGGCTAAGGTAGGAGAATCACTTGCGCCCACGAGTTCAAGATGAGCTCTGGCAACATAGCGAGATTTGCTCTGAACGAAAATTTTAAAAAGTTGACTGGGTGTGGTGGCACATACCTGTAGTCCTAGCTACTCAGGGCAGTTTGGGAGCTGGGTGAGATGGGGGATGACTTGAGCCAAAGAGGTCAAGATTGCAGTGAGCCATGATTGTGTCACTGCACTCCAGCCTGGGTGGCAGAGTGAAAACCCTGCCTCAAAAAATGAAAAATAAGGCTGGGCGCAGTGGCTCACGCCTGTAATCCCAGCACTTTTGGGAGGCTGAGGTGGGCGGATCACGAGGTCAAGAGATCAAGACCATCCTAGCTAACCTGGTGAAACCTGTCTCTACTAAAAATACAAAAATTACCTGGGCGTGGTGGTGTGTGCCTGTGGTCCCAGCTACTTGGGAGGCTGAGGCAGGAGAATCGCTTGAACCCAGGAGGCAGAGGTTGCAGTGAGCTGAGATCATCACACTACTGCACTCCAGACTGGTGACAGAGTGAAACTCTGTTTCAAAAAAATAAATAAAATAAAATAAAATAAAAATCAATAAAAGATGGTAGTGAATTATAACCCAATTAATAAAATATAGATCTACAAATCTATTATGATATAAATAAATTAATAAGTAAATGGCGAAAAAGGAAAAGATCTTCCTTATGGTAGACTTACATCTACTAAATATAGAAAAAACAATGGAGTTAGAAAATAATCATGGAGGCCGGATTTGGTGGCTCATGTCTGTAATCCCACCACTTTGGGAGGCCAAGGCAGGCAGATCACCTGAGGCCAGGAGTTCGAGACCAGCCTGGCCAACATGGTGAAACCTCCGTCTCTACTAAAAATACAAAAATTAGCCAGGCCTGATGGCACACACCTGTAGTCCCAGCTACTAGGGAGGCTGAGGCTCGAGAATCACTTGAACCGGGGAGGCAGAGATTGCAGTGAGCTGAGATCGCTCCACCGCACTCCAGTCTGGGTGACTCTGCCTCAAAAAAACAAAAAAAGAAAAAATAATCATGGATGCTAAAACTTGAGGGTTAAATCATAATGAGGAACAGCCTCAAGGACTATCCCCACAAATTACTTTTTAATTATATAGAGGAAATTAATAACTTTACAGAGAGCAATCTGGTAGCCCCACCATTAATCAAGTGATTAAAACCAACTATCAATTTTAGAACAAACCAGCTTTATATACCTCCTGAAATGATACTATAGTCCTGTATAACTGCATAATTTGAACCTAAGGATGAGGAAACATTAGCCAAACAAAAATTGAGTGACATTCTGCAAAATAAATAGCTGTACTTTTTTGTGGCAGGGTGTCGCTCTGTTGCCCATGCTGGAGTGTAGTGGTATGATCATGGCTCACTGCAGCCTTTACCTCCTTGGCTCAAGCAGTTCTCCCACCTCAGCCTCCTGAGTAGCTGGGTTTACAGGTGCTCACCATCACACCCAGCTTTTTTTTTTTAGAGACGGGGTCTCACTATGTTGTCCAGGTGGATCTTGAGTATTTTTAGTAGAGACGGGGGGGTTCCTCACGTTGGCCAGGCTGGTCTTGAACTCCTAGCCTCAGGTGATCCTCCCTCCTCAGTCTCCCAAAGTATTGAGATTACAGGCATGAGGCACCACATGTGGCCAATAGCTGTACTTTCCAAAAATGTCCAAGTCAAGAAAGACAAAGTAAGGCTGGAGAACTGTTCCAGATTAGACTAAAAACACATGATCCTGAATTGAAAAAATATGATCCTGAATTGAAAATTATCTTGAGAACTGAAATGGGTTAAATGAATACTATTTAGACAATTGCCAAAATTTGATTATGGACTATATTCGTTTCCTACGGCTGCTATGGTGAATTACCACAAATTTGGTGGCTTAAAATAACACACATTTATTTTCTTATCGCTCTGAAGGTCAGGAGGATGAAGCCAGTTTCACTGGGCTGAAATCAAGATGTTAACAGGGTTGAACTCCCTGTGGACTGGTAAAGCACACATTATCTCCAGTTTACTCTTTTTTTTTTGATACGGAGTTTCACTCTTGTTGCCTAGGCTGGAGTGCAATGGCATGATCTTGGCTCACTGCAACCTCTGCCTCCCAGGTTCAAGTGATTCTCCTGCCTCAGCCTCCCAAGTAGCTGGGATTACCGACATGTGCCACCACGTCCAGCTAATTTTGTATTGTTAGTAGAGGCGGGTTTTCACCATGTGGATCATGCTGGTCTCTAACTCCTGACCTCAGGTGATCCACCCGCCTCAGCCTCCCAAAGTGCTGGGATTACAGGTGTGAGCCACTGTGCCCAGCCACCAGTTTATTCTTGAATAATTCAGAAATATATACAAAATTAGGCACAATATAAACACGTGGGAAAGCTAGGTAAAGGTACCATTTTTGCGACTCATCTGTAAGTTTGAGATTATGTTAAAATTTAAATGGATCAAAAGAGTAAGTATTATTTACAGGCAGGGATATAAGCATAAATTTTCATGTCAATTCTAAAGTCAATGGGATGAGTTCCTAACTAGAGTCAGAAAACTCTGTTAAATAATAACACTTCTTTGCATTTGGAGGATGCTTATTTTCCAAATCATTTCACAGCAATTGCCTTATTTGCTTCTTGCAATAACCACAGGAAGTCAGGAGAGCAGATATTTTTATTCCTGTTGGACAAATGAAAAAAAATGAAGCATGGAAGAGTTAATTGAATCACCTAAGATTCCACACACGTAAGTGGCAGAGTTCTAGATTAGAAACTCTCTTCTGATTCTCCTATGCTAGGTGTAAAAGAGTAGTCAAGAGTGGTTATAGGTACAGCTTAAGACAGACCTGTACTGAAATCCACTTGAGTCCTGGCTACAACTTGTCTGGCTGTATTACTCAGGGTAGGCAAGGTTATGTAGTGGTGACAAATAAACCCTGAAATATCAACAGCTTAACAGAACAAAGGTTTATTTGTTGTTCCCATTTACAGTGTAATGTGGGCCCATCAGCTCTTTTTTTTTTTTTTTTTGACAGGGTCTTACTCTGTAGCCCAGGCTGGAATGCAGTGGCACGATCACAGCTCACTGCAGCCTCAACCTCCCAGGCTCAAGCAATCCTCCCATCTCAGCCTCCCAAGTAGCTGGAACCACAGGTGCACACCACCTCACCCGGCGAATTTTTGTATTTTTTGTAGAGATGGGGTCTCCCTGTGTTGACCAGGCTAGACAGTCAGCTCTCTTGAGTGGCTCTCCTCCAAGCAGTTACTCAGGGATCTAGGCTCTGCCCTTAGGAGGAGTGGCTGGGGTGGATCCTTTGTTTCCAGCTGTGCAGATAAGGAAGAGAAAGTGGAACTTTGTGTGGAATGTTTTAAACCTGGAAATGGGGCATAGCACATCTAAAATCTATGGACCCGAATTTAGTCACATGTGTCCACCTCCAAGCGTGGAGTTCTGGGAAATGCAGTCTTTCTGTGTGCTCGGGGGAAAATAAAACAGTTCAGGCCAGGCGCAGTGGCTCATGCTTGTAATCCCAGCACTTTGGGAGGCCAAGGTGGGCGGATCACCTGAGGTCAGGAGTTCAAGACCAGCCTGGCTAACATGGTGGAACCCCATTTCTACTAAAAATACAAAAAAATTCGCTGGGTGTGGTGGCGCATGCATATAATCCCAGCTACTTGAGAGGCTGAGGCAGGAGAATCACTTGAACCCGGGAGGCGGAGGTTGCAGTGAGCTGAGATTGCACCATTGCACTCCAGCTTGGGCAACAAGAGCAAAACTCCATCTCAAAAAACAAAACAAAACAAAACAAAAAACCCAGTTCAGTGCATACCTAAGTTTGACTCTGCCATACTAGCTATTGTAAACTTGAGTAATTTATTTAATCTCCTAAATATTCTCATTCGTCAAATGCAGACAATAATACCACAGAGAGTAGTTGTATTGAATGAAGGACAAAATGTACATGGCATGTATAGCACAGTGCCTGGCACTGTAAATCATAAATAGGAGTTATTAGTTTTTGTTTGTTTGTTGTTATTAAGACAGGCTCTCCCTCTGCCACACAGGCTGGAGTGCAGTGGCACAACCACAGCTAACTGCAGCCTTGACCTCCCTGGCTCAAGTGATCCTCCCACCTCAGCCTCCTGAGCAGCTGGGACTCCAGGCACACTCCACTATGCCCAGCTAATTTTATTTATTTATGTATTTATGTATTTATTTATTTTTGTAGTGACGGGGTCTCACTATGTTGCCCAGGCTGGTCGTGAACTCCTGGGTTCAAGCCATTCTCCTGCCTCAGCCTCCCAAAATGGGGGAATTCAGGCGTAAGCCACCGGGCCCGGCCAGTTATTAGTATTATAGAATTTCTCATGTCTCTTACAGTCCTGGTTATGTCAATTCCCTGGCCAGTAGTGGAGATGCCAAACCTTTCCACGTGGTATCCATTTGTTCCTTGCTCTCTGCCCACAATATAATGTATGTTGGTTTCATCAAAAGGAAAGATTAAGGCCTTGGAGCAGGGCCCACTTGGCAGGATGTAATGTGAAGAGCAGTGGGTTACAAGTGTCATTTTGCAAGATATGCCCTAATGCAGCGGCTTGGGAACAGTGGAGGCACCCATGAATCCCCCAGGGGTGGCTGAGATGGCCCCTCTTGTTGTTCTTAACAACAGGTGTTGGCAGACTTCCAATAAAGCTGCCAAGGAGTCTATTTTCTCTGGAATTTAAAGGGAGAGGACAGGGTGGTGTCCACAGGAGGTGAGGGGCAACAGCTGTCCAGAGCTTACAGCTTTCTCCATACTCAATGGCACTGTAATTTAAGTGGCTCAACTAAGGCCTGTCCAAAAAGGCCCACAGAGGAACACTCTGCACCTCCCAAAAACAGAACATGGAGATTCATGAGCAGGATGTAGGGTGGACTCCCTGCAAAGAGTCATGCATGACCGTTTATTTTCTGCTGGGTAGAAATGTCCCTTTCAGTTTGGAAATGGAGACTGAGAGCCACAATTTGGGAACCGAAGCCCTCATAGACTTTACCCCATTTCTGACACACAGCCAAACCA
The DNA here is from genome assembly GCF_000001405.40 of Homo sapiens. Taxonomy (NCBI): domain Eukaryota; kingdom Metazoa; phylum Chordata; class Mammalia; order Primates; family Hominidae; genus Homo; species Homo sapiens. Next base: position 34,729,792 of record NC_000006.12, on the reverse strand, counting down.
TGATTTGGCCCCTCAACACAGAAGGCTGCTTAACTTTCTAGTTTGTGACCAGAGTTGAGAAGTTCAGCACATTTGGCAAACAATGTAATTCATGCTGGTGTAGCCAAATTAATCCTCTTTTAGGTTAGTAGATGTCCAAGTTTTCTTTGTTTTACATACTAGCAGATTTGGGTTGGGCGCAGTGGCTCACGCCTGTAATCCCAGCACTTTGGGAGGCCGAGGCGGGCAGATCATGAGATCAAGACCATCCTGGCCAACATGGTAAAACCCCTTCTCTACTAAAAATACAAAAATTAGCTGGGCGTGGTGGTGCGCACCTGTAGTCCCAGCTACTCGGGAGGCTGAGGCAGGAGAATCGCTGGAAGCTGGGAAGCAGAAAAACTAGCAGATTTCGGAACACAGTAAAGTAAAAACTCAAGACTCTAGATCCATTTTTAAAAATTAATTAATTAATTAATTTATTTATTTATTTTTGAGATGGAGTCTCACTCTTGTCGCCCAGGCTGGAGTGCAATGGCACCATATCAGCTCACTGCAACCTCTGCCCCCCAGTTCAAGTGATTCTCCCACCTCGGCCTCCCTAGTAGCTGGGATTATAAGTGCCTGCCGCCATACCTGGCTAATTTTTATATATTTTTTTTTTTGACACGGAGTCTTACTTTGTTGCCCAGACTGGAGTGCAGTGGCATGATATCTTGGCTCACTGCAACCTCTGCCCCCCAGGTTCAAGCGATTCTCCCACCTTAGCCTCCTGAGTAGCTAAGATTACAAGTGTGCACCACCACGCCCAGCCAATTTTTGTTTTTTTAGTAGAGACGGGGTTTCACCATGTTGGCCAGGCTGGCCTTGAACTCCTGACCTCAAGTGATACACCCGCCTTGGCCTCCAAAAGTGCTGGGATTACAGTACAAGCATGAGCCACTGCTCCCAGCTTTAATTTTTATGTCTAAGAAAAAACTTTTTTTTCCATAGAGACAGTGTCTTGCCATGTTGCCCAGGCTAGTCTCAAACTCCTGGGCTCAAGCTATCTGCCTGCCTCTGCCTCCCAAAGTGCTGGAATTACAGACATGAGCCACAGTGCCCAGACTGCCTAGCACTGTTTTTATATAAATAATGTGTTTATTTGGAATGGTTTGCTGCATAGAGAGACTAAAGCTGTCTCCAAGTCACCCCATGGTGCCACTGCTACCACCCACGACCAGGCATGAAAATAAATGTGTGGAGAGCACTGGAAATCAAAGGTTGTGCTGGGCACGGTGGCTCATGCCTGTAATCTCAGCACTTTGGGAGGCCAAGGTGAATGGATCACTAGAGACCCGCCTGGGCAACATGGTGAAACCCCATCTACTAAAAATACAAAAATTAGCTGGGCGTGGTGGCGCATGCCCGTAATCCCAGTTACACCGGAGGCTGAGGCATGAGAATCTCTTGAGCTTGGGAGGAAGAAGTTGCGGTGAGCCAAGATCGTGTCACTGCCCTCCAGCCTGGGTGACAGAGAGACACTCTGCTAAAAAAAAAAAAAAAAAAAAAAAAAAAAAATTTAAAAATTAAATCAAAGGTTGTGGCACACTGCAGTTACCACCAGCATTTTCTGAAGAGTCAAGAAGCGATATAGCAGAAGTTGAGACTACAAGGAAAGCGAGAAAAGTTAAGAAGAAAGAGGACGAAGTTGCCAAAAGCAAATCTACATTTAAAGGCACTGAATCCCTCTCTACTGGTTCTAGGGAGATTGGCTAAAGAAACCCTGTTGTTAAAAACGCTTTTCTGGAAGAAGAGTGCAACATGCGGCCATGAATCAAGTGACCCAACTTCACATTCTAAGACCTTCTAGTTCCATTTATGTAACTCTGAACATTTCTTTCTTTTTTTTTTTTTTTTTTTGAGACAGAGTCTCACTCTGTCGCCCAGGCTGGAGTGCAGTGGCGTGATCTCGGCTCACTGCAACCTCCGCCTCCTGGGTTCAAGCGATTCTCCTGCTTCAGCCTCCCGAGTAGCTGGGACTACAGGTGCGTGCCACCATCCCTGGCTAATTTTTTGTATTTTTAGTAGAGACGGGGTTTCACCGTGTTAGCCAGGATGGTCTTGATCTCCTGATCTTGTGATCTGCCCACCTCGGCCTCCCAAACTGCTGGGATTATAGGCGTGAGCCATCGCACCCCGGCCTCCTATGAGCATTTCTTAATAGTGACTCTCCTGATCTATCCATTAGGGCCAATGACCCAGACTACCTCACAGGGTTGTTGTGAGGTTCAAATGAGATAAGGATGTGAGTGTATAATAGGTGCTGTAGTTTAGTTTGGTATTTTAATTTCAGTTTACCTAAAAGCTTCTGAGCTTCTTGGAATTTCCGATAAAAAGTTTAGGGAAACTGACAATCATTTCAAATCCAACTTATTCCTTTCTAACCTCCCCTTCTTCTTCCCAACATATATCCCTGTCTAGAAAGTCCCTATAAGTTCCCTCTTATAATACAAACGTCCCTGGGGAAGAGACAAGAGCTGACTTATCTCCAGATAACACCTTAATGGTTCATATATGCTTCAGTTAAGAGCTGGAATGGCATAGGAGTTGGGCCCTTGAGAGGGAAGGGAGGACCCCCTGGAGGCTTAAACTCTGTAAAGAGATACAGAAAGCTGATGGCAGACTAAGCAGAAGGCAAACTTGGTCGACTTCCCAATTTTTCTGAGGGAAAAACCTAACAGAACAGGGCCATATTTCAACAATTTTGTTGTATGTGCCAATTCCTATCTAAAGGGTTAGAATTGTTTATTTTCCTCTCTTGTAAGATACGCATAATTTATACATGTAAATGTATAAATTATTTTTAGGCTGGACATGGTGGCTCACCCCTGTAATCCCGGCACTCTGGGAGACTGAGACAGAAGGATCCCTTGAGCCCAGGAGTTTGAGACCAGCCTGGGCAATGTAGGGAGACCCCGTTTCTATAAAAAATACAAAAATTAGCCCGGCATGGTGGAGTGAACCTGTAATCCCAACTACTTGGGAGGCTGAGGTGGGAGGATAGCTTGAGCCCAGGAGGTTGAGGCAGCAGTGAACCAAGATCATGCCACTACACTCCAGCCTGGGTGGACAGAGTGAGACTCTATCTCAAAATAATAAATAAAAATTTTTAAAAAATCAAAATCCAAAAGAAAGAAAGAAAGAAAGAAAAGAAAGCAAAGCAAGGGTGGATGATAATAGTCCCTCCCTGAAACTAACTCCCTCCATGCTCAGGAATCAAAACCTAATTTTATAAGACTAACGAAAGGCCACAATAATAGGATTATGGGAGGGGCCTGAACTCTGCTAAAATATAGGCATAGTTTCTATGAGCCCTTACTGCTCAGGGGTCATGTGGCCAGAGGTCACAAGATTTGTGACTTTCCCAATTGCTCCTATAGATAACATCACTATTGTAGAGCCTAAGATTTTTTTTTTTTTTGAGATGTTTTTCAGACTGAACCTATCCAGAATTGTGATTCATGACTCACCAGATCCTGTGGCCCCCCTATCCAGGGGTGCACTCAGCACATGAGGACGCCTGTGATTCTGCCCCTATGAGTTCATCCCCAACCAGTCAGCAATACCCATTCCTTAACCCCCTGCCTGGCAAACTGTCTGGGAGACTGATTTGAGTGATAACTCCAATTCTCTTGTGTGGGCCAGCCACATATCAATAAAACTCTTTCTCTACTGCAATGCCATGGTCTCAGTGGATTGATTTTGTCTGTACACTGGGGCAGGAAGAACCCATCAGGGGATTACAATAGTATTTTGATGAACTGCTTTTCTTAGTTTTAATATAGTCCAACTTATCAATTATTCTTTTTATACTTGGTATTTTTTGTGTCCTGTTTAAGAAAACTTTGGCCTATTCTCACTTTTTTTTTTTTTTTTTTTTTTGAGGCAGAGTTTCACTCTTGTTGCCCAGGCTGGAGTGCAATGGCACGATCTTGGCTCACTGCAACCTCTGCCTCCCACGTTCAAGCAATTCTCCTGCCTCGGCCTCCCGAGTAGCTGGGATTACAGGCCTGGGCCACCACACCTGGCTAATTTCGTATTTTTAGTAAAGACGGGGTTTCTCCATGTTGGTCAGGCTGGTCTTGAACTCCCAACCTCAGGTGATCTGCCCACCTCGGCCTCCCAAAGTGCTGGGATTATAGGCATGAACTGCCATGCCCAGCCTATTCTCACTTTTTTAAAAATAGAAAATTATTCTTTTCCAAGGTAAATTGTACTTTGGTAGACCGAGGTGAAAGAATTGCCTGAAGCCAGGGCAACATAGTGAGACAAAACATAGTTCTACAAAAAATTTAAAAAATTAGATGTGGTGGCATGGGCCTCTGGTCCTAGCTACTTGGAAGGCTGAATTGGCAGGATCACTCGAGTCTGGTAGTTGAGGCTGCAGTGAGCCATGATCATGCCACTGCATTCCAGCCTGGGTGACAGAGGGAGATCTTGGCAAAAAAACAAAAAACAAAAAAAACAAAACAACAACAACAAAAAAAATTGCAAAAAATGTACGGCCTGGCCTGGTGCCTCAATACCTATAATCCCAGCACTTTGGGAGGCCGAGGTGGGAGGATCATCTGATCCCAGATGTTTGAGACCAGCCTGGGTAACATAGTGAGACCTTATGTCTTCTTAAAAAAAATTAAAACTTATAGACTTATAGATTATCAAAAAGAAGAAAAATAATACCTATAATGCAACATTCAGAGACAGAAGCTTTATAAACATTTTGGTGCATATTCTAGTATTTATAAATGTTTATACACACTTTTTTTTTTCTCAAAAAAAAATGACCTCTAATCCCCAGCACTTTGGGAGGCCAAGTTGGGAGGATCACTTGAGGCCAGAAGTTCAAGAACATCCTGGGCAACAAAACGAGACCCTATGTCTACAAAAATAAAAATGGAAAATTAGCCAGGTCCAGTGGTGTGCACTTGTGGTCCAAGCTACTCAGGAAGCTGAAATGGGAAGATTGCTGGAACATAGGAATTAGTGGCTGCAATAAGTTGTGTTCACACCACTGCACTCCAGCCTGGTAGACAGAATAAGACTCTGTCTCTTAAAAAGAAAAAAGAAAAAAAAAGGATGATACTGTCCTTGCTTTTAGTAAACTTTTTTTAAATTTTTAATTTAATTTTAAAAAATTTTTTATTTAGAGATAGAGTCTCACTCTGTCACCCAGGCTGGAGTGCAGTGGCGTGATCTTGGCTCACTGCAACCTCTGCCTCCCAGGTTAGCAATTCTCCTGCCTCAGCCTCCCAAGGAGCTGGGACTACAGGTACCCGCCACCACATCTGGCTAATTTTTGTATTTTTAGTAGAGAGGGGGTTTTGCCATGTTGGCCAGGTTGGTCTCGAGCTCCTGACCTCAGATGATCTGCCCTTCTTGGCCTCCCAAAGTGCTGGGATTACAGGTGTGAAACTCTGCGCCCAGCCAATTTTTTTTTTTTTTAAATAATAGATGCAATCTCACTATATTGCCCAGGCTGGTCTCGAACTCTTGGGCTCAAGTGATCCTCCCACCTCAGCCTTCCAAAGTGTTGGGATTATAAGCATGAGCCACTACACCTGGCCTAGTTAATTGTTTAAAACTTAACATTTTATCTAAAAATACTTATCTTCATACATTTTAATGGTTGTATAATATTCCATTATAGGGATATACCAAAAGTGTCAGGCCAGGCACTGTGGCTCACACCTGTAATCCCAGCACTTTGGGAAGCCAAGGTGGGTGGACCACCTGAGGTCAGTAGTTCAAGACCAGCCTGGCCAACATGGCGGGTGTGGTGGTGGCGTGGGCCTATAATCCTAGCTACTCGGGAGGCTGAGGCAGGGGAATCGCTTGAATCCAGGAGGTGGAGGTTGCAGTGAGCCAAGATCGCACCACTTCACTCCAGACTGGGCAGCAGAGAGAGACTCAAAACAAGAGTTTGTTTTGAGACTCCATCTCAAAACAAAACAAAACAAAAACAAAAACAAGAAACCCAGAAGTGTCCTTTTTAACTAGTAGATTTTACACAGTAAAATGTAAACAAGCAACATCAGTAACACTAAATGGAACTTTTTAGGAGTTTCCTTTGATTGAGGATCATTTGAGAAATCCACCAAGCCAGTTGTATATAGCGTCAGAATTTTAGGCTCAGTTATACTTCTGACTCCATGGCCATGGGAAAGTCACCTAATGTTGCTCTACCCTGGAATTCTCCATGTTAGAGAGGAGGTCTCAGAGCAAATAATCACTGAGGTTTGCTCCAACTCTGAATGTCTGAGGATTCACCCATAACTGAGGCTGCTGCAATGTGTCTTTTCCTTTTGTAGTGTTTTCGCTGACTCACTTGTGACCCAAATGCTCCATCAGGTCAGAGGAAACATGTATACATAAGAAAAACCCTTGGGAAACTCGGTGGCAAGGTAATCATGTCCTTGGAGCAGAATAAGTGCAAGGGATAAACAGCACAGCTTTGCTTAAAACCAGCTGCCCTTGTGTGACCTGAAAGGGCTTCCCTAGGGAGGAGCTAAGAAGTGAAACTTTGCTTTTTGTCAGAAGAAAAGTGATTTGAAGAATTAAGGACTTTAAGGAGGGAAAATCACTGCTATGTTTAACTCTCAAAAGTTGAGGAGGCGAGATGTGATGGCTCATGCCTGGGATGCCAACAATTTGGGATGCCAAGGTGACAGGATCCCTTGAAGTCAGGAGTTCAAGACCAGCCGGGACACAGAGTGAGGCCTTGTCTCTGTTAAAAAAAAAAAAAAAAAACAAAAAAACGCCACCGGCGGCAGGGGGTGGTGGTGTTGGGGGAAGAATCCCAAATTTAAAAAGATGCCATAAAAGGTACAAGGGTAAGGCATTGCAAAGACCTATTATTACAGGGGTTGAGGGCCGGGCACAGTGGCTCATACCTGTAATTCCACTTTGGGAGGCAGATCACTTGAGCCTAGGAGTTTCAGCCCACAGTGAGCTGTGATCGCGCCACTGCACTCTAACCTCGATGGCAGAGTGAGATTCCGTTTCAAAAAAAAAAAGGCGTTGAGCAGAGGAAATACTAGGTGAACTCCACTCAGAAATGTCACCTTGAATTACCAGGATGATAGTCAAGGGTCTGATTTGGAAAGTGAGGGTCAGAAATGTGAATTTTGGTTGGTGTTTATTTGCTTACCACGTTGCTGTGGACCAATCACCTCTTTGAGTCTGTGTCTCCATCTGTACCATCTGTAAAATGAAAAAATGATAGTATCACACAAGCTTGTCGAGATAACTATGGAGATAAGAGGCTTGAGGCAAGTAAAGTTCTTAGCCAGTCCTGGCATGTGGTAAGCGCTAAGGTTTTTTTCTTTTGCAGTTAAAAACATTGAGGCCAGGTACAGTGGCTCATATCTGTAATCCCAACACTTAGGGAGTTCGAGGTGGGAGGATTGCTTGAGCCTAGGAGTTCAAGACCAGCCTGGGCAACACAGAGAGACCCCCGTCTCTAAAAAATAAATAAGTAAAAATTATTTTAAAATTAAAATAAAATATCGAGATAAAATTCATAATCCCGACCAGGCGCGGTGGCTCACGCCTGTAATCCCAGCATTTTGGGAGGCTGAGGTGGGCAGATCACGAGGTCAGGAGATCTAGAACATCCTGGCCAACATGGTGAAACCCCGTCTCTCTTAAAAATACAAAAATTAGCTGGGCGTGGTGGTACGTGCCTGTAATCCCAGCTACTGGGGAGGCTGAGGCAGGAGAACTGCTTGAACCTGGGAGTCGGAGGTTGCAGTGAGCCGAGATTGTACCACTGCACTCCAGCCTGGGGACAGAGCGAGACTCTGTCTCAAAAAAAAAAAAAAAAATTCATACTCCATAAAGTTCATCCTTTAAAACTGTACAACTTAGTGATTTTTCATATATTCACAAGACTATGCAACCATCACCACTAACTAATTCCAGAACTACCCAATTTTCATCACCCCAAAAAGAGACCCTGGGCCCATTAACAGTCATTCTTCATTAACTTTGTTACCCCTAGCCCCTGGCAACCACTAATCTACTTTCTATCTTCATGAATTTCCCTATTCTGTACATTTCATATAAATGGAATCTACAACATGTGGTCTTTTGTGATGGGCATCTTCCATTACCATCTAATACTGGATATTGTTGTTGCAGTTATTCCTATTTCCTATACATTATTTAAAAAACAAATAGAGGCCAGGCGCAGTGGCTCACACCTGTAATCCCAGCACTTTGGGAAGCCGAGGTGGGCAAATTACAAGGTCAGGAGTTCGAGACAAGCCTGGCCAACATGGTGAAACCCCGTCTCTACTAAAAATACAAAAAAGTTAGCTGGGAGTAGTGGCGGGCGCCTGTAGTCCCAGCTACTCAGGAGGCTTAGACAGGAGAATCATTGAACCGGGGAGGCGGAGGTTGCAGTGAGCCGAGATTGCACCACGGCACTCCAGCCTGGGCGACAGACGGAGACTCCATCTTAAAAAAAAAAAAAAAAAGTTGGGCTGGGCAGTGGCTCACATTTGTAATCCCAGCACTTTGGGAGGCCAAAGTGGGTGAATCACCTGAGGTCAGGAGTTCGAGACCAGCTTGGCCAATGTGGTGAAACCCGTCTCAACCAAAAATACAAAAATTAGCCGAGCATGGCAGTGGATGCCTGTAATCCTAGCTACTCGGGTGGCTGTGGCAGGAGAATCGCTTGAACCCAGGAGGTGGAGGCTGCCATCAGCTAAGATCACGACACTGCACTCCAGCCTGGGAGAGAGTGAAACTCCGTCTGAAAAAAAAAATTAAATTTACTTTACTTTTTTTTTGAGACAGTCTCACTCTGTCTCCCAGGCTGAAGTGCAGTAGAACGATCTTGGCTCACTGCAGCCTCAACCTCCCCGGCTCCAGCAATCCTCCCATCTCAGCCTCCTGAGTAGCTGGGACTACGGAGACGGGCGCCACCACACCCTGCTAATTTTTGTATTTTTGGTAGTGACAGGGTTTTGCCATGCTGCAGAGGCTGGTCTCGAACTCCTGGGCTCAAGCCATCCACCTGCCTCGGCCTCCCAAAGTGCTGGGATTATAGGCGTGAACCACCGTGCCTGGCCCCTACAAATCAAATAGCATAAACTTCAAATGATATAATAGATACAAAACCTCCTTTAAAAATGTTCAGTTGACTTTTCTCCAAAAGCTTTTTATTTGCTAGACTAAGTTCTCTTTGTCATGAGACTTGCCACTACCCTGTCCAAGTCGACAGTTTCCCCCAAACCTTGGAGCCATGCTGGGTCTGGATGTGAAACACAGAGGCAGAGCCATGGAGGACGGTAAAAGGAGGCCACCAGCCCCTCCCTCAGGCCCAGCCACCAACAGTGGTTGTGGGGAAAAGCAAGAGAGATCAGATTGTTACTGTGTCTGTATAGAAAGAAGTAGACATAGGAGACTCCATTTTGTTCTGTACTAAGGCAAATTCTTCTGCCTTGAGATTCTGTTAATCTATGACCTTACCCTCAACCCCGTGCTCTCGGAAACATGTGCTGTGTCAAACTCAGGGTTAAATGGATTAAGGGCGGTGCAAGATGTGCTTTGTTAAACAAATGCTTGAAGGCAGCATGCTCGTTAAGAGTCATCACCACTCCCTAATCTCAAGTACCCAGGGACACAAAAACTGCGGAAGGCCGCAGGGACCTCTGCCTAGGAAAGCCAGGTATTGTCCAAGGTTTCTCCCCGTGTGATAGTCTGAAATATGGCCTCGTGGGAAGGGAAAGACCTGACCGTCCCCCAGCCCGACACCCGTAAAGGGTCTGTGCTGAGGAGGATTAGTATAAGAGGAAGGCATGCCTCTTGCAGTTGAGACAAGAGGAAGGCATCTGTCTCCTGCCCGTCCCTGGGCAATGGAATGTCTCGGTATAAAACCCGATTGTACATTCCATCTACTGAGATAAGGAAAAACCGCCTTAGGGCTGGAGGTGGGACATGCAGGCAGCAATACTGCTTTGTAAAGCATTAAGATGTTTATGTGTATGCATATCTAAAAGCACAGCACTTAATCCTTTACCTTGTCTATGATGCAAAGACCTTTGTTCACGTGTTTGTCTGCTGACCCTCTCCCCACTATTGTCTTGTGACCCTGACACATCCCCCTCTCGGAGAAACACCCACGAATGATGAATAAATACTAAGGGAACTCAGAGGCTGGCGGGATCCTCCATATGCTGAACGCTGGTTCCCTGGGTCCCCTTATTTCTTTCTCTATACTTTGTCTCTGTGTCTTTTTCTTTTCCAAGTCTCTCGTCCCACTTAACGAGAAACACCCACAGGTGTGGAGGGGCAACCCACCCCTTCAGTGGTCTTTGACGTGCCCCAAAGACACAGGCTGAATCCATCAATAGATCTTCCAGAGGCAGATATTACATTTGATTTCTAGTCTTAATTTTGCTCTTTTATAATATGGAAAGAGCAGAGTTAATTTTTATTTCATGTGTGGGTTATGACTCACTGGGGATTTGTCCATGCAAATGGTCCTGCCCAAATGTAGATAATAATTTAACAACAATGATAACCCTCAGGATTATTAGCTCAGACTCTAAATGAAAAACTCTTCATTCATGGAAGTAATTATTCTCCTTTGCATTGACTTCCAGAGAATTTCTTAAAGACTTGAGAAGAGACTTCTCAGTTTGCTGTTTGATTTATCCTTCTCATCACAAGTCACGGGTATGTATGACTCTCAGAAGCAAAAGAAGGTTAGGAAAGATTGTTGAACCGCCTTTTCGGCATACGGCCTGTGTGATGTTGGCAATTTTACCTCCCTGCTCAGTAGTGCCCTCTTCTTATATTCTTAAAATTTTGAAATATTTGAAGAGGTAGTAGGATATGGTTGTTAAGAGATGAGACTCTTGTTCTGGGAGTTACCAGGGAGAAAAAGAAATAAAGTTAATAAGTAAAAGATTTTTTAAAATAAAAAAGAAAAATTATTATTATTATTATCGTAAAAACAGAGTCTCACCATGTTGCCCAGGTTGGTCTCAAACTCTTGAGCTCAGTGATCCACCTGCCTCAGCCTCCCAAAGTGCTGGCATTACAGGCGTGAGCCACTGCACCCGGCTCAAAAAGAGAAAAATTAAAAAATAATAATAAAAAATAATAAAAAGAAAAGATCAGACTCTGAAGCCAGACCATCTTCAAATCCCAGGATCACCACTTACTAGATTTGTGACATTGAGCAAGTTTCTAATCTCTGTACTTCAGTTTTCTCATCTGTAAAACAGAGATAATCATAGTAACTGTAGGGTCGTAGGGTTATTGAAATGATTACATTAGTTAATACACGTAAAGAATCTAACAGTGCCTGTCACATAGTAAGCGTTTTCTGCTTATATACATATGTATACATATACATACACATATGTATGAAGAATAATATAACAAAATCTGAGTCTTTACACATAAATCCTAACATTAAGCCATATGTGCTTTAGCTATTTTTTAAATAACTAAAATATGACCAGGTATGGTAGCTCATGCCTGTAATCCCAGCACTTTGGGAGGCCAAGGTGGGTGGATCACCTGAGGTCAGGAGTTCAAGACCAGCCTGGTCAACATGGTGAAACCCTGTCTCTACTAAAAATACAAAAATTAGCCGGGCTTGGTGGTGGATGCCTGTAATCCCAGCTACTCTGGAGGCTGAGGCAGGAAAACTGTTTGAACTTGGGAGGCGGAGATTGCATTGCAGTGAACCAAAATTGCGCCATTGCACTCCAGCCTGGGTGACAGAGCAAGACTCTGTCTCAAAAAAAAAAAAAAAAAAAAAAAGAAGTAAAATATTACAGAAACAATTACACCCTCCTAGTATCCCTCTTTTATTATGTTTCTTCCTTTTCTTTCCTGAGATAACCATTATCCTGAATATTGATTATCCTGAATGTATGATTTATTATGAATCTATTACTTATCTTTTTTTTGAGACAGAGACAAAGCAGTGTCATGGGTGTGTGCATATGTCCAAACTCATCAGAGTGTACATATTGAATATGTGTAGGTTTTTGTATATCAGTTACACATCCATAAAGCTATTAAAAAACAATGGTATCGCCACTGCATTCCAGCCTGGTGACACAGCGAGACTCCATCTCAAAAAAAAAAATGGTATCATATTGAGGGATCATTTTGCCACCACTCTTTTCACTCAACTTTATGGTATTTACTCATGTTGCCACATGTAGCTACTTCAGCCAATTTAATTGGTGTAGGTGTTTCATTCATGACTATATCACAATTTATCTTCCTTGATTATATCACATTTTCTATACTATTGGACATTTAGACTGCTTCCTATTGTTTGCTCTCATAAGCATTGTTGCAGTGTACATGTTTTTAATTTAAAATAAAATTGTTTTTGAGACAGGGTCTTGTCCTGTCACCCAGGCTGGAGTGTAGTGGTGCAACCACAGCTCACTGCAGCCTCAACCTCCTGGGCTCAAACGATCATCCTACCTCAGCCTCCTGAGTAGCTGGGACTACAGGTGCATACCGCTATGCCTGGCTTATTTTTTGATTTTTTTTTTTTTTTTTTGGTAGAGGGGGGTCTCACTATGTTACCCGGGCTGGTCTCAAACTCTTGGGTTCAAATGATCTTCCAGCCTTCCAAAGTTCTGGCATTATAAGGGTGAGCCACCATACCTAGCTGCAATATACATTCTTATATGTCTTCTTGGGTACACGTGTGAGAGTATTCTAGAGCATATATCTAGAAACAGAATTGCTGGGATGTAGGGAAAAACGCCTCTTCAACTTTCCTAGATACTGCCAAATTGTGGCTGTGCTTAGTGGTTGTCCCAATTTTCACTTTCCCAGTAGAAAATGAGCAGTTCTTTGTCTCTCCACTGTTAGCAATACTCATTAATGTTGTCAGTTTCTTCATCTGTCAAAGGGAAATCAATATCTATTCCTAAAGGTCTTCTATAAACAAATGGAACATCTGGTGAGTTGTTGTTGCCCCCGCCGCTGCCACTATGTGTTAGACATCATGCTTTACATACATTCTCTTATTTAAGTCTCATTTTTTTTTTCTTTCCGAGATGGAGTCTTACTCTGTCACCCCGGCTGGAGTGCAATGGCGTGATCTTGGCTCACCTCCACCTCCTGGGTTCAAACGATTCTCCTGCTCAGCCTCCTGAGTAGCTGGGATTACAGGCGCCTGCCACCATGCCTGCCTAATTTTTGTATTTTTAGTAAAGACGGGGTTTCACCATGTTGGCCAGGCTGGTCTCAAACTCCTGACCTCAAATGATCCACCTACCTCAGCCTCCCAAAGTGCTAGGATTACAGGCGTGAGCCACCGCGCCCGGCCTAAGTCTCATGTTAACTATAGAAGGCAGGTATTAGGAAACAAGACTTAAAAGGGGTAATTAATTTATCTGATGTCACATGACAGGTAGGTGACAGGGTAGGATTTGAACTCAAGTCTGTCGGACTTCAAGGGCCCTTTTGTTGCCCCAGTGCTGAGCTGCATACATAATCTGTAGAAACAGCACTACATCAACTTTTTGTGTTTCTTTTTTTTGGAGAGAAGCAAGAATATTATTAATATTATACTTTAATTTTACATCAACAATGACACTGTGTAACCAATAGCACAAGGAAGAGGTAGTGGAGGTAGAAGATGGTCTGGCTTCCTGTTCCTTAACTAGCCTTGACTTTAACAGCAGAGCCCAAGCACCCTAGGAGCGCCTCACCTAGCCTCTTAATGAAGTGGGAAGAGGTGGGAATTGGAAGTCAGAGGCTCAGAACTTAAAGAAGGCTGATGGCAAGCCTGGGGAGAGGCCTGGAAATGAGGGAGGGGCTTTGGGCTGTGAGGAATCCCCTAGCGCAGGTCTTCGGCAGAGAACATGTCCCTGGCTCTGCCCAGGATGGATTCCTTGGCACAGTGTCATACGGGTGCTCCTCGGAGGGGATCTCCAGGATGACTGGAATGGGGCACTGGTGTGTATCCAAGGCGTGCCACACCATCTCTGTAATGTACAGGTTGATGAGGATGATGCCAATGTTGTCCCGTTCAGAAACTGCTGGAAAGTGTCTTTGATCTCACTGATGGTTGTATGCTTCTCCACCATCAGGAAATTGGGATAGTAGTTCTTGTTAAGCTCCCCTATGCCACCCGGCAGGAAAGCAGTCACCGTGTCCTGGTCTCCAAACTGTCTTTTTAGATGAGGAGTTGAGAACTGGAATGTACTTTTGTGTACATGAAAGTTATAGAGCTTGGCCGGGCACAGTGACTCACGCCTGTAATCCCAGCACTTTGGGAGGCCGAGGCAGGCGGATCACCTGAGGTCAGGAGTTGAGACCAGCCTGGTCAACATGGTAAAACCCCGTCTCTACTAAAAATATAAAAATTAGCTGGGCGTGGGCGCAGTGGCTCATGCCTGTAATCCCAGCACTTTGAGAGGCCGAGGCGGGTGGATCACAAGGTCAGGAGATCGAGACCATCCTGGCTAACATGGTGAAACCCTGTCTCTACTAAAAAATACAAAAAAAATTAGCCGGGCGTGGTGGCGGGCGCCTGTAGTCCCAGCTACTCGGGAGGCTGAGGCAGGAGAATGGCGTGAACCTGGGAGGCGGAGCTTGCAGTGAGCCGAGATCACGCCACTGCACTCCAGCCTGGGCGACAGAGCAAGACTCCGTCTCAAAAAAAAAAAAAAAAATTAGCTGGGTGTGGTGGTGCATGCCTGTAGTCTCAGCTACTTGGGAGGCTGAGGCAGGAGAATCACTTGAACCCAGGAGGCAGAGGTTGCAATGAGCGCAGATTGTGCCACTGCACTCCAGCCTGGGTGACAGAGCGACAGCCAGTCCAAAAAAAAAAAAAAGTTACAGAGCTCAACTAAAAGTCTGGCACTATGTTAATATGGGAGAGGCTGGGAGTGAGTGGGAGGTGTAGACAAAACAAGGCTGGCTGTCAGTTGATAATATTGAAGCTGGGTGACGCATACATGGGAGTGCATATACTATTCTATTCACTTTTTTGTTTGTTTCTTTGAGACGGCCTTGTTCTGTTCACCTGGGCTGTGGAGCAGTGGTGTGATCACAGCTTGCTGCAGCATCAACCTCCCAGGTTCAAGTGATCCTCCCACCTCAGCCTCCTGAGTGGCTGGAACTACAGCTGCACACCACCACACCCAGCTAATTTTTTTTTTTTTCTGTAAAGTTCTATTGAGTTAGCATATTTTCCTTTTTCTTTTTTGTACAGATGAGGTTTCACCATGTTGCCCAAGCCGGTCTTGAACTTCTGGCCTCAAGCAATCCACCTGTCTTGGCCTCTTAAAGTGCTGGGATTACAGGCATGAGCCATTGCACCCAGCCTACTTTTTTTTTTTTTTTTAAATAGAGTTTCTCTCTGTGCTCAGGCTGGAGTGCAATAGTATGATCATAGCTCACTGAAACTTTGAACTCCCAGGCTCAAGTGATCCCCCTGCATCAGCCTCCTGAGTACCTAGGATTATAGGCATGTACCACCACAACTGGGTAATTTTTTAAGTTTTTTTTTTTGGTAGAGACAGGGTCTTTCAGCCGGGTGTGGTGGCTCCCGCCTGTTATCCCAGCACTTTCGGAGACTGAGGCGGGTGGATCACCTGAGGTCAGGAGTTCGAGACCAGCCTGGCCAACATGGTGAAACTCCATCTCTACTAAAAATACAAAAATCAGCTGGGTGTGGTGGTGCACACCTGTAATCCCAGCTACTTGGGAGGCTGAGGCAGGAGAATCACTTGAACCCCAGAGGCAAAGGTTGCAACGAGCCCAGATTGCACCACTGTACTCCAGCCTGGGAAACAAGTGCTAAACTCTGTCTCAAAATAAATAAATAAATAAAATAAAAAATTTCCATAATAAAAAGGGAAAATATATTTTTAAAATATATATTTTTAAAATTTTTTTTTTTAAAAAAGGTCTAGCATCATGTTTAATTATATATTTGCAGATTTAGGTATTGAATGAGTTTGGGTATCTGATGTGAAAATCAAAACTTAGTAATATAGCATCTTTATAAAACACTTTATAGTTGGCAAAATATTTCCAGACTTTATCTCACAACTACTCTCAGAGGTAGATGGAGAGTACCTCTGAGATGATAATACTCCATTTCAGAGAAAAGAAAAGAGAAGTTCAAAGCAGTAGATCTGGGACTTTAACCCAGTTTTTAAACATGGAATTCAGTGATCTGCTCCTTTTATTCAAAATGGTTACAGCCCTATGCTTTTTCTGATTATAAAAATAAGCCTGGGAAACAGTGAGACCGTATCTCTACTTAAAAACAAACAAACAAACAAAAAATGTAGCTAGGCATGGTGGTCTGCCCCTGTAGTCCTAGCTACTCATGGGGTTGAGATGGGAGGATCTCCTGAGCCCAAGTGTTTGAGGTTACACTGAGCCATGATCATGCCACTGCACTCCGGCCTGGGTGACGGAATGAGACCCTGTCTCTAAAATAATAATATATGTATATAATTTTAAAACAATTTAAACAAATTACAAAGAAGAAAAATGTGACCTCACCACACAGAGGTAGGTATAGTTAACATTTTGTATATTATTCTTCAAAATTTTGTTTTTAATTTTTTTTTTTCTAGACGGAGTCTCTCTGTTGCCCATGCAATTCTTCTGCCTCAGCCTCCTAAGTAGCTGGGACTACAGGTGCACGCCCCCATGCCGAGCTAAGTTTTGTTTTGTTTTGTTTTGTTTTGTTTTGTTTTGTTTTGTTTTTGACAGAGTCTTGCACTGTTGCCAGGCTGGAGTGCAGTGGCGTAATCTCGGCTCAATGCAACCTCTGCCTCCTGGGTTCAAGCGATTCTCCTGCCTCTGCTTCCCAAGTAGCGGGGACTACAGGCACAGGCCACCATGCCCAGCTAATTTTTTTATTTTTAGTAGAGACAGAGTTTCACCATGTTGGCCAGGATGGTCTCTATCTCTTGTCCTCGTGATCTGCCTGCTTCGGCCTCCCAAAGTGCTGGGATTACAGACGTGAGCCACCATGCTCGGCCTGTTTTAAATTTCTTTTTACAAAAATAAACATATGACATAGTTTTGTAATCTTCTTTGTCTCTTGAAGAATTATGTAGTTTAAACATGTGCCCGTGTCAATAAATTCAGATCTGCATTTATTATATGGCACTCTTGTAACTAATTTAACTGATCTCCTTTTGTTAAGCATTTAGATGGTTTCCAATTTTTCAAAACTATGAACAATAGCAAAGTAAACTTTCTTGTATCTTGGCTCATTCATTATTTCCTTAGGATTCATGACTGGGAATGGAAAATCTGGGTCAAAGCATTTAGAAGAATTTTGCTACATATTGCCACCAATCTCAGAAATTTATGGATTTATATTCTCAACCATCCAGTTGGGTTTTTTTTCCCACCAATTGATAGTTGTTTTTCTTGAGACAAACGGAATTCAAACACACCAGTGAAAATACAGAGTTTAATTTGCTGACTTTTTTTTTTTTTTTTTTGAGATGGAGTCTCACTCTGTCACCCAGGCTGGAGTGCAATGGCGCGATCTCGGCTCACTGCAAGCTCCGCCTCCTGGGTTCAAGCGATTCTCCTGCCTCAGCCTCCCGAGTAGTTGGGACTACAGGCGCCCGCCACCACCCCTGGCTAATTTTTTTTGTATTTTTAGTAGAGACGGGGTTTCACCGTGTTGGCCAGGATGATCTCAATCTCCTGACCTCGTGATCCGCCCGCCTCGGCCTTCCAAAGTGCTGGGATTACAGGTGTGAGCCACCGCGCCCGGCCTAATTTGCTGACTTGTAATCAAGTTGAACTATTGAGCAAACCATTAATAAACAACTAACTTAATCTTCTGCTGGGCTCAGTGGTTTATGCCTGTAATCCCAGCACTTTGGGAAGCTGAGGCAGGAGGATCGCTTGAGCCCAGGAGTTCAAAACAAGCCTGGATAACAAAGTGAGACCTTGTCTCTACCAAAAACCAAAAAATTAGCCGGACATGGTGGCACGCACCTGTGGCTCCAGCTACTTGAGTCCAGGAGGTGGAGGCTGCAGTGAGCGGAGATCATGCCGTTGCACTCCAGCCTGGGCGACAGAGTAAAAGCTTGTTTCAAAAAAAAGAAAGAAAGAAAGAAAGAAAAGAAAAGAAGTGGTAATGACCTTCAAGCTTTAATGTGCATTAGAATCACATGGTGATTCCCGGGCTCTATTTGAAATAGACACACTGACTTATACTGTAGGGGTCTGGGACCCAAGAATGTGCTTTTTTTTTTTTTTTTTTTCCCTGAGACCGAGTCTTGCTCTGTTACTCAGGCTGGAGTGTAGTGGCACACTCTCGGCTCACTGCAACCTTCGCCTCCCAGGTTCAAATGATTCTCATGCCTCAGCCTCCCAAGTAGGTGGGATTACAGGTGCCCGCAACCGTGGCTCATTATTTTAATTTTAATTTTTAGTAGAGACGGGTTTTCAGCCATATTAGCCAGGCTGGTCTCGAGCTCCTGGCCTCAAATGATCCATCCCCCTTGGCCTCCCAAAGTGCTGGGATTATAGGCATGAGCCATTGCGCCCGGCCAATAATGGGCTTTTATTTTCTTTTTTTTTTGAGACAGAGTTTCACTCTTGTTGCCCAGGCTGGAGTGCAGTGGCACGATCTTGGCTCACTGCAACGTCCACCTCCTGGGTTCAAGCGATTCTCCTTTCTCAGCCTCTCAAGTAGCTGGGATTACAGGCACGCACCACCACACCCAGCTAATTTTTGTATTTTTAGTAGAGAAGGGGTTTCACCATGTTGGCCAGGCTGTTCTCAAACTTTTGACTTCAGGTGATCTGCCCGCCTTGGCCTCCCAAAGTACTGGAATTACAGGCATGAGCCAGTGTGCCCGGCCAAGAATGGGCATTTTTTTTTTTTTGAGATGGAGTCTCACTCTGTCGACCAGGCTGGAGTGCAGTGGTGTGATCTCAGTTCACTGCAAGCTTCGCCTCCTGGGTTCACGCCATTCCCCTTCCTCAGCCTCCCGAGTAGCTGGTACTACAGGCACCCACCATCACACCTGGGTAATTTTTTTTTTTTTTTTTTTTTTTGAGACGGAGTCTCGCTCTGTCGCCCAGGCTGGAGTGCAGTGGCGGGATCTCGGCTCACTGCAAGCTCCGCCTCCCGGGTTCACGCCATTCTCCTGCCTCAGCCTCCCAAGTAGCTGGGACTACAGGCGCCCGCCACTACGCCCGGCTAATTTTTTGTATTTTTAGTAGAGACGGGGTTTCACCGTGTTAGTTAGGATGGTCTTGATCTCCTGACCTCGTGATCCGCCCACCTCGGCCTCCCAAAGTACTGGGATTACAGATGTGAGCCACCGCGCCCGGCCAAGAATGGGCATTTTTAACAAGACCCACCTGCTCCCAAGTGACTGTGATTTAGGGAATTAGACCCTTGAGATACTAGCTTAAGGATACACACAACGATAGGTCAATAGTGTGCTGATTATGGACCTGTTTAGCTTTTGGCCACATGAGGTCTGGAGAGAGAAAGGAAATATTCACTTATTCTCTCTAGTCTTGGCCTCTTCCACCTCATTCTGTCTCTGTCTCTCTGACACACAGACACACACAGAGACACACACACACACACTCTTTTGTGGAGGAAATGAGCATTTTACCTTTGGGGATGCCTTTACAGCAGGCTGCTATTATCAGTTACAAAGAGTTCCTTTCTAGCGATTCCTGTTTAGGGCTTTCTGTTTTGTTCTGATTTGCTTTCTTTATCAAGCAGCCATCTTCGATGTTCCTAACCAGTTAAGCACCTGACAGTCACTTGATTTTTCCTTTTCTGTAGAAACTCACTTTAAATCATCCCAGAAGTTCTGCAGTGTGAGATTCGAGGAGATTGGAGGCAAATGAGTCCAGTGAAATTCTACGGGGTCTCTGAGAGGAGGCCCCTGGGTTATCATCACTTGTTAGCATGGTCCTTCAAAATTCAAACTTGCTTTCCAGGCATTTTCCTTTCCAGGATAGCTCCCCTTTGCCTAGCTTCAGGAAACAGCTTTTAATTTTCTCCTTGAAGGTCTATTTTTGACACAAAGGCTTCATTTTTCATAGAACCCTGCAGCTTTTCTATGTTTGGAGGCCTGGCAAAGGCGTCAGACATGTGACCCTCCTAGGCAGGTCTGCCCTTGAAAAATGTATGCTAAGGGGAGGGCTGAGGCCTTCCTTGCTCCCTGAGGCCTCGCCCCTACCCAGATGCCTGCCTGGGCCCACTGCCGAGGGCCCCCTGCCAGCTGTCACATGTCCAGCCAGAGCAGCACTACCCACGCATGTAGAGCCGAACTGTGTCTCATCTTTCCAGGGTCAAGTTCATGCAGACAATTTATTTTTCTGATAAGTGACTCCTATTACTGGGAAAGGACCAGATGACTGCCATTTATCCTTTTATATATATATATATATAAAATTATTCATTCACAGATATTTTCTGTTTATGCCAAACGTTTATCTCTGCCACATGCAGTATACTTCATGGTAACAAAACCAAAGGGCCAGGTAAAAAACAACACTTTGTTGAAATATAATTTACATACAATAATGTTCACCCATTTAAAGTGTACAGTTTGGCAGGGCGTGGTGGCTCATGCCTGTAATCCCAGCGCTTTGGGAGGCCGAGGTGGGTGGATCACTTGAAGTCAGGAATTCTAGACCAGCCTGGCCAACATGGCAAAATCCCATCTGTACTAAAAATACAAAAATTAGCTGGGCGTGGTGGTGTGCACCTGTAATCCCAGCTACTTGGGAGGCTGAGCCTGGACAATTGCTTCAACCTGGGAGGTGGAGGTTGCAGTGAGCCAAGATTGCACCACTGCACTCCAGCCTGGGTGACAGAGCGAGACTCTGTCTCCAAAAAAAAAAAAAAAAGTGTACAGTTTGATGAGATTTGATAAATGCATATACCCATGTAACTGTTACCACAATTAAGCTATAGAACAATTCCATTAACCCAACCCAAAAGATCCACTCATGCCCCTTCCAGTCAATTCTCTGGGCCCCCTCCAAGCTTCCCTGCACCACGAGGCACCACTGGGGTCACTTCATCACTATAGCTCAGTTTTACCTATTCTTGAACTTCATATAAGTGGAATTACACAGTATATATTCCTTTGTGTCTGGCTTTTTTTGCTCAATATGTTTCTGAAATTCATCCATGTTGCTGTACCTATCAATAGTTTATTCCTTTCAATTACTGAGTAGTATTCCATTGTGTGGGCATATTACAATTTGTTTATCCATTTGCTTATTGATGAACAGTTAGGTTGTTTCCATTACTTGAATACTGCAAATAAAACTGGTATGAATGGGCCGGGTGCGATGGCTCACACCTGTAATCCCAGCACTTTGGGAGGCCAAGATGGGCCGATCACCTGAGGTCGGGAGTTCAAGACCAGCCTGGCCAACATGGTGAAACCCCCTCTCTACTAAAAATGCAAAAATTAGCCGGGTGTGGTAGCACACACCTGTAGTCCCAGCTACTTGGGAGGCTGAGGCAGAAGAATTGCTTGAACCCAGGGGGCGGAGGTTGCACTGAGCTGAGATCGCGCCACTGCACTGCAGCCTGGACAACTGAGCAAGACTCCATCTCAGAAAACAAAAAAAACCTGCTATGAATGTTCATGTACAAGTATTTGTACAGACATATGCTTTCATTTATTTTGAGTAAATAGATAGGAGCAGAATATTTTGGTTTTGCAGTAAGCGTAAGCATATGCTTAACTTTTAAAGAAATGGGGCATCAAAGTATGATGTAGACTGATTAAAAAAGGAAACAAAAAGAAATGGGACAGTTAAAAACATCTCATTTTTTGTTGTCAATTCTATATTATATGTCAAGAATGTCAACTCCTATTATATTTCAAGAATTCCAGCTTTCTATTCTTGTGGTTCATTTGGAGAGAGAACTGTTTTGAGTCAGAAGTCTGGGCCAGGACCCCTTGACCTCAGGAGTTCAAGACATGCCTGGGCAACATAGTGAGACCTCGTCTTAAAAAAAAAAAGTCAGAAATCTGGGGCTTGGCCCAAGTAGCTTAGTTCTAGACCTGAATTTTGAAAAGAGGGTCATTTAGCTTCTTCAGAGCTTCAATTCCCTAATCTTTAAATTAGGGCTAATAATTTCTTATGACAATCAGAAATTGGAAGTAGTCTCAAACTTCATCAACAGGTCACTGGTCAAGGGAAATGTATCCTTAAATTGGAATACTATACAATCATTAAAAATAATAATGGAGTTGGGTGCAGTGGCTCATGCCTGTAATCCCAGCACTTTGGGAAGCTGAGGCAGGAGGATTGTTTGAGCCTAGGAGTTAAAGACCAGTTTGGGCAACATAGTGAGATCTCATCTCTACAAAAAATTAAAAAATTAGCTGAGCTTGGTGGAGTGTGCCTGTAGTCCCAACTACTCTAGAGGCTGAGGTGGGAGGATTGCTTGAGCCTAGGAGGTCAAGGCTGCAGTGAGCCATGATTGTGCCACTGCACTCCAGCCTGGGTTCCAAGACCCTGTCTCAAAAACAAAAACTAGAAAATAAACAAACAAAATTAAAATAAATATAAATAATGACATGCATATATATTTACTGATGTGGAAAGCTGTTGTCAGCATACTCTCAGTGAAAAAAAGCAGCCTAGAAAGGCAGAGTATGATCCCATTTAGTCACATTATACAAATGGAGAAACAGATGAAAAACATATTTACTCAAATATTAACAGTGGTTATCTCTGAGTAGTGGGATTTAGGGTGATTTTTACTTTCTTTTTTTTACAATTTCTATATTGCTTAATTTTAGTTGCAACAAGCATGTATGAGTCTTTCAAAAATAATAAAGCTATTAAAAAATAAGCCAATGTAATTTTGTTTTTCCTGAGAATGAGATAAGAGAATATATGGATATATTGAAAAACTATAAGGTATTACTAGTGACATGGCCAAAGAAAATAAAACATTAAAACAATGAAAAAATAAGGAAGGCCGGGCATGGCAGCTCACACCTGTAATCCCAGCACTTTGGGAGGCCGAGGTGGGTGGATCACTTTAGGTTAGGAGTTCGAGACCAGCCTGACCAACATAGAGAAACCCCGCCTCTACTAAAAATACTAAAATTAGCTGGGAGTGGTGGCACAGGCCTGTAATCCCAGCTACTCGGGAGGCTGAGGCAGGAGAATCACTTGAACCCAGGAGATTGAGGCTGCGGTGGGCCGAGATTGAACCATTAGACTCCAGCCTGGGCAACACGGGCGAAACTCCATCTCAAAAAAAAAAAAAAAAAAGAAAAGAAAAAATAAGGATAAAAGTAAACTGTCAAGTGTTACATAAATTTAAGATATTGGTATTTTTTTGTTTTGTTTTGTTTTGTTTTATTTTGTTTTTTGAGACAGGGTCTCACTCTGTTGCCCAGGCTGGATAGCAGTAGCACTATCTTGGCTCACCCCAACCTCCGCCTCCCGGGTTCAAGCGATTCTCCTGCCTCAGCCTCCTGAGTAGCTGGTATTATAGGCACGTGCCACCACTCCCAGCTAATTTTTGTATTTTTAGTGGAGGTGGGGTTTCACCATGTTGGCCAGGCTGGCCTTGGCCTCCCAAAGTGCTGGGATTATAGGCATGAGCCACTGTGCCTGGCTAAGGTATTGGTATTAATATTAGTATTTATTAGCTTAGTCTCCTCTAAAAGGATCTTGAAAATCATCAAAGTAATCTCATAAAAGAAAGTAATGATGGCTCCTTACAAACACAAGCAGGCTGAACACAGTGAAAATGTAAAATCCTTAGGATTGAAAGAGGCCGGGTGCAGTGGCTCATGTCTATAATCCCAACACTTTGGGAGGCTGAGGCAGGAGGATTGCTTGAGGCCAGGAGTTCAAGGCCAACCTGGCCAACATAGCAAGACTCTGTCTCTATTATAAAAATAATAAAAATTTGAACACAGTATTTAAACTTTTAATTTCTATTTCCTGATCTGCAAATTGGAATAATAATAATAATGATCTCATTTTGTTGTGAAAATTAAATGAACCAAAGTACTTAATGTGATGGACTCTGACACACTGGAGAGTTCGTTAAATATTTGTTCCCTTTTTTCTCCTTTTCTTTCTTAACTTTACCTGAGATGCAGACAGCAAGATGTTATACACATTGGAACCCAGTTGGTAAAAAAGAGTGAAGAGAATGATTATAATAAAATGGGAGAGGCTGTGGGTTTCTGTTTTTGTTTTTTTAACATGAGGGAGAGATAAGGAGTTCATGTTTACTTGGAGGATGTTTGACTTGGCAAACTAAAAGGGCCAAGAAGAGAAGGGGGGAAAAAAAGAAAAAGAAGAATGGACTACTTCTGGATGAATCTAGGCCAAGGGACGTGAGATAAAGACAGTCAGGTTTTCGTCTGCATTCTCCCATTCACCACAGTAGGAAAAAAGAGACCCAGGGTCTCAGATGCTTTGTCCAGAAGAAAAAATAGTACAATAGGCCGGTGCCTCCCATTTGAGTATCTTTTGAGTAGGGTAGTAGGGTAGAAGAACTGGAAAAACCCCAAATGTGGGGGTCTGGTCCTTTCCCATCATGCTTTGGGAGGATATTGAAAGTGGAGGGCTGCTCTTCAACCTCACCTATTCACTTCCCAGAGAAAATATACCCCCCCAGGTAGAACTTAGATTGCATTTCCTTTTCCTGGAGTGACTTCTAGGTATGTTTTTGTGTTCAGTACAGAAAACAGGAAGCAGCAAAAAGAGCCAGGTCTTGGCTGGGCACAGTGGCTCACGCCTGCAATCCCAGCACTTTGGGAGGCAGAGGCAGATGGATCACCTGAGGTCAGGAGTTCGAGACCAGCCTGGACAACATAGTGAAACTCTGTCTCTACTAAAAATACAAAAATTAGCCAGGCGTGGTGGCGGGCGCCTGTAATCCCAGCTACTTGGGAGGCTGAGGCAAGAGAATCTCTTGAACCCAGGAGGCAGAGGTTGCAGTGAGCCAAGATCACACCACTGCACTCCAGCCTAGGCGGCAGAGTGAGACTCTGTCTCAAAATAAGTAAATAAGAGCCAGGGTCTTGGAGCCGTTCAAAGCTTCTAAATGACTTTGTCATAATGCATTTCCTTACTAGCCTGTTCCTCAAACTCTGTGGAGAATCATCCAGGCCTCCTGGGTCAAGTCTCCTGGAAGGCATCTCTGGGCACCCCAACCTACCCTTTACTCTTCCCTCCTCCCAAGTCCTACAGCCTCGTTGTCTACTTCCCATTTGGCACTTGAACATATGCAGCTTTGCACGGTTGCCTGCCTTTATATAGTTATTTATAGAAATGTATGTCCTTGTCTCTCCCAATGTCATATAAGACTTTAATATTTTACATTTACAAGTGCTTATGCCTACCTCATTTAAACCTCCATTCCTGGGAAACAAACACAGAATGGAAATTTTGGCTTGTGCTAGTTGTAGCCATACATTACATTCCAAACTTTTTTTTTTTTTGAGTTGGAGTCTCGCTCTGTCGCCAGGCTGGAGTGCAGTGGCATGATCTCGGCTCACTGCAACCTCCGACTCCCCGGTTCAAGCGATTCTCCTGCCTCAGCCTCCTGAGTAGCTGGGATTACAGGCATGCGCCACCAAGCCCAGCCAATTTTTGTATTTTTAGTAGAGACGGGGTTTCACCATGTTGGCCAGGATGGTCTCAATCTCCTGACCTGGTGATCCACCCGCCTTGGCCTCCCAAAGTGCTGGGATTACAGGTGAGAGCCACTGCGCCCCGCCCAAATTCCAAACATCTTTTTGGTTTTGTTTGACTTATTCTTTCGAACTTTTTACAGCATTCCCTGTATAGAGATGAGGAAACTAAGGTCTAGAGTGAAGCTGTATAATTTGGTCACAGTCACACAGCAAAAGAATAAGGGTTCTCTTTCCGGACCACTGTCCCCAACTCAGCCTTTCTCATAGTAAGCCCGCAGACATTTGCTTGCTCAACTGAATAGCCCATCTCATTGTTAGCTGCTTCCTTGGCTTTGCAGCTTTTGAGGTTTCTCCCTTGACAGGGAGACTATACAGAATTAAAATGAACGAATGTTTGAAAAGCTCCCCAGGCCATCCAATTTTCTTTTCTTCAAAATGAAGTGTCTCTTTATGTTTTATTACATGATCATTAAAAAAGTACAGTCAAAAAATATTAAAATATCCATCATTGTCCATACCTAGAGATTGTCATTGTTATACCTTGGAGTATATCCTTCCAGACATCTCTCTCACACTTATTCATGAACCTGTCTTAGAAACTGAATCATATGTAATACTACTGCTTTGTCATATCTTTTTTTTTTTTTTTTTTTTTTTTAGACAGAGTTTTGCTCTTGTTGCCCAGGCTGCAGTGCAATGGCACGATCTCGGCTCATTGCAACCTCCATCTCCCAGGTTCAAGTGATTCTCTTGCCTCAGCCTCCTGAGTAGCTGGGATTACAGGTGCATGCCACCACGCCCTGCTACTTTTGTATTTTTAGTAGAGACAGGGTTTCACCATGTTAGTCAGTCTGGTCTCGAACTCCTGACCTCAGGTGATCTGCCTGCCTTGGCCTCCCAAAGTGCTGGGATTACAGGCGTGAGCCACCGCGCCCGGCTGGGTATCTTTTATCATTTAAGAATACATTGTGACGCTGAGTACGGTGGCTGATGCCTATAATACCAGCACTCTGGGAGGCTGAGGCAGCAGGACTGCTCAAGCCCAGGAATTCCAGGCTGGAGTGAGTTATTTTGCCACTGCATTTCAGTCTTGGTGGAAAAGCAAGACCCCAAACGTTTAAAAAAATTGACATGTAATTCTTGCTTCCCAAATAAAAGCTTTAAAGATCATCCATGTTAACAGAGATAATAGAGATAATTCTGTCTCATTATTCTTTTTTTTTTGAGATGGAGTCTCAGTCTGTCTCCCAGGCTGGAGTGCAGTGGCACAATATTGGCTCACTGCAACCTCTACCTCCCAGGTTCAAGCGATTCTCCTACCTCAGCCTCCCCAGTAGCTGGAATTACAGGCGCGCAGCACCACACCCAGCTAATTTTTGTATTTTTAATAGAGACGGGGTTTTGCCATGTGGGCCAGGCTGGTCTCAAACTCCTGACCTCAGGTGATCCGCCTGCCTTGGCCTCCTACAGTGCTGGGATTATAGGCGTGAGCCACCGCGCCCGGCCTCTGTCTCATGATTCTTAGTGGACCAGCCAGTTGAAACTTTTTGAATATTTATTTTATTTTATTTTATTTTATTTTATTTTATTTTATTTTAAGATAGGGTCTTGCTCCATTGCCCCAGGCTGGAGTGCAGTGGCACAATCTCTGCTCACTGCAGCCTTGACCTCCTCTGTTCAAGAGATCCTCCCACCTCAACCTCCCCAGTAGCTGGGATTACAGGCGTGCACACCGCCCCCGGTTAGTTGTTCTTATGTTTTATTTTTGTCTCACTAGTTGACAGGGCTGGTCTTGAGCTCCTGAGCTCAAGTGATCCTACTGCCTTGGCCTCCCAAAGTGCTGGGATTATAGGCGTGAGCCACCTTGCCCGGTTCTATTTATTTATTTAGAGACGAAGTCTCCCTCTGTTGCCCAGGCTGGAATGTAATAGTAGGTTCTCAGCTCACTACAATCTCCACCTCCTGGGTTCAAGCGATTTTCCTGCCTCAGCCTCCTGAGTAGCTGGGATTACAGGCATGCACCACCACACCTGGTTAATTTTTGTATTTTTAGTAGAGACTAGGTTTCACCATCTTGGCCAGGCTGGTCTCAAACTCCTAACCTCAGGTGATCTGCCTGCCTGGGTCTTCCAAAGTGCTGGGATTACAGGCGTGAGCCACTGCACGCTGCCATATTTATTTATTTAAATACGGGAAAGTATAAAAAAGAAAAGTAAAATTATTATTAATAATTATTAATATTTCCAATCTTTTGCTATGTGGATAAGTTCATATAGTATATTAAGTGACATACTGTTTTCTTCACTTAACGTAGCATAGGCAAATTGTATGGTAAAAATTCTTCAATACATGCTTATTGTCAAAACTTGGAAAATGTAAAACAAACAAACAAACAGGGCCAGGTGCAGTGGCTTACACCTGTAATCCCAGCACTTTGGGAGGTCGAGGCAGGAGGATAGCCTGAACTCAGGAGTTCAAGACCAGCCTGAAGAACATGGCAAAACCTTGTCTCTACAAAAAATACAAAAATTAGCTGGGCGTGGTGGCATGCGCCTGTAGTCTCTGCTACTCTGGAAGCTGAGGTGGTAGGATTGCTTGAGCCCAGGAGGTGGAGGTTGCAGTGAGCTGAGATTGCACTGTTGCACACTGCACACTCCAGCCTGGGCAACAGAGCTAGATGAAAGAAAAAAAGAGAGAGAGAAAAAGAGAGAGAGAGAAAGAAAAGAGAGAGAGAGAGAGAGGGAAGGAAGGAAGGAAGGCAGGCAGGCAGGCAGGCAGGCAGGCAAGCCGGGCGCAGAGGCTTTGTAATCCCAGCACCTTGGGAGGTCGAGGCGGGCGGCAGATCACTTGAGATCAGGAATTCGAGACCAGCCTGGCCAACATGGCGAAACCCACCTCTACAAAAAATAAAAAAAGATTAGCCAGGCATGGTGGCTAATGCCTGTAATCCCAGCTACTCAGGAGGCTGAGTGAGGCAGGAGAATCGCTTGAACCTGGGAGGCAGAGGTTACAGTGAGTGCAGATCTTGTGCCACTGCACTCCAGCCTTGGCAACAGAACGAGACTCTGTCTCAGAAAAAAATAAAAAATAAAATAATAGTACATAATAATAAAGGCCGGGGCTGGTGGCTCATGTCTGTAATCCTAGCACTTTGGGAGGACGAAGTGGGTGGATCACCGGAGGTCGGGAGTTTCAGACCGGCCTGGCCAACATGGTGAAACCCCGTCTCTACCAAAAATACAAAAAATTTAGCCAGGCGTGGCGGCAGGCGCCTGTAATCCCAGCTACTTGGGAGGCTGTGGCAGGAGAATCACTTGAACCTGGAGGCAGAGGTTGCAGTGAGCCCAGATAGGGCCACTGCTCTCTAGCCTGGGCAATGGAGCGAGACTGTCTCAAAATAAATAAATAAAAATAATATTTATTATTATTTTTTGAGACAGTCTCGCTCTGTTGCTCAGGCTGAAGTGCAATGGTGGGATCTCAGCTCACTGTGAGCTCCGTCTTTTGGGTTCAAGTGATGATTCTCCTGCTGCAGCCTCTTGAGTAGCTGGGATTACAGGCGCCTGCCACCACGCCTGGCTAATTTCTTTTTTTTTTTTTTTTGAGAGCAACTTTTGCTCTTGTTGCCCAGGCTGGAGTGCAATGGCGCGATCTCGGCTCACTGCAACCTCTGCCTCCCGGGTTCAAGTGAGTCTCCTGCCTCAGCCTCCAGAGTAGCTAGGATTACAGACATGCACCACCACGCCAGGCTAATTTTGTATTTTTAGTTGAGACGGAGTTTCTCTGTGTTGGTCGGGCTGGTCTCGAACTCCCAACCCCAAGTGATCTGCCCGCCTCAGCCTCCCAAAGTACTGGGATTACAGGCGTGAGCCACCACGCCTCACCAATTTCTTGTATTTTTAGTAGAGATGGGGTTTCACCATGTTGGCCAGGCTGGTCTCGAACTCCTGACCTCAGGTGATTCATCCGCCTCAACCTCCCAAAGTGCTAGGATTACAGGCATGAGCCACCATGCTTGGCCAATAGCTATATACTTTTACCTCACCAATAACATTTTAAAAAAATCATTGAAAAGTTTATCCTTAAAAAAAAGTCTTCTTTCGTGGGGACAAAAAATAAAAATAAAAATAAAAAATAAAAAATAACTACCAAATTAATATATACTCACTGTAAACATTCAAGCAGTATAGAAACTTAACATAAAAGTAAACATTCCCAATAGTTTGGGTTGCCAGAGTTAGCAAATAAAAATAGAGGACACCTAGTTAATGTATGGGACGTATTTATACTAAAAATACCTTGTTTATGTAAAAATGTAAAAATATGTAAGAATGATAATGTATCTTTGTTTTAATTTGCATATCCTAATTATTCATGAAGTTTAAAATATTTTCATTCATTTTCAAGTCTTTAATATATACATTTTTAAGAGACAGAGTCTTCGCCAGGCAAGGTGGCTCGTGCCTGTAATCCCGGCACTTTGGGAGGCCGATGGCAGATCACTTGAAGTCAGGAGTTTCAGACCAGCCTGACCAACATCGGTGAAAATCCGTCACTACCAAAAAATACAAAAATTAGCTGGGCATGGTGGTGCACACATGTAGTCCCTGCTACTTGCGAGGCTGAGGCGGGAGAATTGCTTGAACCTCAGAGGCAGAGATTGCAGTGAGCCGAGATCTCGCCACTGCACTCCAGCCTGGGCGACAGAGCAAGACTCTGCCTAAAAAAAAAAGGGAGACTGAGTCTTGCTCAGATGCCTAGGCTCCAGTGCAGTGGCACGATCACAGCTCACTGCAGCCTCAAACTCCTAGGTGCAAGCTATCTTCCTGCTTCAACCACCTGGAGCAGGTGGGACTACAGGTGCCTACCAGTTAACCTAGCTATTTTTAAAATTTTTTGGTAGAGATGGGGTCTTGCTACACTGCCTGCCCAGGCTGGTCTCAAACTATTGGCCTCAAGTGATCCTCCCATTATTGATCTTTTTATTTTTATTGTAAATTTTATTTTACAATAAAATAAAATTTTATGGATCTTTTTATTTTTATATGTAAATTTTTTTAATTTTTTTTTTTTGAGACAGCATCTCCTGTCACCCAGGCTGGAGTGCAGTGGCAGGAACATGGCTCACTGTAGCCTCAACCTCCTGGGCTCAAATGATCCTCCCTCCTCAGCCTCCCATGTAGCTGGGACCATGGGTGAGCACTACCACGTGTGATCAATTTTTAAATTTTTTGTGGCGTGGTGGTCACACCATGTTGCTTAGGCTGGTCTCGAATTCCTGGGCTCAAGCTATCCTCCCACCTCCTCATTGACCTTAATAGCTTTTTATTTATTACATAAAAATGTTAGGGCATAGTGGCTCATGCCTGTAATCCCAACACTTTGGGAGGCTAAGGCAGGAGTATCTCTCAAGCCCAGAAGTTTGAGATCAGCCCGGGCAACACAGTGAGACCCTGTCTCTAAAGAAAGTTGAAAAAAAAAACATTAGCCGGGCATGGTGGCGCCCACCTGCAGTTCCGCCTTCCTGGGGGGCTGAGGTGGGAGGATTGCTTGATCCCAGGAGTTCAAGGCTGCAGTGAGCCGTGATCCTACCATTGCACTCCAGCATGGGCAACAGAACAAGATCTTGTCTCAAAAAAAAAAAAATTGAATTATGTAGAGCGTTTAGGTGTGGGCTAAGACCTTAGTACTGTACGGGATTGACAGAGAGTTTTGAATTTTTCCCTGAATCAGCATTCTGATGGAGTCACCAGGTTCCAATAATATCTTTTTTTGGATCCTTGGTCAACACAATTTTCATCCATGGATACTGCAAGTTAAAACACTTTCTAGAAGTCTATGGTCCTAACATCAAATTAGTTCTTGGGTCAAATTTTTAATTTTTGTGTAAGGCCCCAATTGAACTTAATGTAGAAAGGGAATGTAGCAGGGTATAGTGAATGGAGTGCTAAACTGGGAGTTTGGAACCCACTTTCCAGCTGTGTAATCTTGAGTGAGTCATTTCCGCTCTCTCCATTTCAATGTCTTCATCTGTAGAATGGGGAGGTTGGACTCGACAGTCTCAGTTCCTTTCAGTTATTACATTGAGATTTTTATAATCTTTCTGTCTCTATTGCATTATCCAAAAGATTGGGACAAAACATGTTCACCTCTCAGTCCCAAATGTGCATGACTCCAGAACCTAGGCTTTTTAAGCCACTGTAGTTTACTCTCTTGGTAGTGGGACAGAGGAGGTAGAATGCGTTCCCTTTCCAAAACATCCTGGCCCCCGACACATTACTACTTATTCCAGCTGTTATTGAAATTGTGGAAAACACACTTCATAAGGAACCAGAAACCTGGGTTCTAGTTTTGGGGCTCTGTATTTTTTGGACAACGCACGTAAGCTTACTTCCCTTATTTGCAAAATAGGGGGCTACTTGAAGGCAGAAGACCATTTCTCACTCATCCCCCCCCACCCCTCCCCGCCTTGGATCTAGCAGTGCTGGGCAATTCGCGATATTTCAAAAACATTTCCTAACAGAAGAGGGTAGACAAGATAGTCTCTATGCTTCCTTTCTCATTCTTTGACAGACCTTGACCGGGAAGGTGTACGATATATACAGAAATACTTTGTCTTCTATTTTAAACACAGAACAAGGCATGCTAAATTCTCATGACTTTATTTTGATTGGGTTGTTCCTGACGGAGTGGGTGGAAGGTTATGGATGTTTGTATCGAGACCTTTTTTATCTTCCGGAGACACGATGCTACCGTTGCATAACACAAACAGCACCGATAAAATGTAGTAATAGGAAAGAGTGCCAGGGAATCAAGACTTTAAGGCAGCATCCCACTGGGAAAGCAGCTCTTCAAACACGTCCTTCAAGCGCGAGTGGCAGACTCCTTGCTGGGAGGGCTGAGTGCACTTTGCTACTTGACCTTGCCACTGTCTCTCCCGGGACTTCAGTTTCCTCACCTGCAAAATGGTAGAGTTGTTATAAACGAAAATCCCTCAACTTCTCCCGCAGCCCCAGGCTTTAACGGCTCTCCTTGAGGGTGGGGACGGGGCGGAGTAATGGTCTGGCCAGAAGCCTCCCCCGCCCCCCACGGCTGGACCATCTCTTTCCTCCTTCCTACTTTTCGCTCCATCGCCCCGCAGCGGTGAGGTCACGCGGGGACGTCACGAGTTTGTGACGACACTAAGAGGCGGGCGTCCGGGAGAGGAAGGGGCGGGGCCTGGGCGGGCGACGCTTGCGCAGTGGGCGCGGCGCGGGAGGAGGCGGAGGCGGCGGAGTGGCGAGAGGCGAGAGGCGGCGGAGGCGGCGGAGCTGGGGGGGGTGGGAGGGGGGGGAGAGTGAGTGAGTGGCAGAGTGAGTTTACCCCTATGAGACTGTGAGAGGCCCGGGGCCTACCTCAAAGGAGCGGGGTCGCGAAGCTAGCTAGCAGCGGCCCCCCTCCAGGTCCCCGGGCCCGGCGGCGCGGCGGCGGCTTGGTTGTGAAGAGGCGGGGAAGCGGGTGTCCGGTCCCCGCCATGGAGGGCATGGACGTAGACCTGGACCCGGAGCTGATGCAGAAGTTCAGCTGCCTGGGCACCACCGACAAGGACGTGCTCATCTCCGAGTTCCAGAGGCTGCTCGGCTTCCAGCTCAATCCTGCCGGTTGCGCCTTCTTCCTGGACATGACCAACTGGTGAGCCGGCCCCGCAGTGCCAGCGCTGGCAGCGGCCTCGGGGGCCCCGAGGGGAAGGGAAGGGACACTTGAGCTTGGCGGCAGGGCGAGCCAGGCGGGTACTGAGGGCCACCCCTTCCCGGGACGGGGAGGACGAGTCGGGGAGCCCCGTGGGCATAGGGAGTATTTGGGGGCTGAGCAGGGCTAAAGGAGAGTTAGGGACCACGGAGGCAGGAGGGGCGGAAGGGAGATGGTGGGGGCGAGCTCCTAAGGTTTTTCGAGGATTAGGGGCCAAGGGACGTGGGATGAGGGGAAAAGACTTGGGCATCCAGGCATAGTGGGTAGACTTGGGAGGAAAAGGGTTATGGTGTTGGCTGAGAGTAAAAAGCACAGGAGATCTGGATTTGGGGAGTGGGGAAAAAGGTTGGGGTTTGGAGTGAGGGGCTGAGGATGCCAGGATTGGGCGGAAACTATAGGGAAGGATTAGGTGCTGTGGAACAACCTGAGCACTGGAGAGCTTGGGAGTTAGGAGCTGAGAACAGATTAATTTATGTGTCTGTCTCTTTCCATCTGAGGATAGATAGGGAAAAGGGGGTGATATTATGGGGGAAGACAAGGGGGTATGGTGAGGGAGATGACTTTCTTGAGAGTTATGCCAGGGAGGAGTAGGATCTACTAGTAAATCGACACATGGAGGACCCGGAGTGTTAGACTTGGGACAGGGCCTGGGAACCACCTTAGGAAAAGTGGGGGAAATGAGATGATCTTGGGGGAAGGAACTTTCTGAAGGGACAGGACTCCTGGCAGAGGGTTCATCTGGGGTCACCAGAATGCTGGGAATGGAGAGGGGCTTATCTGAAAGAAAGCTAAGTTGACAGATGTTTGGGAAAATGGAGAACTTAGGCTGGGAGCCAAGTATTTTTGGCTTCACCTTGTAGAAGGCTGAATTGGGACAGAAGACTACCCGACGTAAAGGAGTGTTTCTTGGCTTTGGAAGTAGCACTTGCTGTCGTTGTTAAGCAACGCTTCCCCTTGTACTCTGAATAGAGGTTGTTGGATTCACTCAGAGGCAGAGTTGCAGTGGAGACGATTAGACTTTCTTTGAAAGGATTTCAGGTGAAGCAACTAATATTTCTTTGGGCAAAAGGCAAAAGGTTCAGTGCCCTTTGCTCTGTTGGGCATTCAGTCTCCTGACATGTGGAATCTTGTTTCTCTTGGCATCACTTGCACAACCAACCTCTCTTTTATTCCTTATCCACTGAATGCCTCAAGCAACGCTGGAAAAGAGGCTGTAAGCCTACTTTTTATCCCACTCCTACCTAGTTCTACCCTGGATGATGCTCATCTATTAGTAGGAGTGTTGTAGCCGTGGCTGCACCAAAGGTAATGTGTAAATTTTTTTTTTTTTTTTTTTTTGAGACGGAGTCTCGCTCTGTCGCTCAGGCTGGAGTGCAGTGACGCAACCTCGGTTCACTGCAACCTCTGCCTCCCAGGTTCAAGCAATTCTCCTGTCTCAACCTCCCCAGCAGCTGGGACTACAGGTGCACACCACCTCGCCCGGCTAATTTTTTTTGTATTTTTAGTAGAGGTGGGGTTTCACCATATTGGTCAGGCTGATCTTGAACTCCTGATCTCATGTGATCCACCCGCCTTGGCCTCCCAAAGTGCTGGGAACAGGTGTGAGCCACTATGCCCCGCCATTTTTTTTTTCTGTGCATCATCTTTGATGGGTCCTACTATTTTATCTTTAAGGTCAATTATTACAGCAAGAGCAGGTTTAAATTTCTAGATGTTTAGAAAACTCTTTGACTGGATGCAGGAGATAGTCTTTAGAATTAATCATTTGTAATCTCCATTTGTATCTGTTACGTCTGATGATCTCAAGCAGGGAATATAGCCTACTGTAGTTTTCTGACAGCTAACCTGTGGTGTTTAGTCAGAGAGACATGGGTTATTGAACACACTGAGAAAAGCTATTACTCTGGTGAAATTTAGAAGTAAAGTTATATCTTGAAGAGAGTTCTCTTGCCTGACTGCTTCCCACCTCTGGCTCTTTTTCTTCCTTGTTTACACTAGTTCAGCATAGGAAACTTGGCATATTGTTGCTGCTAGTTTGGTAGGAGAGGATCATTATTTCTCCCAACCCCTTGTGAATTGGACCATTTAAACACTACCCTAGTAAGTTTTAAGTTCTTTAGAGTCAGTCTTTATTAGTATAATTATTATGGCTACAAAAGCAGTGTAATGAATTTTATATGTTTGAGGTATGTATTTAATGTCTAAGATTTTTCTTAGGTGTTGTGGAAAGTGAATAGGTGAGGCCCAGTGTGGATAAGAAAAAAAATAACTTAAAAGGCTGCACGCCTATAATCCCAGCACTTTGGGAGGCCAGGTGAGGCAGGAGGATCACTTGAGTCCAGGAGTTTGAGACCAGCCTGGGTGACATAGTGAGATCCTGTCTCTACAAAAAATACAGCGAAATGAGTCGGGCTTAATGGTATGCACCTGTAGTACCAGCTACTTGGGAGGCTGAAGTGGGAGGATCACCCTGGGAAGCTGAGGCTGCAGTGAGCTGAAATCGCACCATTGCACTCTAGCCTGGGTGACAGAGTGGTGAGATGCTGTCTCAAAAAAAAAAATTAAAAATATAGTTGGATTATAAAACTTGTATTTGAGGGAGGCTGAGACAGGAGAATGGCGTGAACCCAGGAGGCGGAGCTTGCAGTGAGCCGAGATTGCGCCACTGCACTCCAGCCTGGGCAACAGACCGAGACTCCGTCTCAAAAAAAAAAAATAAAATAAAATAAAACTTCTATTTGAGTTTTTATATAAAAAACTTATGCTCAAAGCCATGGAGTAGCATATATGTTGATGACATGTTATTTCTGTATAAAAACAAGTTACATATATGAGCAAAGGAGTGAGCCGTTAAGAAAATGTGTTCTGGGCCAGGTGTGGTGGTGCATGCGTGTAGTCCCCAGCTACCTGGGAGCCTGAGGTAGGAAGATCACCTGAGCCCAGGAGGTCGAGGCTGCAGTGAGCCGTGATCATGCCACTGCACTCCAGCCTGGGCGACAGAATAAGACTCTGTCTGGAAAAAAAAATGTGTTCTGGCTTTAGAGAAATTGAGAAGTTGGAAGTCAGTAGCTTCTTAGAAATCCATGCAGTTAAGTGATAATTCAACTTTAAGTCACATTACCTTATTTTTTGGCTACATAAGGCATGTTCTTTATTTTCTTTGATTATAAAATGAAAAATCATTTGTGAACTAAAAGCAGGAAGGCTTTTCATTTTTTTTTCTTATGAAAGATAGCGTCATAATCTAATACTGTATTTTTGATTCCTATGTTTACCTAATTCATCTTGACAGATTTTTATTTTATTTTTTTGAGACAGGGTCTCATTCTGTCTCCCAGGCTGAAGTGCAGTGGCACAGCTGTGGCTCACTACAGCCTCAACCTCCCAGATTCAAGCAATCCTCCCACCTCAGCCTCTTGAGTAGCTGGGACTACAGATGCGTGCCACCATGACTGGCTAATTTTTTTATTTTTTACTTTTTATTTAATTTTTTTCCTTTTTCTCATGTCAGACGGGTAATGTGCACGTTATATAACAAGATTCAAGGTTGGCACGTCTCATACATGCATGTAAACACCCAATCATCACGCATCTGAATTACAAAAGGATCAATTTAAACATTTTTTTAGAGATGGGTCGCACTATGTTGCCAGACCTAGTCTTGAACTCTTGGGCTCAATCTTGCCTTAGTCTCCCAAAGTGTTGGGATTATAGACATGAGCCACTGTGTCCAGCCAATATTTTTTTTTCAAACAAACATCCATCATAATTAATGAAATCTAGGTAAATACATATACACATAATGTGCATGCATGCATACTTAATCACAGTATTTGTGTGTGTTGCCCAAGTAAAAATCTAAAGTCTAGACGTGTTGTTCTACGCATCATTTAATTTCTAACTGGGCAACTGTTGACATAGTCCTAATACAGGTTGACAAAAAAATCTCTCAACTTGCTCTGATGATTAACCTGTTGAATTGAAGATGATTAATCTTCCTATGACTTCATAAGTGCCTGCTTCGGGTTGTAATAAATACCATTCAGTTGTCTATTAGAAAATAATGTGGTAAATTAAAAATCATTATTGAAAAGCGAAGACCCTGAGTCTTCTAAAATTAAACCTGTCTGAGTGCAGTAGCTCACGCCTATAATCCCAGCACTTTGGGAGGCCAGGGCAGTAGGATTGCTTGAACCCAGGAGTTTGAGACCAGCATAGGCAAGATAGCGAGACCTCCATCTCTACAAAAATAAAAAAATTAGCTGGGCTTGGTGGTGCTCACCTGTAGTCCCAGCTAAGTGGGAGGCTGAGGTGGAAGGATCAATTGAGCCTGGGAGGTGAAGGGTGCAGTGAGCTGTGATTGTGCTGCTGCACTCCTGCCCAGGTAGCAGAGTGAGACCCTGTCTCAAAAATAAAATAAAAGTAAAACCTGAGTTGGAAAGGTTATGCTTTTGTGATCAAAAGTAAGAATTTGTCATTTTTGAAAAACTGACTAAATGGAATGTTTTGGCCTTGTGAGTCTTTTACCCTGTTAACACATATTTTGTTTGGTCTTAGGTTGACAAAATTGTGTAGATACTTCTTTTTTTTTTTGAGACAGAGTTTTGCTCTGTCGCCCAGGCCGGAGTGCAGTGGTGCGATCTTGGCTCACTGCAACCTCTGCCTCCCGGGTTCAAGAGATTCTCCTGCCTCAGCCTCCCGAGTAGCTGGGACTGTGGGCGCCCACGACCACACCTGGCTAATTTTTGTATTTTTGGTAGAGACGGGGTTTTACCATGTTTGTCCAGGCTGGTCTCGAACCCCTGACCTCAAATGATCCACCCACCTTGGCCTCCCAAAGTGCTGGGATTATAGGCGTGGGCCACCGCACCTGGCCTCTATTTGTTAAATTTAGAACCAAATATTGTTTTCAGTTGAGCATGTTTGTAGCATTTATACCTGAGCTGGCAGCCATGCTGCTGGAGATTGATGGAACTGTCTGTTAACAGAAGTAGTCAATTTTCAGTTCCTAAGTGAGTATGTAAAGTGAATAAATGATATGGTGAAAGTAAACCCAATATCTAAAACCAAATTGAAATGACTTGTAGATTAATATCTGCAGTGTTCTATAGATGGAATGTCTTTCAGAGATACTATTGGGCTGTGAATACAGAACTTGGAATTGTAAAACCGGAAACTGACTTAAGAGATTCTTTAGTTTAGGCCAGGTGCAGTGGCTCACACCTGTAATCCCAGCACTTTGGGAGGCCGAGGCGGACGGATCATGAGGTCAGGAGATTGAGACCATCCTGGCTAACATGGTGGAACCCCGTCTCTACTAAAAATACAAAAAAAAAATTAGCCAGGCCTGGTGACGGGCACCTGTAGTCCCAGCTACTGGGGAGGCTGAGGCAGGAGAATGGCATGAACCCAGGAGGCGGAGCTTGCAGTGAGCCGAGATCACGCCACTGCACTCCAGCCTAGTTTATTCCAACTTTTCCTGTAGATTTGCATCCAGCCCTTCTAAGATAGCCATCTGTCCTATTCTTGTATCCCTACGGGCAGAGATTTGCATGATACCTTATTATAATGTTTAATTACTTTCTGGTTAGAATTATGTTTAAACCTTCCTTGCTACAATTTAAGCCTTTTTCGTTTGTGTTTGTCCTCCTTGGAGGTGGAGGATATCTAATAAACACTCTGTTAAGAGGCCAGAACGCTTCTATTAATTGAAATTACTAAAAGTTTTCAACTATGTAAAATTTAAACATGTTCAATTTAATGGGTTCATATTTTTTAATGTAGTCTAATTGGCTTTTTTTTGATGGGAAACCAAGATTCAGAGGAGAGCTTACCTCACTTTTTAAGAATTTGTGGTAAAATATATATAACAAAATTTACCCTTTTAATCAATTTATTTATTTATTTATTTATTTTTAATTTTTTTTTGAGACATAGTTTCACTCTGTCGCCCAGGCTGGAGTGCAGTGGCGCAATCTTGGCTCACTGCAACCTCTGCCTCCTGGGTTCATGCGATTCTTGTGCCTCAGCCTCCCAAGTAGCTGGGATTACACGTGTGGGCCACCACGCCTGGCTAATCTTTGTATTATTAGTAGAATCAAGGTTTTGCCATGTTGGCCAGGCTGGTCTCAAACTCCTGACCTCAGGTGATCTGCCTGCCTCAGCCTCCCAAAGTGCTGGGATTACAGGTGTGAGCCACCATGCCCGGCCCGCATTTTAATCAGTTTAAGGTGTACAGTTCAGTGTTACATTAGGTGTTCATTGTAAGTTGTTTAGCATTAGTAACAAGAGTCAAATAACTCTTCTAGATTTTTATACATTAACTTAGGAGTTAATATTGGCCTTATTTCTCAGTATAGCAGTAGATAAAATATCTTTTAATAGCATATAGACAATGTTTCTCTACCTCCTATTAGGCTACTGCTGTGCAGTTGTGGTATTGCAACATCCTAGGTTGCCTGCAGGTATCTTCAGGGAGCAGTGTGTATGTTTTGGAATTCTACTTGCATCCACCATGGATGGAACAGATGTTTTCTAGAAAAGTAACTTGGGAAAAATATTTCTGTAAAATATGATGTCCTATTAATTTTCTCAACATTGTCAGAAACACCCTACTAGATAAAGATATAACCACAAATCAATGAAATGAAATTAGAATCTAGATATGAAAATCAGTTGTACCTCTTACCTGATCACGTATTACCTTCTTTGCCTGTTAATCCATTTCTCAGTCACCCGTGCTAAATGAGTTTCTCATCTATGCTGTGGTTTATATGTATAAATCTAGGAAAAAGTTCCTTTATGATAGAGATAATACTTCTATTAATATTGGTTTCCTTAAATAAATGTGTGTCAAATAGTAGTTTTAGGAAGAGGGTAAGGAAGGGCTACATAACAGTGATAGAGTATTATGTACTCTATTACATTTTTTAAAAGGTTTTTATTTTTGATTTGGAATATTGTTGATTTTTAAAGTAAGATTGTGAAATTGATACCATGTAAAATTAACTATTTTATTTTCATTTATTTAATTTTAATTTTTTTAGAGACGTCTCACTATGTTGCCCAGGCTGGAGTGCAATGGCTGTTTACAGGCATGATCATGTAGCACACTACGGCCTTGAACTCTGAGGCTCAAGTGATTCTCCCACCTCAGCCACCTGAGTACTTGGGATTACGTGTGTGCAGTACTGTGCCTGGCAAAATTAACTGTTTTAAAGTGAACAGTTCAGTGGTGTTTAGCGCATTCACAGTGTTGTGCAACCACCACCACTCTCTTGTTTCTAAACTTTTTCATAACCCCAAAATGAAACTTTACACCCATTAAGCCGGTGTAAAGGACTATTCTCTCCTCAGCCATTGGCAACCAGCAGTCTGAGTTCTGTCTCTATGTATGTACCTATTCTGGATATTTTCTTTTCTTTTTTGAGATGGAGTTTCACTTTTGTTGCCCAGGCTGGAGTGAAATGACGTGATCTTGGCTCGCTGTAACCTCCGCCTCCCAGGTTCAAGTGATTCTCCTGCCTCAGCCTCCCGTGGATACGTCATGTAAATAGAATTTGTCCTTTTGTGTCTGCATCTTGTTGTTGTTGTTGTCGCCCAGGCTGGAGTACAGTGGCGTGATCTCGGCTCACTACAACCTCTGCCTCCTGGATTCAAGCGATTCTCCTACCTTAGCGTCCCAAGTATCTGGGATTACAGGCGTGCAAGATCACGCCTGGCTAATTTTTGTATTTTTTGTAGAGATGGGGTTTTGCCATGTTGGCCAGGCTGGTCTTGAACTTCTGACCTCAAGTGATCCATCTACCTTGGCCTCCCAAAGTGCTGGGATTACAGGCATGAGCCACTGTGCCCAGCCTTTTTTTTTGGTTTCTTTTAATGAAGCCTGTAAGTTTCTTGCCATGGCATCTTTCATTTAGCATTATGTTTTCA
Source organism: Homo sapiens (assembly GCF_000001405.40). Lineage (NCBI taxonomy): Eukaryota > Metazoa > Chordata > Mammalia > Primates > Hominidae > Homo > Homo sapiens. The sequence goes on along the minus strand of NC_000006.12, from coordinate 34,688,456 downwards.
GGGTTCATCCATGTTGTAGTATGTATCAGTACTTCATTTTTTTTTTTTTTTTTTGAGACAGGGTCTCATTCTGTTGCCCAGGCTGGAGTGCACTGGCGCTATCATGGCTAACCTTAGCTTTGACTCCTGGGCTCAATCCATCCTCCCACCTCAGTCTCCCAAGTAGCTGGGATATAGGCATGAGCCACCATGCCCAGCCAGTTTTTGTGCTTTTTGTACAGACAGGATTTTGCCATGTTGCCCAGGCTTGTTTAGAACTCCTGGGCTTAAGGGATCCACCTGCACTGGCCTCCCAAAGTTTTGGGATTACAGGCATGAGCCACCCCCCAACCCCCACCCCTGGCCTCACTCTTTTTTTATGGCTTGATAGTATTCCATTGTATATACATATCACAATTTGTTTCATCTGTTCATTCGTTGGTAGACATTTGGGGTGTTTCTATCTTTTGACTATTCTGAGTAGTAAAGTTTTGAATATGTGCGTGTACCTGTATTTGTTTGAGTACCTTTTTTTAGTTCCTTTGGGTATGTATCTAGGAATGGAAATTTTGGGTCATATGGTCAATCTGTTTTTGAGGAATCACCAAACTCTTTTCCACGATGGCTGAATCATTTTACATTCCCAACCGCGGTGTATGAGTTGGTCGCAATTTCTCCACATCTTTGCCAACACTTGTTATTTTTCTTTCTTCTTTTAAACTTCCAGTTTAATGGAATATATATTTTATAAATATATATATATATATATTTTTTTTTTTGGAGATGGAGTCTTGCTCTGTTGCCCAGGCTGGAGTGCAGTGGTGCAATCTCGGCTCACTGCAACCTCCATCTCCTGGATTCAAGTGATTCTCCTGCCCCAGCCTCCCGAGTAGCTGGGACTACAGCTGTGTGCCACCACGCCCTGCTAATTTTTTTTGTATTTTTAGTAGAGACGGGGTTTCACCTTATTGGCCAGGCTGTCTCAAATTCCTGACCTTAGGTGACCTGCCTGCTTTGGCCTCCCAGAGTGCTTGGATTACAGGCGTGAGCCACCACGCCCAGCCAATATTTTTCTTTTTAAAACTATAGCCATCTTAGTGGGTATGGATTGGTACCTTATTATGATTTTGATTCTTATTTTTCTAATTACTAATTATACGAACATATTTTTATGTGCTTTTTGGCCATTTGTATATCTTCTTTGGAGAAATAACCATTTAAGTCCTTTGTGCATTTTCTTTCCCCCACCCCCAGGGGAATTTTGTTGATGGCTCTAGTTTATTCCCTCCCAAAAGACCAAGAGCAACCAGATGGAGTGAAGTTAACTTCAGGATTTTATTGTCTTCATAATAAAATAAAAGATGACATTTAGAACTGTATCACTTGGTCCTTTCTCGTCTTATCGCCTCCCAGTTCAAAATGCTTGCATGTCTTAGAAGCTAGCATTCTTTTACATCTGCAGTTGGGTTCCATGCACTCTAGCCTCAGCACAATCTTCTTTATAGTTTTAACCTTTTTCTGGGAAATTGGCTTAGTCTGCCCACCATAGCTACCCTGCTTCCTGTCATAATGCTGCTTTCTGCAAGCTCCGCCTTCCGGGTTCACGCCATTCTCCTGCCTCAGCCTCCCGAGTAGCTGGGACTACAGGCGCCCGCCACTGCGCCCAGCTAATTTTTTGTATTTTTAGTAGAGACGGGGTTTCACCGTGGTCTCGATCTCCTGACCTCGTGATCCGCCCGCCTCTGCCTCCCAAAGTGCTGGGATTACAGGCGTGAGCCACCGCGCCCGGCCTGCCTTTCTTATACTGTATCACTTTGTGGGGTTGGTGTTTGCCATACTTCTTATAGAAAGTCTGGTGGCTTTTAGGAATGTTCATTATGTTTGCTGGAGCACTGTCAGCGCAAAAAGGCTTTGCCCATTTTTAAATTGGGTTGTCTTTTTGTTGTTCAGTTGTAAGAAGTCTTTTTTTTTTTTCTTTGAGACGGACTCTCACTCTGTTGCCCGGGCTGGAGTGCGGTGGCGCGATCTCGGCTCACTGCAAGCTCCGCCTCCTGGGTTCACGCCATTCTCCTGCCTCAGCCTCCTGAGTAGCTGGGACTACAGGCGCCCGCCACCACGCCCGGCTAATTTTTTTGTATTTTTGTAGAGACAGGGTTTCACTGTGTTAGCCAGGATGGTCTCGATCTCCTGACCTCATGATCCGCCCACCTCAGCCTCCCAAAGTGCTGGGATTACAGGTGTGAGCCACCACACCTGGCCTGTAAGAAGTCTTTATATATTCTGGATATGAAATCCTTATTGGGTATATAAATTGCACTGTTTTCTCCCATTCTGTAGGCTGTCTTTTCACTTTCTTGACAATGTCCTATGATTCACAAATGTTTCTAATGTGCTGAGGTCCATATCAATTCTTTTTTTCTTTGCTTGTGTTTTTGATGTCATATCTTAGAATTCATTACCAAATCCAAGGTCATGAAGATTTATCCCTTTGTTTTCTGCTAAGAGTTTTATAGTTTTAGTTCTTTATATTTAGGTTGTTGGTCCATTTTGTATATGGATATCCATTTTGTATAATTAATTTTTGTGTATGGTATGAGGTGGGAACCAGCTTGATTTTGTGGAGCTTAATTTTGATCATGTTTCTGCTCTGGGACTGGCCTCTCATTAGCTCTGTATTAAATATATCCTTTACTTTTAGTAAATATATATTTTATTCTCTTCAGCCATCACTAAAAGTTGGGCAGAAAAAAAGTGTGCAGGATTTTCTGGTTGGGGCAGGAAACTTATGAATGTTCTGTTGGCATTCAAAACTAGATGTGTTTAAAAGGTCAATTTGCCAGGCGCGGTGGTGCACGCTTGTAGTCTTAGCTACTTGGGATGCTGAGGCGGGAGGATTGCTTGAGCCCAGGAGTTCTGGGCTGTAGTGTGCTATGCCATTTGGGTGTCTGTACTAAGTTCGATATCAGTATGGTGATCTCCCGGGAGCAGGAGACCACCAGGTTGCCTAAGGAGGGGGTGAGCCAGCCCAGGTCAGAAATGGAGCAGGTCAAAAGTCCCGTGCTGATCAGTAGTGGGATTACATCTGTGAATAGCCACTGCACTCCATAGCAAGACTCAGTCTTTAAAAAAATAAAAAATCAAAAAAATTAAAAAATAAAAATAATAAAAGGTCAATTTATCCTTTTCCTTACTCCAGCCAGTTTTTGGTCTCCCAGAAATTAGACTTGAACTGAGTTATCTTTAAGGCCCTCTCTTTTCTGGACACCCCAGTTCATTTGCTAAATCCAGTTAATTTCCACCTGGATTTGACAGTGTACTTCCCAAATGTCTCTTTTTTTCCATTCCCACTGCCACCGCCTTAGTTTGCAGATTATGTTACTAGTTTAACAGAGTAACATAGGCATAGTCCAAATCGGTTTTCTACAAGTGGCTTTCTTCCTTCCAGTCTATTTTGTGGACATACCACTGCTAGATCAGTCTTTCTAAATCACAGCTTCAATCTAGACCCTTCTTAGAAACCTCTAACAGGGCCTTGTTGCTTCCCAGATACAGAACAGCAAGCTTTAGCTTGACATTCATTTAGGACCCTGCAAAGACTGGTCCCAGTTTACCTACTTCTACCTTTCCTGGCGTATCTTTGTAGTGAATATTCTGCTTTTCTCTGCTGTGTTCAAACTAGGCTGCTGCTCATTCCCACGTAAACTTTTGCTCTCCCAATTTTAAACTTGTTTCTCCTACTTAGAATGCTATTCTTTCCTTTCTACCTGAAGAAGTCCTATCGTTTTTCTGAAATTGACATACTGATCCTGTTCTTAGCAGTGTACTCTTCTTTGAACTCCACTCTTTCCTTTTTTATAGTGTTTATTATGTATAGAAACACACTTTTAAGAGGACAGTGCCCCCTAACAGCCTTTGTTTCTCCCTAAGCCTCTTACGCACTACTTTGTACATAGGTGCTCAGTAAACATTTGTTGAAGTAATGTGTAAGGGTAGATGGGAGAAAAGGCTTAATTTTTTTCTTATGCCTATGTTACTCAGTAATTTAGATGTGAATGGACAAAAATATTTTGTAAGCTCTCTAAAGTTCTCTTAGATCATTGCCATTGTGTTTCCATTGAGGAAAAACTTTAAAAAGTCATATAAGCGCATAATAAGTTCAAATAGTTTAGAATAGTTTAAACAGGGGTTGCAAACTAATATATGTTTAGGTGCCAGATGGGTAACAATTGAAGGTGTGTGAACTGGAAAGCCTTGCCTTTATAAAGAGCATGTCTGATATTTGCCTTAAATATTGCCCTGCTAGAATGGGGGTCCAGTGTTAGATTTTTCTATTTTTTTTCAAGAGAAGTAAAAAATATAGGTTTTTATAGGAAATGTCCTGGTTTTTTGTTTTTTTGGGGGGTGGGGTACAGAGCTCTGTCACCCAGGCTGGAGTGCATTGGCGGGATCACTGCTCACTGCAACCTCCCCTCCCCCATATGCCTCCCTGGGCTCTAAGTGATCCTCCCACCTCAGCCTCCCAAGTAGCTGGGACCACAGGCACCTGCCACCATGGCCGGTTATGTTTTTGTATTTTTAGTAGAGACAGGGTCTTGCCATGTTGCCCAGGCTGGTCTCAAACTCCAGAGCTCAAGCTGTCTGCCCACCTTGTCCTCCCAAAGTGCTGGGATTACAGGCATGAGCCACTGTGACCAGCTGAAATATCCTGATTTTTAAATGTTGGCAATTAATTCAAGTATTTTTAAAACACTGAAGACCAAATATAAAGCACATCTGCAGGCAGAATGTAGCCCTTGGGCTACTCATTTGTAACCCCTGTACTAAAGATGAGAAGTATAAACCCCTCCTGTTTCCAGATATAGCCACTGCTAACAATTTCTTCAGACCTTTCTGTGCATTATATTCGGAGCTGAGATTGCCCCATTGCACAGAATATTCTGTGCAATATGTATATATATATATGTATATATATATATATGTATATATATATGTATATATATATGTGTATATATATGTATATATATGTATATATATATGTATATATATATGTATATATATGTATATATATATGTATATATGTGCATATATATAACAGAATTTTCTATGCATGAATATGTATGTAAAATTATATATATAAACCTTTAAACAGCTGTGGTTATTGCTTTTGATTGTCTTTGCTCTTCAGGGTAGTAGATAACAAGGCCCTTATACCTCCATTGTTTGAGTGGGAACTGAATTTAGTTGTCAAGGTACTTGGATAGGCTGTTCATATATACATATATATACACATACACATATATACAAATACACATAAACACACGTGTGTATTTATATGTGTGTGTGTGTATATATATATTTTTTTGAGACAGGGTCAAAAAGGTAGGTTTTTATAGGCAACGTCCTGTTTTTGTTTTTTTTTTGTTGGGGTAACAGCAATCCTCCCATCTCAACCTCCCAAATAGCTGGGACTACAGATGTGTGTCACCATGCCTGGCTAATTTTTAAAATTTTTTTAGAGATGGGGTCTCCCTGTGTTGCTCTGACTGGATTTTTTTTTTAACTTTATTTTTTTTCACATCAGAGAAATAATGTGCCAATGTCATAACAAGGTTTGAGGGAGGGCACGTGTCTCACATAAGTGTGAACACTCAATCATCACGCTTATGGACTACAAAAGGATCGATATTTTAAAGAATTAACAATGTGCTGGGTGTGGTGGCTCATGTCTGTAATCCCAGCACTTTGGGAGGCCGAGGCAGGCAAATTGTGTGAGTCTAGGAGTTTGAGGCTAGCCTAGGCCACATAGGGAGACCCCAACTCTACAAAAAATACAAAAATTAGCTGGGCATGGTGGCGTGCACTTGTAGTCCCAGCTACTTGGGAGGCTGAGATGAGAGGATCACTTCAGAAGACAGAGATTGGCTGGGCGCGGTGGCTCACCCCTGTAATCCCTGTACTTTGGGAGGCCGAGGTGGGCAGATCACGAGGTCAGGAGATCGAGACCGTCCTGGCTAATATGGTGAAACCGTGTCTCTACTAAAAATACAAAAAAATTAGCTGGGCCTGGTGGCGGGCGCCTGTAGTCCCAGCTACTCAGGAGGCTGAGGGAGGAGAATGGCGTGAACCCGGGAGGCGGAGCTTGCAGTGGGCCGAGATCGCGCCACCGCACTCCAGCCTGGGCGACAGAGCGAGACTGTCTCAAAAAAAAAAAAAAAAAAAAAAAAAACAGAGGTTGCAGGGAGCTGAGATTGCCCCATTGCACTCCAGCTTGGGTGACAGAGCAAGACCCTGTCTTAAAACAGACAAGGCTGGGCGTGGTGGCTCATGCCTGTAATCCCAGCACTTTGGGAGGCCAGGCGGGCGGATCATGAAGTCAGGAGTTCGAGACCAGCCTGGCCAACATGGTGAAACCCCGTCTCTAGAAAAAAAAAAAAAAGTAAAAAAATAAAAATATAAGAATTAGTGGGGTGTGGTGGCATGCACCTGTAATCCCAACTACTTGGGAGGCTGAGTCAGGTGAATCGCTTGAACCTGGGAGGCAGAGTTGCAGTGAGCTGAGGTCGCAGCACTGCACTCCAGCCTGGAAGACAGAGCAAGGCTCTGTCTCAAAAAAAAAAAAAAAAAAAAAAAAATGTAGTGGTGGACTTTGGTCATTTGAAATATAGTAAAATCCCTTCTGATTAAGCAACAAATTCTTACCCAGTAATTATGTATAATTTTATTAAAACTTAGTTTTGCTTTGTTAATAAGTAAACTATCTAGTAGTAAGCTCGTCTGACAATATTATTTACAATATTGTTGGAGAACAAGAAACCCAAAATGCAACAGGACTAAAACTGAAAAGGTTTAACTCTTTATTTTTATTTTTTTATTTTTAAAATGAGACGGGGTCTTGCTATGTTGGCAGACTGGTCTCAAACTCCTGAGCTCAACCAATTCTCCTGCCTTGGCCTCCCAAAGTGCTGGGATTTCAGGCATGAGCCGCCACACCCGGTGAAAGGGTTTAAACTCTTTCTAAATCACCTTGTGCAGAGAAGATGAATACGTTTTTCACTTGTTGGAAGGGTAATTGATTTAGTAAATGGTGTTCTCATTTGCCAAAGTTAATGTTTGTCTTGGGAGGGGGGGCAGTTTATTCCCAAATATAGAGGGTCAGCCCCACTATGTATTGAGGTTTAAAAAACCCACCTTTTAAAATGAATAGTTGTGCTTTTTTTAGTGTGTTTTGAGCCTGAGGTCTGTCAAGTGTTTCTGAGGGTTCACACTTGAATTATTGTGCTTGAGGTCAGTGATTCATAAGAGGTCAGCCTCTTATGAAGCAACCACCTTCTAATGATTGATTGAATGATACATGATGTGCTTCTAAAGTGCTTTCTGGTCAGCATTTTATTTTCTAAAGTAAATTTTATTTTTTACTTTTTTTTTTAAACCCTTTGATAACAGGCCTTGAGAAGAGTGGAAACCACTGGCTGGGGGTTGGGGTTTGCATGCAACTGTGACAGGGAAGCCCTACCTTATTTTTAAATTTTTAAAATGATTGTATTTTTTTATGACATAAACAGCACTTGTCCTTCAAGTTGCCTGCTTGGGTCTCTTCCAGGTGTACTTTTTCTTTCTTTCCTGTTCTAAAGCCTTTTAAAATAAACTTTCACTCCTGCTCTGAAGAAAAAAAAATTGTTAGGATCCGAATGTTGGCAAAAAGTTAAAAAAAATAGAAAAAAATATAAAAATAAAAAATAGGCCAGTCGTGATGGCTCACACCTTTGGGAGGCCGAGGCAGGCAGATCACTTGAGGTCAGGAGTTCGAGACCAGCCTGGCCAACGTGGTGAAACCTTGTTTCTACTAAAAATACAAAATTTAGCCAGGTGCCTGTAATCCCAGCTACTCAGGAGGCTGAGGCAGGAGAATCACTTGAGCCTAGGAGGCAGAGGTTTCAGTGAGCCGAGATGGCGCCACTGCACTCCAGTCTGGGCAGCAGAGCGAGACTCTGTCTCCAAAAAAAACAAAAAAAGACATGATTTATGTTCATTGCAGATAAATTAGAAAGAACTGGTAAACAAAACAAATAAACAAAAAAATAAGCGATAATAATGGGACCCAGAGATAAAAATGTTAACCTTTTGTTATATGTATATTCTAATAACATATTTTGTGTGTGTGTTGTACTTGTGCTTGCTTTATAAAAGTGGGGCATTTACTATATTCTAGATACTGTTTTAAGTGATTTATATTTAATGTATAATTTAATACAATAATTCTAGGAAATGAATATTGTCATCCTCATTTTTTACAAAAGGAAAAGAGGCTTAGAGAGGTTAAATAACCTGAAGTCACATGGGTGGAAATGGAATTCAAACATAAGTAGCCTGTGCTTCTGATTACTGTGTTTCACACATTGTATAAGTTTCCTAGTGTTGCTTAAGAAACAACACAAACTGGGTGGCTTAAACCTACAGAAATTAACTTCCTTATAGTTTGAGAAACTAGAAGTTCCAATTTGAGGGTGTTAGCAGGTCCATGATCCCTCTGAAGTTTCTAGGGCAGCATCCCTTCTTGCCTCTTTTTGGCTTTTGGTGGCTCCTTCCAATCTTTGGCCTTCCTTGGCTTGTAGCTGTATCACTCTAGTGTCTGCCTTATTAGTCACATGGCTTTCCTTGTGTGTCTCCAAATCTCCTTCCCCTTATAAGGATACCAGTCAGTTGGATTTAAGGCCCACCCTAATCTTGTATGACCTCATCTTAACTGATTACATCTGCAAAGACCCTATTTCCAAATAAGGTTGCATTCTGAGGTTCTGGATGGACGTGAATTTTGGGGAGATAGTGTTTAACCTATTGCACACCTTGTTGTGTAATCTGTTCTTCACTGAATGATATAACCATTTTCCCAGTCTTAATAAATATAATTCAACACTTTAAAGATTTTGTAGTATTCTATTACATAGATATGATTAATAATCTTTTTGTTGGATATCTAGATTGTTTAAAATTTTTTTTCAATATAAATTCAGTATTGAACATTTCTTGTAGTTAAATCTTTGCTTGCATCCCTGTTTCCTTACAATTTATTCCTAGAATTAGATTGCTGGGCTGAGGATTGCTGGGCTAAATATAAACATGGCTTTTAATGCTCTTAATACTTAATTGCCAAATTGTCTTACACCTCATAAAGATTGGACGCATTTGTATTTCTGCCATTACCGTAACAAGTGAGTATTTCTTTGACCATCTCATCAATGTAGCGCATAATATATTTTTTTTCCAATTTCATAGGTAAAAAATGTGATCCTGTTTTAATTTGTATTTTGCCATTTCTTTTTTTTTTTTTTCCTCCCAATTTTTATTTTAGATTCGGAGGTACACGTGCAGGTTTGTTATATGGATAAATTGCGGGTCATGGGGTTTGGTATACAGATTGTCGCCAAGGTAATAAGCATAGTACCTGACAAGTAGTTTTTCGATCCTCACCCTCCTCCCACCCTGTTTTGTCATTTCTCATGAGTACTTTCATGTGCTAAAGGTCTGTTGTATTTATCTTATGAATTTACTGAACTTGCACTTTTGTCTTTTTTCCATGAAGAGCTTTACCTTGGGAAATGAAATTTCTTTCTTTCTTTCTTTTTTTTTTTTTTTTTTTTTTTGAGACGGAGTCTGGAGTACAGTGGCGTGATCTCGGCTCACTGCAAGCTCTGCCTCCCGGGTTCTCGCCATTCTCCTGCCTCAGCCTCCCAAGTAGCTGGGACTACAGGCGCCTGCCACCACACCCGGCTAATTTTTTGTATTTTTGTATTTTTAGTAGAGATGGGGTTTCACCGTGTTAGCCAGGATGGTCTCTATCTCCTGACCTCGTGATCCACCTGCCTCGGCCTCCCAAAGTGCTGGGATTACAGGTGTGAGCCACCTCGCCTGGCTGAAATTTCTTTTTTTTATACTCAATTGTAAAAGTAATAATGTTGGATATAAAAACCCAACAAATTCAGAATGAAGCCCTATCGGATAGTACTATGCTCATTTTCTGAGTGATGAAATCATTTGTATACCAAACCCCAGTGACATGCAATTTACCCATGTAACAAACCTGCACATGTTTGTACTCCCTGAACCTAAAATAAAAGTTGAAAAATAAAAATAAATTAGAGCCGGGTGTGGTGGCTCACGCCTGATATCCCAGCACTTTGGGAGGCCAAGGCGGGTGGATCACCCAAGGTCAGGAGTTCAAGACCAGCCTGACCAACATGGTGAAACCCCGTCTCTACTAAAAAATACAAAAATTAGCCGGGCCTGGTGGTGGGCACCTGTAATCCCAGCTACTCGGGAGGCTGAAGCAGGAGAATCTCTTGAACTCAGGCGGAGGTTGCAGTGAGCTGAGATTGCACCACTGCACTTCAGCCTGGGTGACAAAGCAAGACTCCATCTCAAAAAATAAAATTAAAAATGTGAAATTAGGTAATATTAAATATGTCAATTCTCAGGCCAGACACAGTGGTGCACACCTGTAATCGCAACACTTTTTTTTTTTTTTTTTTTTTTGGAGGCAGGATCTCACTGTCACTCACGCTAGAGTGCAGTGGTGTGATCACAGCTCACTGCAGCCTCGACCTCCTGGGCTTAACTGATCCTTTGACCTCAGCCCGTCAAGTAGCTGGGATTAAAGGCACGTGCCACCACACCTGGCTAATTTTTGTATTTTTTGTACATAGGGGGTTTTGTCATATTGTCCAGACTGGCCTCGAACTCCTGGGTGCAAGCAATCTTCCCACCTCAGCATCCCAAAGTTCTGGGATTACAGGCATGAGCCGTGGTGACCGGCCCTGTTTTGTTTTTAATAAATGGCATTATACTTTGGGGAACAACAACAACAAAAAACAGTAAAGCTGCTTGTAATACTAAAAGCTAATAACTTGTCAGTGTGTGTTCATATATATAGCTACTCATATGCATATTATATATTTCAAATTGGAGTATAATCATGGATACATACTGCTTTATAGCCTACTTTTTAACTTAAATATATTATAGTTATCTTTCCATATCTGTTTTTCATGACTCCTAACGTCCCATTATTTGAGTATTCTGTAACTTCATCAGTCATTTATTGTTTTTTTCACTATTATAAATATTTCTGTTCACTTGCTTAATTATTTTCATCTCTCTCTCTCTTTTTTTCCTTTGAGACAGAGTCTCCCTCTGTCACCTAGGCTGGAGTGCAGTGGCGTGATCTCAGCTCATTGCAGCCTCCGCCTCCTGGGTTCAAGTGACTCTCCTGCCTCATCCTCCCTGGTACCTGGGATTACAGGCATACACCACCATGCCTGGCTAATTTTTGTATTTTTAGTAAAGACGAGGTTTTGCCATCTTGGCTAGGCTGGTCTTGAACTCCTGACCTCAGGTAATCTGCCTGCCTTGGCCTCCCAAAGTGCTAGGATTATAGATGTGAGCCACTGTGCCCAGCCTTCAATTCTTTTTTTTTTTTTTTTTTAATTGTGACATAAAACCCATGTATTTATTTGGGGCAAATTCCGAGAAGCGGAATTGGCAGGTCAAGGTATGCCCTTTTGAAGGTTCTTGATAAACATTGCCAGATTGCCCCCAAGAAGTATGTACCAATTAATTTTAACAGGCAGTAGAAAGCCTGATTTTGGATAATTATGTTTTTATCTTTACCAGGTAGATTTATCTGATAGATAAAAGGTGTTACTTGTTTTATTTTGTGTTTCCTTGATTGCTGGTGAAGTCTTATTTCTTTTGTGTGTGTGATGGCTATATTTTATATATGTACTGAAATTTTTATTTTCAAAGAAAGTATGTTTAGCTGGGCGAGGTGGTGTGCACCTGTAGTCCCAGCTACTTGGGAGGCTGAGGCAGTTGGATCACTTGAGCCCAGGAGGTCGAGGCTGCAGTGAGCTGAGGTCGTGCCACTGCTCTGGAGCCTAGGTGACAAAGTGAGACCTTGTCTTTAAAAAAATCTCTCTCTCTCTATCTTTGCATATCTACCTATCTAGCTAGCTAGCTAGCTAGCTATATCTATCTATCTAGCTAGCTAGCTAGCTATATCTATCTGTACATATAAATGGAGAGAGAGAAAGGGTCTTGCTCTGTTGCCCAGGCTAGAGTACAGTCCTAGAATCATGGCTCACTGCAGCCTCAACCTCCCAGACTCAAATTATCCTCCTGCCTCAGCCTCCCTAGTAGCTGGGACTACAGGAATGTGCTGCCATGCCCAGCATTTTTTTTTTTGTAGAGACAATGTCTTGCTATGTTACCCAGGCTGGTCTGGAACTCCTGGGTGATCCTCCACCTCAGCCTCTCAACATGCTGGAGTTACTGGGATGAGCTACCTGTGCCCAGCTCTATATATACTGTTCTCAAACTTGATTTTTAAATTTCACAGTATGTTATGGATAGCATGTTTTTTGTTTTCTGTTTTTGTTTTTTGACTGGATGCATTGGATGTCCATTGTGGTTGGTCATATTTTATTTAACCACTACTTTGTTGATGGACAAGAGTTTTGCTACACTCTTAACCAACTGAAGAGTTATCTGTATCTTTACCTTCCTTGTTGCTGGCCTGGTGGGTTAAAATGTATTCATTTTAATTTGTTTTTCTGTAATTATGAATGAGGTTGGATATCTTTCCATATCTTTATTGGCCTTTTGTATTTTTCTATAACTTGTGTATTTTCCTCTCTACCTCTCTCAGATTGTCATTCTTTCCTTCATTGATTTATGTGAGCTGTTTGTATATTAAGGAAAATAGCTTATTAGATTCTTATGGTTCCTCCAGTTTGTCTCGCTTGGTTTATAATGTTTTTTACTATGTGGCACTTTTTGGGTGAATTTTTATGACATTGACTCCAGCAGTCTTTTCCTTTTTGATTTCTGCTTTAAAGTGCAGCAGCGGTGTGGCGGGGAGGGGCAGTGGGAGGGGGAGAAATAATTCTTTCCCTGTTATATAAAATTCACTTCTGTTTTCTTTATGACTGCACAATTTACATATAAATATTTTATATAGCTGAATTTTTTTCAATGTTAGTACCTTAACATGTTTTCCAGATGATTAGTCAGTTTTCCCATTTATTGAAAAATGTACATTTCCCTGATGATTTGAAATGCCATCTTTATCATATATCAAATGCTTATATATATTTGGGCTTGTTTTGCACCTTTTTTGTTGTTGTTTTTGCTTTTTATTTTTTTGAGATGGAGTCTTGCTTTGTCGCCCAGGCTGGAGTGCAGTGGCGCCATCTCAGCTCACTGCAACCTCTGCCTCCCAGGTTCATGTGATTCTCCTGCCTTAGCTTCCTGAGTAGCTGTAATGACAGGTGCCCACTACCACGCCTGGCTGATTTTTGCATTTTTAGTAGAGACAGAGTTTCACCATGTTAGCCGGGCTGGTCTAGAACTCTTAACCTCAGGTGATTAGCCCACCTGGGCCTCCGAAAGTGCTGGGATTACTTGCGTGAGCCACTGCGCTCGGCCTGTTTTTGCACTTTTTTTTGAGTTGCATTGGTGCGCATGTCCAGTTATTCAGGGCCTCAGTCAGAATTTAATTAAAAAAATTTTTTTGTGTGTATGTGTGTGGAGATGGGGGGATCTCACCAACTTGCTCATGCTGGTTGTGAACTCCTGGGCTCAACTGATCCTCCTGCCTGGCCTCCCAAAGTGCTGGGATTACAGGTGTGAGCTACTGTACCCAGCTGAAACTCAGAGTTTTAATGTGTACTTAAAGGTGTTTTTAAAGGGGAAGTACATTTCCTTATTTAATTTTCATTTTATCCAAATTACAAATGTATGGTTTAAAGAGTAAAGTAGTTCTGTCAGCTTGTTAAAAGCAACAAGGGGTTCTAGACCTTTTTCTTCCTTCCTTGACTCCCCAGAGGCAATCTGTTTCAATTCTTTCAACTGATTTTTGGGTTTTGTTACCTCTCTCTCAATTTTTTTTAACCTTTAATCATTATCTGTTGACTTTACACAGGGAGATAAGGATTTTGCTTTGTGATAGCCAAAGTAGTGGTGAAGAGCAAAGTTCAAAGCCTCTGCTGTGTGACATATGGCAAGTTACTGTCTCTGTGCCTCAGCTTTCTCATATATAACATAAGGGCACCAGTTGTTAAATGGGAATTAGGTAAATCGATAGTATAAAGATTTGGGGGCCGGGCGCGGTGGCTCACGCCTATAATCCCAGCACTTTGGGAGGCTGAGGCAGGCAAATCACCTGAGGTCAGGAGTTTGAGATCAGCCTGGCCAACATGGTGAAACCCCGTCTTTACTAAAAATACAAAAATTAGCTGGGTGTGGTGGTGTGTGCCTGTAATCCCAGCTACTCCGGAGGCTGAGGCAGGAGAATTGCTTGAACCCGGAGGCGGAGGTTGCAGTGAGTCAAGATCGCACCACTGCCCTCCAGCGTGGGTGACAGAGCAAGACTCCGTTTCAAAAAAAAAGATTTGGACCTCTGCCTGACCCATAGTAATTGTTTGTTTCACTCACCCCATTTCCTGTTCTCCCATTTTAGTTATTTGTAATTTGGCTAAATCAGTTTTCGTGTGTGTGTGTGTGTGTGTGTGTGTGTGTGTATGTGGTTGTTACTGTTTTTGAGACAGGATCTCTCTGTCACCCAGCGTGTGTGTGTGTGTGTGTGTGTGTGTATGTGGTTGTTACTGTTTTTGAGACAGGATCTCTCTGTCACCCAGCGGCATGATCACAGCTCACTGCAGCCTTGACCTCCTGCGCACAGGTGATCCTCCTCAGCCACTCTAGTACCTGGAACTACAGGCATGTGCCACCACACTCAGTGTTGCACTGTGTTGCCCAGGCTAGTTTTGAACTCCTGAGCTCAAGCCATCCTTTTGCCTTGGCCTCCCAAAGTGCTGGCATTACAGGCATGTGTCACCAATCTTACTGTTTATCTCATTATAATGTTTAAATGTTTATCAACACTTGAGCCATTTGTGTGCTTGGATTACTTTTCTTTCTCAGCACAATATTTTGCTGCCCTGAGGGTGATAATTGTCTTGATTTTTGGTTTGTTCAGTCTTTTTTTTTACTATCCTCAAACTCCTTACTAACTATATATGTAAAATTTATTCTCAGTAGTAGGTTATGACACTGTAGGTGTTCTGTCAGTTTTATCTTTTTGAAGAATTCTTTTCTAGAACGTTGGACCTACCCTGATCTGGACTGGGTGAGCTCTAGGTCTGCACAGATCTCACCCCTGGGGTTTCTTTTAGCCTTTCTTTGTTGGAACCTCTGTTTCCTGGACCCAATTTTTTTTAAGCTTCCTGAAAGTGCAAGAGAGATAAAATTTGAAACTTTTGCATTCTGAAATTTTTCTTACCTTGATACTTAGCTGATATCCCAGATTTTGCTGGGGAGCAGTTTTTTAAGGTTGAGAATATTTTTCTCAGAATTTTGAAGGCACTGATCCTTTGTCTTGTGTTTTCAGCGGTAATGTTGAAATATTCTGATTCTTTGTTCTTTGAATGAATCCTGTTTTCTTCCCTCTCTGAAAACTTTTGGTAACTTTGCTGTGTCCCTAGTGCCCTGAAATTTGACGGTTATGCATTTCAGCATTCATTTTCTTATATTTTGTTCAGCTTTGGTGAGCCCTTTCAGTCTGGAAACTCCCTTCTCTTGTTATCGGAAAATTTCTTGAATTGATCCTTTAATTTCCTCTCCTTCCTTTTCTCTGTTCTCCTTTATTGGAGCTCCTGTTTTTCAGATATTGGACTTTCTGGTCTGGTTCTGTAATTATGTTTTCTTTTTACCTTTTGACAAAATGTTTGCTTTGTTTTCTGGGTGATCTCAGCTTTGTTTCCTTCAAGTTGCATTTTTTTATTACTTTAGTTTTGTTTATTTCATATTTGATGCTTTACCATAAATATATTGTGGTTCTTGACTATATACACCTATTTAAAAAAAATTTTTTTTAAAGAGACAGGTTTTCTCTTTGTTGCCCAGACTGGTCTTGAACTCCTGGGCTCATGAGATCCTCCCACCTCAGCCTCCCAAAATGCTGGGATTAGAGGTGAGCCACCACACCCGGCCCACTACGTACTCCTATTTAAGAGTGGAACACAAAAAGAGGATTTGGGTTGGGCACAGTGGCTCACACCTGTAATCTCAGCACTTTGAGAGGTGAGTGGATCACTTGAGGTCAGGAATTCGAGACCAGCCTGGGCAATGTGGCGAAACCCCCATCTCTACTAAAATTACAAAAATTAGCCATGTGTGGTGGTGCACACCTGTAGTTCCAGGTTCTCGGGAGGCTGAGGCAGGAGAACCCGGGAGGCAAAGTTTGAAATGAGCTGAGATTGTGCCACTGCACTCCAGCCTGAACGACAGAGCGAGACTCCATCTCAAAAAAAAAAAGGGGGTGGAAGCTATGGGCATGACTATGACTATAGGGTGTAACTGTGGGCTTAACAGCCCCACCCATTTCCTCCAGGGTGGGGCAGTCCCTGGGCTATGCAGTGTTGTGACTACATTAGGGGATATGAGGCCTAACTAGTGGGTTAAGCAGATGTGTAACCTCTCCTGTTTTTGTACATGTGTTTATTCCTGAACTGTTTTGGGCTACTCATTGTTAACCAGGTTGCTGCTCTACTTTTCCCACTGCTGGCTAAGGAAGATTCAACTTTTTCAGGTTGGCTAAGACATTTTCCACTTGTCTACTTCCCAGTTCCCTTAATTAAGTTGCCTCACTTGTTCATTTTGTCCTAGTGAATTCACGCCTTTTTCCCCCATCCCTGTATTTTAGGAGGGCTTAGGAAGGGAGCTGAGGCTAATGCATGCATTCAGCCTTCAGTCTTTAACTGGAAACTAAAAAGGAAGTACTGGATTTGCATCTAAAAGTTTTTATTCTGCCTTTCATTCTTAGGATTTATATGGTTTTTTGGATATGATGTAACATTTTGGTATGCCAGTTGAATGATCCATTAAGTTCTAACTGTTATTGCCACATATATTATACAGATAACTTTCTTTCTCCAAATAGAATGAAAGGCTAAAGAACAAACTGTAGATGGTTATCTCTGGTTGATGGGATTAGTTATTTTTCAGTTTCTTTGTGCTTTTACTTTATTTTTGCTTTTTTTGGGACAGGGTCTTGATCCTCACCCAGGCTTGAGCGCAGCGGCGCGATCATGGCTCACTGCAACCTCAACCTCCCAGACTCAGTTGATACCCCCGCGTCAGCCTCCTGAGTAGCTGGGACTATAGGCGCATGCCACCACACCTGGCTACTTTGTGTATTTTTTGTTGCCCAGGCTGGTCTTGAACTCCTGGGCTTAAGTGATCTGCCCGCCTCAGCCTCCCAAAGTGGTGGGATTACACGCCCGGACCCCAGCCTCTGTGCTTTCACTTTAATTCATAAATTTTTCTATATTGAATATGCATTACTTGTATAATTCGGAAAAATACTATTTGAGTAGAGAAAAAATTGCTAGTTAATCAAATCCTTGGATGAAAGTTGGCTTTAGGGATCAATGTGCTCATCTGTTACTTAATCCTAAATATCTCAAGAGTTGTGCTGTGTCTTTTACCTCTTTTAGGTAATCTGCAATTAGAAGCACTAGTTTTAGGGGGTGTGTATATCATTTCTCCTTTTTTTTCTTTTCTTTTTTTTTTTTTTTTTTGAGACAGGGTCTCACTCTGTCACCCAGGATAGAGTGCAGTGGCTCACTGCTACCTCTGCCTCCCGGGTTCAAGTGATTCTACCACCTCAGCCTCCTGAGTAGCTGGGACTACAGGCACATGCCACCACACCTGGCTAAGTTTTGTATTTTTTTTTTAGTAGAGACAGGGTTTCACCATGTTGGCCAAGCTGGTCTCGAACTCCTGACCTCAAGTGAGCTGCCCGCCTCAGCCTTCCAAAGTGCTGGGATTACATTTGTGAGCCACCACACCTGGCCCTATCCTCATCTTTTAATTTTGAAGATTTTCAAACCAAAGAAAAGTTGAGATACTAACATGGTGATTGTGTATACTCTTCCCATAGATTCACTAGTTATCACCATTTTGCCACATTTGCTTTATCTTTTAAGTACCTTTACTGAAGTATAATTTGCATACCATAAGTTAACCTATTTTAATATAATTCAGTGATTTTTAGTAAGTTTATCCATCTGCAACCATCACCCCAATCCAGTTTTAGAACACTTTCGTTACTCCAGTAAGATTTTTTTCTGCCTATTTACAGTTAATCCATACCCACCCCCCAGCCTTGGGCAACCACTAATCTTTTTTGTCTCTAAAGATTTGCCTTTTTGGCCAGGCGGGGTTGCTTATGCCTGTAATCCCAGCACTTTGGGAGGCCAAGGTGGGTGGGTTGCCTGAGGTCAGAAGTTCGAGACCAGCCTGGCCAACATGGTGAAACCCTGTCTCTACTAAAAATACAAAAAATTAGCTGGGTGTGGTAGTGGGTGCCTGTAATCCCAGCTACTCGGGAGGCTGAGGCAGGAGAATCGCTTGAACCTGGGAGGCAGAGGTTTCAGTGAGCCGAGATTGCGCCATTACATTCCAGCCTGGGCAACAAGAGCGAAACTCTGTCTCAAAAAAAAAAAAGAGTTGCCTTTTCTCCACATTTTTTTAAGTGGAAATCATATAATACGTAGTCATGTATCTGGCTTGTTTCACTTAGCACAGTGTTTATGATGTTCATTTGTGCTTTAGCATATATCAGTATATCATTCATTTTTATTGCTGAGTTGTGGTATGGATATACCACATTTTGTTTACTTATTTATGTTATGTTAATTAGTTTTGTATCATCTAGGTGTGTTAACTCTGAAGTCAGATGACTCAGTAGTCAATTTTATGTATGTTTGAATTTATGGTTAATTGTGAGGCCTTCACACACAATTATTCATGTAATTAATATTTAATACACAGGCAGTAATAAAAGTAACAACCACATCGATGGTTCTGGAGACCAATGTACAAGTTGTGTGGTTCTGGAAGTCTTTTGGCTGGCAATTGGTGGGAGGGGTGTTTGTCTCTGTTTCTCTTGGGCAGAGCCTCCACAACAGCTGCCCTGTCAAAAGAAGGCCTCAGGCTGGGCATGGTGGCTCACGCCTTTAATCCCAGCGCTTTGGGAGGCCAAAATGGGAGGATCACTTGAGTCCAGGAGTTTGAGACCAGCCTGGGCAATAAAGTGAGACCCTGTCTCTACCAAAAAAAAAAAAAAAAAAATAGCTGGGTGTGATGGTACATACCTTTAGTCCCAGCTACTCCGCAGGCTGAGGCAGGAGGATCACTCGAGCCCAGGAAGTTGAGGCTACAGTGAGCCATAATCATGCCACTGCCTTCCAGCCTGGGCAACAGAATGAGACTGTCTCATAAAAACAAAAGACTCATGCTTGTAATCCCAGCACTTTGGGAGGCCAAGATGGGTGGATCACCTGAGGTCAGGAGTTTGAGACCAGCCTGGCCAACATGGTGAAACCCTGCCTCTACTAAAAATACAAAAAATTAGCCAGGTGTGGTGGCGCACACCTGTAATCCCAGCTACTCAGGAGGCTGAGGCAGAAAAATCACTTGAACTTGGGAGGCGGAGGTTGCAGTGATCCAAGATTACGCCATTGCACTCCAGCCTGGCGACAAGAGCGAAACTTCATCTCCAAAAAAAAAAAAAAAAAAATTAGCCAGGCATTAATTTTTTTAAATAGTAGTCCCAGCTACTTGGGAGGCTGAGATGAGAGGATTGCTTGAGCCCAGGAGTTTTAGGCTGCAGAGAGCTATAATCCTGCTACTGCACTCCAGCCTCAGCGACAGAGTGAGACTGTCTCCAAAAAAAGAAAAGAAGGTTTCAGAGTTCTCACAGGTAGCCTCTGAAGGCGTCTTGGATAAGGCTGAGTCTTGACTGTTTTTGTGATCTTTTGTAGATGGGCCTATTATTATTATTTTAGCCACTTTTTACTTTTTATCAGTTTATTTTAGGTCTTGGGTGGCACCACGTAACAAGAAAAGTAGGTGTTATCATCTCAGTCTGTTATGCATGTGTTTATCGATTTGAGGGGTGAACATCACTGTGGGCTGAATGTTACTTGATGTGAGGGACTATTTTGAGACATTAGGATCACAGATCATTATATCAATATATAAGTTGATGTACATTTGAATTTTTACTTACTGGCTATATTATGAATAAAGCTGCTGTGAACATTTCACTTGTGAGACTATGTGGACATATTTTTAAATTTATCTTGGGTAGATACATAGGAAGGGAATTGTTAATTTGTATGGTAAGGTTATATGTAGCTTTTTAAGAATCTGCTAAACTGTTTTCCAAAGTAATTACCATTCTACATTCTTAGCAGCATTGTATGAGAGTTCTCTCAAGCTTTTATACTTTTTTTTTCCTGAACCATTTGAGATAACTTGCAAGGATTGTGAGATTTCACCTTTAAGCCCTTCAGCAAATATATCCTGGGAGAACAAGAGCATCATTCTACATGACTACAGTACTATTGTCACTCTGAAGGAATTTAACATGGAAACAAAAGTATTATCTAATATATAGCCCATCTCTAAATTTGTTCCCAGAATTGCCCTTTACAACCTTCCTTTTTTTAATGCAGGATCTTCTCAGGGATCTTATGTTATCTTTGGTTATCATGTCTCTTTAGACTTCTATCTAGAACAGTTCCTTCGCCTTTTGTGGGTATTCTATGACATTGACATTTTTAGAGTTTATGCCAGTCGGAGTGTCCTATGTTGTTGGTTAGTCGTGATTAGAATCAGATTATTTTGTTGGAAATAATACATAGATGATGCTATGTCTTCTATTGCGTCACATCAGGAGGCATATTATGTTAGTTTGTCCTATTACTGACTATGCTAAAATTGAATATTTGGTTAAGATAGTGTCCACCTGTTTTTCTCCTTTATAGTTAATAAGTAATCTGTGGGGATGACTCTCAGACTGGGACTACCCTGTTTTCCCAACAGTCTTCCTCTCCACTGTTTTAGTATCTATTGATGATCCTTGACTGAGTTGATACTGCATAGGTGGTTGCAAAAAGGTTGTTATCTAATTTTGTTGTTCCATCTTCATTTATTGTTTGGCATTCTTCTGTAAATATATTAATTTTTAAATAGAACATATCAAATTAGGGAAGGAATTCATGGTGAATAAAGCCAAATTTAGGTCATGTTTTAGTTTAACATTGTGAGCCTAAGTGTATTTGCCTTACCTTCAGCCATACAGGATCCAAAAAAGGGGGTATTGAGAAAGATCTCCTTGACTTTGTAAAGCTTGAACTACATAAACACCTTCATTCA
Organism: Homo sapiens; assembly: GCF_000001405.40. Classification (NCBI taxonomy): domain Eukaryota; kingdom Metazoa; phylum Chordata; class Mammalia; order Primates; family Hominidae; genus Homo; species Homo sapiens. The sequence continues at coordinate 34,667,198 of NC_000006.12, read as the reverse complement.
CTATGTTTACATTATTTGGGGATGTGTGCTGCTTTTCTGTCTTTGAGAGACCAAACTTTCTTCAAGGAAGAATCAGAATAAACTATAGATAGATTTTTTTTTCCTCTCAGTTTTTAGTATCTTTTTCTTTGTAAACCAGATTGGATAGTTTTTTTTCATGTATATTCGAGTGGCTTTATGATTTTTTGATGGAGGGGAGGGCCACTAATTTTACTGGTGATAATTACGCAGTGTCATGTAAAGAAGCTATTTTTAAAAGTCCTTTTATTCTGGAATGCATAAGAAATGCCATAGTTGGATGAGCTGTCTCAAACCTGCTTGGTTATCATCTGAAGAGTTGGTTGCCCAGAACATGAAAACATTAACAGAATACGTGAGATTGTTTGCAAGTACAACAGGACTTTTACAGGATATATTCTTTAAGTGTTGTATCCCTTGTTTGTGCTGATTAGTTATTAAAAATGATAGCATTCTCTCACATGTCACATATTTATACTGTCATTAGTTTGTAAAAGAAAAGGAGGACTGTTAACTCTCAGGCCTGTGAATTATCATAAAATTTGTTTTTATTCTTTTTCCAAGTTCCATCTAGTTTTAGCCCCCTATTTGTAAGTATATAGCTCTTCTTTTTTTTGAGATGGAGTTTCGCTCTTGTTGCCCAGGCTGGAGGAGTGCAATGGCGCAATCTTGGCTCACTGCAACCTCTGCCTCCCGGGTTCAAGCGATTCTCCTGCCGCAGCCTCGCGAGTAACTGGGATTACAGGCATGCAACACCACGCCTGGCTAATTTTGTATTTTTAAGTAGAGATGGGGGTTTCTCCATGTTGGTCAGGCTGGTCTCGAACTCCCGACCTCAGGTGATCCGCCTGCCTCGGCCTCCCAAAGTGCTGGGATTACAGGCATGAGCCACCATGCCCGGCCAAGTATATAGCTTTTTAAAGGTACCTATATACCAGAAAGCAGCCAAATATGTCCACAGAGTACTTGGAGATACTGGCAGCTGAATGAGTAGAGTTGGGGGTCAGAGTTTAAATGCCATGTGGCATTCTTTGGTAGTATTAGGTAACATGACATTGTCTTTGCCCATCATATATTAGAATTTGGCTAAGGTTTGTTTACCTTTTTGCTCTTGCAGAGAGAATAAGATAGCATAGGGCTATAGATTTTTCTCTTAGATGTATATCCTAGGGTGCATTTTTCTGGGTGAAGTATGTTGATGGTATGGCCAGCATTTTTTTTTTTTTTTTTTAAGCATAGATGAAACTGAAGGTACTTTGAAGCACACTGTCAGGAAATCTCAAAGGCAAGAATTATTAGACAATTGTAAAGTATTTTAATCAAAAGTGTATGCAAAAGTGTGGCATTTCTTCTTAAAGCCTATGCATTTTTCACTGTATGCAGAAACAAGAGGATGGAATGTTGGTTCATAATTTTGTTTTTTTGGCATTTTTTTCCTTTTTAATAAATGAAGGCTGGGCGTGGTGGCTCATACTTGTAATCCCAGCACTTTGGGAAGCTAAGGTTGGAGGATTGCTTGAGGCCAGGAGTTCGAAACCAGCCTGTGAAATGTAACAAGACCCTATCTCTATTATAATTAAAAAATCAAAAACAGCTGGTCATGGTGGCTCACGCCTACTATAATCCCAACACTTTGGGAGGCTGAGGTGGGAGGATTACTTGAGGCCCAGCGTTTGAGACCTGTGTGGGCAACATAATGAGACCCCCATATCTCTCCTTCTCTCTCTGTCTCTTTTTTTGAGACAGCGTCTTGTCGCCCACAGTGGAGTGCAGTGGTACAATAACAGCTTGCTGCATTCTTGACCTCATGGGGTCAGGCCTTCCGAGTAGCTGGGACTACAGGTGTGTGCCACCAAGCCTGGCTAATTTTTTTTTTTTTTTTTTTTTTGTAGAAAAGGGGTCTCCCTGTGTTGCCCAGGCTGGTCTTGAACTCCTGGGCTCCAGTGATCCTCCTGTCTCAGCCTCCCAGAGTGCTGGGATTATAGGCGGTGAGCTACCATGCCTAGCTTGAGACCCCCATCTCTACCAAAAAAAAAAAAAGATAAGATGAGCCAGATGTTGTGGTGTGCACCTGTACTCCTACTTGGGAGGTTGAGGCAGGACGATTGCCTGAGTCCAGGAGTTCAAACCCGCAGTGAGCTGTGAGTATGCCACTGCACTCTCCAGCCTGGGTGACAGCACAAGACCCTGTCTCTCTCAAAAAACAAAACAAAACAAAAAATTGCTGGTATTTTTTAGAAAACAGCTCTCTGACCAGGATGAGATACATTTGACTGCTGCTGGTTTATTGTAAGTTCCCTGTTTGGTAACAAACTTTTGAAAGGCATGCTTCATTATAGATTTATCTGATCATTTCGTAACTGCTATTTTAAACCATTTCCTGAAGTTTCATGAGCAACGATAAACCATAGACATTTTGTTTATAAAGATAGCTTTTTCTCAGTCACATTTTGTTTGTCATTCTGGGACTTTTTGGGTATCATATATTTTCATGTCTCTCCTGGGCCAGTGGTCCAGCATTTTCAAAAATTACAGTTAACACTGAACCTAGTGATTGTTTCCCATTTTGGGAAGTATCCATGACAGTTTAATTCAGGGGGCAACAAGAATGGGAGTTATTTCTAAATATGTATCTTTGATGGCAAATTGAGTTCTTGGAAGCAGAGTTATTATGAAGGAAATGACTCAGCAAAAAAACAGCACCATTTTGATCCCGGTGCTGTGGCATGCTCCTGTAATCCTAGCTACTCAGGAGGCTGAGGCAAGAGGAACCCTTGAACCCAGGAGTTTGAGACCAGCCTGGGCAACATAACAAGACCCTGTCACCAAAAAACCCGCAAAACCCCACCATTTTCATTGCAGTCTTTATTCTGCTTTCATATTCATAGTTTTTTCTTGTTATGATAAACATTTTCAAATATACAGTAAAGTAGAATAATACAATGTGTAGCCATTATATTAGTTTTTGGTGCTGTGATACATTACCACAAACTATGTGACTTAAAAACGCACACATTTATAATTTTAGCAGTTCTGGAGGTCACAAGTTCAAATGGTCTCTGCACTAAAATCATGGCGTCATCAACACTCTGTTCCTTTTGAAGAATCTTTTCTTGCCTTTTCCTGCTTCCAGAGGCTACAGGCATTCCTTAGCTCACGGCCCTGTTTCTCCTTCTTCAAAGCTGAGTCGTTCTTACACTGCTATTTCTCAGTTCTCTCTTTAACTTCCCTCTTCCACTCTTAAGGAAGTGATTGCATTGGTTTCATCTGGATAATTCTGGATAATCTCCCTATTTTAAGGTCAGCTGATTAACACCCTTAATTCCTCTTTGCGATATAACTTAACATATTCATAGGTTCCAGGGACCGGGACATTATTAGGATGATGAAAATGTTCTGAAACATGATATTCTAAACATGGTGATGGTTGTACAATTCTGTAAATTTACTAAAAATCATTGAATTGTACAATTGAAATGGGTGGATTTTATGCTGCATAAATTATACCTCGGTAAAATTGCTTTTTAAAGAGACCTTAGCTGGACGGGGTGGCTCATGCCTATATTCCCAGCACTTTGGGAGGCCAAGGCAGGAGGATTGCTTGGAGTTCAAAACCAGTCTGGGCAACATAGTGAGACCCTGTCTGTCTCTCTCTCTCTCTTTTTTTTAAGTTTAAAATTTTAAAGACAAAAATTTTAGAAACCTTTAGGTGCTCTCCTTTCATTTTAAGAGTAAATCTAAATTTCATTTTCTTCTTTGAGACAGGGTCTCATTCTGTCACCCAGGCTGGGGTACAGTGGTATGATAATAGCTCACTGCAGCCTCAACCTCCTGGGCTCAAGTGATCTTTCCACTTCAGCCTTCTGAGTAGCTGGGACTATAGGCACGCGCCACTATACCCAGATAATTTTTCAATTTTTTTGTAGAGACAGAGTCTCACTTTGTTTCGCAGGCTGGTCTTGAACTCCTGGCATTAAGTACTCCTCTTGCCTCAGCCACCCAGAGTGCTGGGATTCCAGGCATGAGCCGTCATGGTCCTTTAGTGGTGAAATGTACTTAACATTTCCCATCTTAACTCTTTTTTTTTGAGACAGGATCTCACTCTGTCATCCAGGCTCGTGTAGGGTGGCATCATTAGGGCTCACTGTAGCCTTGAACTCCCGGGCTCAAGGGATCCTCCCACTGCAGCCTCCCAAGTAGCTGTGACTATAGGTGCACACCACCCTGTGTAGTCCCAGCCTGGCTAATTTTTAATTTTCTTTTAAATTTTATAGAGACAAGGTCTCACCATGTTGCCCAGGCTGGACCAGTCTTGGGCTCAAGCAGTCCTCCTGCCTTGGCCTCCCAAAGTGCTGGGATTACAGGTGTGAGCCACCATGCCTGGCCCATCTTACCGATTTTTAAGTGTACTATTCCGTAGCGTGTTAAGTATATTCACGTCATTTTGCAAACAATCTCCAGGATTCTTTCATCTTGCAAAACAGAAACTATGTACTCATTAAACAACTACCCACTTTCCATGTAAGTATTTGACCTTTGTGACGGACTTATTTCACTTAGCATAAAATCCTCAAGGTTCATCCGTAATGTTATGTGTTTTCAGAATTTTCTTCCTTTTTAAGGCTAAATAATATCCCATTACATGTATAAATCATATATTGTTTATTTGTTCATTGGTCAGTGGACACTTGGGTTGCTTTCACCATTTGACTCTTATGAATAATGCTGCTCTGAACACGCATATTCTTTTTTAGAACTGCTTTCAGTTCTCTTAGATACCCAGAAGTGGAATTGCTAGATCTGAGTAAGTTTTAACTTAGTGCTCCAGCTTCTCTTCTATGTCTTTTTCTTTTCTTTTTCTTTTTTTTTTTTTTTGAGACGGAGTCTTGCTCTGTCACCCAGGCTGGAGTGCAGTGGCGCGATCTCGGCTCACTGCAAGCTCTGCCTCCCAGGTTCACGCCATTCTCCTGCCTCAGCCTCCTGAGTAGCTGGGACTACAGGCGCCTGCCACCACGCCCAGCTAATTTTTTTTTTTTTTTTTTTTTTTTTTTTTTTTGAGACGGAGTCTCGCTCTGTCGCCCAGTCTGGAGTGCAGTGGCACGATCTCGGCTCACTGCAAGCTCCGCCTCCCGGGTTCACGCCATTCTCCTGCCTCAGCCTCCCGAGCAGCTGGGACTACAGGCGCCCGCCACCACGCCCGGCTAATTTTTTGCATTTTTAGTAGAGACGGGGTTTCACTGTTTTAGCCAGGATGGTCTCAATCTCCTGACCTTGTGATCTGCCCACCTGGGCCTCCCAAAGTGCTGGGATTACAGGCGTGAGCCACCGCGCCTGGCCTCTTCTATGTCTTTTAATTGGCTTTGTACCTTCCATTCAAACTCTCCCTAGAAGCCATTATACAATATTGAACTAATTTGGACCTATTATGTTGAAAGTAACAAACTTACTTCAAACTAGATAATGATAAAAGGGTTTCTTTAAGGATATTTTTATGTTACACAGAACCCAAAGACAGAAATATGTTTGTGCTTCAGGAACAACTAGACTCAAGGACTTGAAATACCTTTAGGTTTCTTTCTCTGTGTGTTTTATCTAGATGTTTGCAGTGGTCTTTTATCTCTGTTGAAGAGAGCCATGACTGTCCAGAGCTCTCAAATGTGTAGTTTATAGACCAGATACTATGAGAGAAACTTTCTTAGTTCCAGTTCCAAATTTCTCAGTACCCCCACCTCCATGAGCCACCGTGCCCAGCCCTTACAGAACATTTTAAAGAATTGTAGAGTGTATAGCCTTGTGCCTACCACCTAGATTCCACAATGGTTAACATTTTTGCCATATTTGCTTTCTTTATGTAAGATTTTTAAAAAATCATTTGAAAGTTGTAGACATTTTATGACCCTTGATCTTTAAATGTTTCTGCATGTATTTTTTAAAAACAAGGATATTCTCATACATAACTATGTACTATTACCTAATACAATAATAAAACAATGCCACCACTTCCTTTCTTTTTTGTGGCAGAGTACTTATTTTTTATTTTCTACTTGGAAAATGGTATAGCTGCTGAAGACAGAAGGACCAGTTCTTAAAAGTAATAAAATTAATGGATCAATAAATAGCCAGGAAACGAAGAGAGGAGAAACAATTTTAGATGCCATAGGGCTCTAAGAAGTGGGTAAAATGTTGATATTAACTTTGTCCCTCCTCTGAATGTAATTTTCCACAAATTCTTTTTACTAGTTGTCTTCACGTATTAAAGAGTATCTGCGAGTACATTTTTAGGTTGACAGTATTGACCGTTGCCTTTAGCCCAACTTGAATTCCCTATTTGCGGTCATCTTTCTGTTTCAATGAAAGTCTTAGTTTCTTTCCAGGCTTTAAAATTCATAGTAGTTACAAGTATGTAATGTTTGGCCCCTCTTTTTGGTATTCCATGTTAGATTCCTCTCACATTGATGTTGGAAGGCCCTGGTTAAGAGCATCTATTTTGCTGAGCCTTTTTCCGGCCAAATTACCTTTTTGGTCATTCAGAGATAGTAAGGTCTTCTTGATTCTTGGTGGTACATGGCTTTAGTAGCAATATTATTGGCGTATCCCAGGTGAGGAAAACCCCTTGTGGTTCAGGATAACAATGTCTTGAAGCCCTAAGATGCTGTTGTTCATGCCTGATAACATGGGTTCATTATTCTGTTTCCCATTTTAATTTGTGTCCAAATAAGGTTGGTAGTTTTCTTTTTCTCATAAATAATTTGTGTTCTTTTGAGTTTCTCACTTGTTCAGAGAATGGAAAGAAAAGGTATCTAGTTTTTTTTTTTTCCTTGAGAATCTGAGCTAATGGCATTCCTTCTCTATTTCTGATTTTTTAAATTTATTTATTTTTTTGACAGGGTCTCACTGTTGCCCAGGCTGGAGTGCAGTGGCGCAGTCTCAGCTCACCGCAGCCTCACCCTCCTGGGATCAAGTGATCCTCCCACTTCAGCCCCCTGAGTGGCTGGGACTATAGGTGTATGCCACCATGCCTGGCTGATTTTTTTTTTTTTTTGAAGGGATGAGGTTTCGCCATGTTACCTAGGCTAGTCTCAAACTTCTGGGCTGAAGTGATCCACCTGCCTCTGCGCCTCCCAAGGTGCTGGGATTATAGGCATGAGCCACCACACCTGGCCTGGTTTTCTTAACTGTTTTCTACTGCCATATTTTTGAATGATGTTTCTGGCCTCATATAAATATATAGATGATTTTTCTTCCTAAGACTGCCTTATGGGCCGGGCGTGGTGGGTCACACCTGTAATCCCAGCACTTTGGGAGGCCAAAGCGGGTGAATCACCTGAGGTTGGGAGTTCGAGACCAACCTGACCAACATGGAGAAACCCCGTCTCTACTAAAAATACAAAATTAGCCGAGCGTGGTGGCACATGCCTGTAATCCCAGCTACTCCGGAGGCTGAGGTAGGAGAATTGCTTGAACCCGGGAGGTGGAGGTTGCAGTGAGCCGAGATAGCACCACTGCACTCCAGCCTGGGGATAGAGTGAGACTCCGTTAAAAAAAAAAAAAAAAAAAAAAAAGACTGCCTTATGTATGTATATATACAACAAAAATAAATGTTCTATGTTTGTGAATATATGCAAGATCAATTCTTTAAAGAATTCAGTTTAATGGGGGTTACAATTCATTTATAGAATTCATAATGGTAATTAGTATGTTAAGAAAATCAGATGTTCAGAGTGTTATATAATTGGAAATTCTGGGTAGGTTAAAACTTTTGAATAGGTGTGGCTCTGAATTCTAATAATTGCCTAGCCTAGGGCAAATTAACCTCGCCTGTCAGTGCCTCAGTAGCCTCATCTATAAAATGAAGGTTGGACAGAGTTGTATTTTATCAGGAAACATGTCAGTGTTACCAAATTCTTCTCCAGTTCGGGTTAACTTCATTGTCTGTGCAGTTGAAACTGTGCTGTGTACCAAGCCCATCTTTCACCCTAAGCAGGAAAAGCTGCTTTGGGCCCATAGCCTCTGTGCGAGAGGCATTTGGAGTTAACCTTTGTTTGAATGTCCCTGGTTAGCTATAGAGTATAAACACTGAAGGCAAGGGCCATGCCTGTCTTGCAATTTGCTGTATCCCTAATGCTCCAGGCCAGGTGCCTGGCACAAGGGTAAATGCTCGTTCATTAAATATTTGTTGAATGAATGACTGCCAACCAGGACATTTGCATACGTTGCCTCTGCAATCTTCACAGCCAACATTATAATGAGATAGGTAGTATCAACTCAGTTTTGCAGATGAGTAAAACTGATGGGGAAAGGCTTAGCTGCTTGTTCAAAACCCCACAGCCAAGAGTTGGAGCTGACTCTAAAGATCACAGTCTTTTTTTTCTTGAGATGGAGTCTTGCCCTGTTGCCCAGGCTGGAGTGCAGTGGCGCAATCTCAGCTCACTGCAAACTCTGCCTCCTGAGGTTCAAGCAATTCTCCTGACCCAGCCTCCCAAGTAGCTGGGATTACAGGCGCCCACGACCATGCCCAGCTAAGTTTTGTATTTTTAGTAGAGACAAGGTTTCCCCATGTTGGCCAGGCTGGTCTCGAATTCCTGACCTCAGGCGATCTGCCCGCCTCGGCCTCCCAAAGTCCTGGGATTATGGGTGTGAGCCACTGTGTCCTGCCTAAAGACCATACTCTTAAAAAAAAAAAAAAAAAAGAAAAAGAAAAATTATTTCATTGTGGTAAAATCTGCATGACATGAAATTTACCATTTTAACCATTTTAAGTATACAGTTCTGTGGCATTAACTATATTGGCAGTGTGCAACTATTACCATCATCCATCTTTTTTTTTTTTTTTGAGACAGAGTCTCACTTTGTTGCCTAGGTCAGAGTGAGTGCAGTGGCACAATTTTGGCTCATTGCAACCTCCGCCTCCTGGGTTCAAGCAATTCGCCTATCTCATCCTCCCAAGTAGCTCATTACAGGCATGCACTATGCCCAGCTAATTTTTGTATTTTTTGTAGAGACGAGGTTTCACCACGTTGGCCAGGCTGGTCTCAAACTCCTGACCTCAAGTGATCTGCCTGCCTCTGCCTCCCAAAGTGTTGGGATTACAGGCGTGAGTCACAGCATCCAGCACCAGCATCCATCTTAATCTGTGCTTTTTATCACTGTTAACGTTGCCTCTGTTTGTTCTTCAGGGTACTTTTAACCATCTGAAATTAGATTTAAAACTTTTTTGAGCAGAAAAACTGAAGGAATCTGGAGGTTTAAACTTTCAGACTGCACTGAATGCTGGGTCAATGTTTTCCCTTTCCCATCACCTTAGCCAGCTCCATTTCATGAAGAATTACTTGTTGGCTAATAATAGCTGAGTATGTTGTTTTGAACAGGAATACCTGCTATCATGTCTACTTTCTGACACTGAATTGGAGCTGTTTGGTCTATGCCTGCTGTTGCTCAGCCTAGTGGGCCAGTAATTTAAATTCTCTGAACTCTGAGAAGCTGTGTACCCCACATTTGTAGCTGTGTACCTGCTTGATGGGTTAGATCACTCGGGCTAAAGTCCACTTTCTGCCTTGTACTTGGGAAATGAATTTGCTTTGTCATCCTCTCCAGCTTCCTGCCAGGATTCCAGTTCGCTGCTTTCAGTTTCAGTTTGGGGTTTAAAAATGTTTCTTAATCTTTCTCTGGCTGAATTACCTGTATAATACACATACAAATAAGCTTTGACTGTGGGATAAGTTGGAAAGGTGTGAAAGGAGATTTGAGGATAGGAATGGATCTGCCTAAGTTGGGTAGCTTGACTTTCCCACTTACTAGTGTTCCTACTGCAGTGGTCTTAAAGTCCTATCCTGATGGCAGAGCCAAAGGGTGAAATATGACACAAGCTGGGGATGAGAATTGGCAATTGTCCTGAGTGCACAAATAGTTTCTTCCCTCCAAAACATATTTTGCAGCCAAGTGAACAGAAAACAATTCAGCAGGCTACTTACTGAAGACCTGCTGCAAAAAAATTCTGTTTTCAAAACGGTAGACATACAGCTTTTCCAAAATGTTTTCAAAAGAGCAAATTGCAAACTAGGCTTATTTTTCTCCCATATTCTCCCTGATCCCTAAGTGTAATGCTAATTCCAGATATACTTCTAAGCCTGTTTGTGGATGGTAGGGGCTGGATTTCCCCAAGTTTGACCAGTCACAAACATCCTTCACTTTAGATCACTGTCAGCTAGACAGGAAACTGCTGAGAAGACTCAAGTTCAAGCTTTGTATTGAATAGTCAAGCAAACAGGTGCAGTTTGGCCCCAGCCCAGCTCTCTTTATGTAAATATTATCAAGCACATATACCATAGGCAGGCCATTGGTATTGTAATTTCAGTCATTACTGACTAATATGACAGGCCACCATTGCATGAGGCTTGACCTCAGGTACCTGCTCTAATTATAGCCTTCCTTTCTGGCAGCTGCAAGCACCTGGAGGAGCAGGCAGGCCCCCAACAGAAAATTATTTGCTGTTATTAGCATTTCTGTTGATCAGTTGTGTACTGTCAGAGCTTGTTTCATGCTATGTTTATGTATAATTAAAAACAGCTCAGTGGATTCGTTGGTTTATGGTTGGATTATGTTTAGAAACATGCAGTTTGGATTGTTACATAGCGTGGGAAGTGGAGATGATGTCACTGGTTTGAGTAAGACCAGAAGAGAAGCAGTTAATGTAATTACCAACAATTTCCTTGATCTCTGTAATGAACGCAGCTTACTGAAACCCTTTAGTGGCCCTTGGTTTCTGGCACTGATAACCAAGCTGACAATCACGCGCTTCTGCTCAGTTGGGAACTCTGGCTTAGGTGCTTCGTAGTTCCTTCTGATGAAAGGGGATTTGTGAGTAATTAAAAAGAACACCAACATTTACAAAATGATACTTCCAAAAAAGAAACTACAAATGGCTCTTTTTTTTTTTTTTTTTTTTGAGACGGAGTCTGGCACTGTTGCCTGGGCTGGAGTGCAATGGTGCTATCTTGGCTCACTGCAACCTCCACCTCTCGGGTTCAAGCGATTCTACTGCCTCAGCCTCCCGAGTAGCTGGGATTACAGGTGCCCGCCACCGTGCCTGGCTAATTTTTTGTACTTTTTTTAGTAGAGACGGGTTTCACTATGTTGGCCAGGCTGATCTTGAACTCCTGACCCCGTGATCTGCCCACCTCGGCCTCCCAAAGTACTGGGATTACAGGCGTGAGCCACTGAGCCCAGCCTTTACAAATGGCTCTTAAACCTGTAAAAAGATACTCAGCCTCTCAAGATCTCACTGAGATATATTTTTTTTAACCTATTAGATGGGAGAAATCCAAAATGTTAGAGAAACACCACTGATGAGCAAGTGGGGAAAATAGGCGTACTCTTATATTCTTGGTGGGACCATTAGCGTACAACTTTTATTGAGGGAAGTTTGGATATATTTATTAAAACCACAAACTCTGGCACAGCAGTATCACTTAATAGGAATTTATCTCACAGATTGTATACACTTGCATGTATACAAAACTGTGTGCTTAAGCTTATTTGTGGAAGAGTTAATGACTGGAAACAAACTCAAAAGTCCACTGGTTAAATGATGATCCATCTGTATAGTGGTTACAGCTGTAAAAAACAATGAGGATGCTCTTTATGTACTAACAGAGATGTTTTCAAGATACAGTATTAAGAGAATAAAGCAAAGGGCATTGTATATTATGCTACCATTTGTATAAAAAAGGGGGAAAATAAGATTGTATATTATGTTTGCTTGAATGTGTATAAGAAAGTTCTGGAAGGATATTTAAGAAAGTAATATGAACAGTTATATCTGTGTGTGTATGTTGAGGAAAAAAGAGAACATGATTTTCTGTATTATGTGCACATATTAACTTTATTTTAAAAAGTGAAGCTTCTGGCTGGGCTCAGTGGCTCATGCCTATAATCCTAGCACTTTGGGAGGCTGAGATGGATGGATCGCTTGAGCTCAGGAGTTCAAGACTAGCCTGGGCAACATGGCTGTCTCTCTCTCTTTTTTTTAATATTAACAAATAATAATAATACAAAATAAAAAGTAGTGCTTCTTTGAATGCCGTAGTTATAGAACTCTCTTTTAATTGATTTCTTTACCCATTCTTGTTTTCCTGTGGGTAATAAGGGAGATTTCCTCATACTGTTGCTGATGGTACTAATGTTTGTTACTTTCTGTGTGGGAAGAAAGTGATACACAAATTTGTTGGTCCTGGTGTTTTTCCTATTGTTCCTCAGCCAGAATAGAAGGCTTTAAAGACGTGTATACCAGGAGCCTCAGGTTCTGTGACAAACCCTAAGAAACAGGCTTTTTCCTTTTGTTTAACAATTAGGATAATATCTGGACAGTACTGAAGTCTGTTGCCTTTTCTCTTTTTCTATAGGAACCTACAAGCAGCAATTGGCGCCTATTATGACTTTGAGAGCCCAAACATCAGTGTGCCCTCTATGTCCTTTGTTGAAGATGTCACCATAGGAGAAGGGGAGTCAATACCTCCGGATACTCAGTTTGTAAAAACATGGCGGATCCAGAATTCTGGTAAGTACATAATGGGCAATCCTCCCTTGCCTAGTTTTCATTTTCTTAATAGTTAAATAAGAAGGAAATGTTTTAGCTTATGTATGTGATTGTGTAACTGCGAGCTTTCTCTTACACATGATATGTAGTATTTTCTTGTACTGGTGTGATGACCAAACATTAGTGAAATATCTCCTGCTCTAAAGTAGGAAGAAGAATTTATGTCTCATGCTTTTAAGCCACCTATAACTTAATGGCATCTAAACACAATCCAATATTGGTTTTGTTACTAGGAACTAGACTTCTATATGATGGGGTATTGGCTCCACCTGTACAGTTTTACTTCATCACTTTATTTCTGCTCTAATTAATCTTCCAGTCATTTCCAGCAGGCTAGAGGAGGTGTATCCTTGAATAGAACAAGGTAGTTGGAAAGAGCTGTGAGCATCTGCTCTTTTGAAAGCTCTTTTTTTTTTTTTTGCAACCACAAGGATGATTGTCTCTGAAATTTCATTAGGATATCTGAGACATTAATACCACTTTGAAAAATAGGGTAGGAAATATGGGAATTTGCTCAAAATGGGAGACAGAGAAATTGTTGGTTTAAAAAAAAAATACAGATTGGGTGTGGTAGCTCACACACAGAATCCCAGCACTTTTTTTTTTTTTTTTTTTGAGACAGCATCTCGCTCTGTTGCCCAGGCTGGAGTGCAATGTTGTGATCATGGCTCACTATAGCCTTAAACTCTTGGGCTCAGGCGATCCTCCTGCCTCAGCCTCTCCTGAGTAGCTGGGTCCACAGGCGTGCACTACTGTGCCCAGCTAATTTTTTAATTGTAGAGATGGAGTCTTCCTGTGTTGCCCAGGTTGATCTCGAACTCTTGGGCTCAAGCTATCCTCTCACTTGGATAGCTGATATTACATATGTACACTGCACATGGCCTCCCAGCACTTTTACAGGTCAAGGCAGGAGGATCACTTGAGCCCAGGAGTTTAAGACCAGCTTTGGCAATGTAGCGAGATCCTGTCTCTACAAACACTAAAAAGAAAAAAATACAAGAAAAACATTGTTTTGATGTACTGCAGCCTCTTTTAAGACAAACTAGAAATAAGTTAACCATAGGCTGAGCATGGTGGCTCATGCCTGTAATCCCAGCTTTGGGAGGCCGAGGTGGGAGGATCACTTCAGATGAGGAGTTGGAGACCAGTTGGGCCAACATGATGAAACCCCATCTAAAAATACAGAAATTAACCGGGTATGGTGTTGGGCACCTTTAATCCCAGCTACTTGGGAGGCTGAGGCAGGAGAATTGCTTGAACCCAGGAGGTGGAGGTTGCAGTGAGCTGAAATCATGCCACTGCACTTCAGGCTGGGTGACAGAGTGAGACTCCATCTCAAAAAAAAATTAAAAATAAAAATAAATAAATTAACCATAGTTCTTTGAAAATAGTGTCTATGTGTCTAAATTTTTTTTCTTTCTTTCTTTCTTTTTCTTTTTTTTTTTTTTTTTTTGAGACAAGGTCTCACTCTGTCACCCAGGCTGGGAGTGCAGTGGTGCAATCTTGGCCTCCTGGGCTCAAATAATCCTCTTACCTTGGCCTTCTGAGTAGTTGGGATTACAGATGTGAGCCACCGCACCATGCCTGGCTAATTTTTTAAAGTTTTTGTAGAAATAGGGTTTCATTGTGTTGCTCGGGCTGGGCTCACACGATCCTCCCACCTTGGCATTCTAAAATGCTGGGATTACAGGCATGAACCACTGCACCTGGCCTTAAATTATTTTCTAATGAGTTTTGGGAGCAGGGGTTGGGTTTTGTATTTCTTGTCACATCTAATGACAATTTATGTTGACTGGTCGAAGGTGTTTTAACTTTCTTATTATTAATGAGAACTTCAGAGAAAAATTCTGAGAGATGGAAAACTAGGCTAAAAATACGTGTTTGTGGGGGTGCCCTGTCTAGCAAGTTAATTTTATATGAGATGATTTAAAACTCTGAGGACTCAAATAAACCTATAAAAGTGACCTTTTATTGATTTGGTTTACTTTTCAGTTCTTTACAATTCAGTTCTTTATGATGGGGAAAGACTGGCTAGACCAGCCTTTTATGTAAGAATGTACCAAATTGAATTGTTATTCTTAGTTTTTCTGGCATATTTAGAAGTAACTCACCTTTGGAGGAAAGTTCAGTGTGTCATTGACCAAACACATAGTTTGGACTGACCCAATGTTGTGGATGACTCAGGACACCTGTGACTTTGTAAAATTTCATTCGCCCCCTTTCCTTTTTAGTTGTAACAGTTAGTTATAACAGTTAGTTTGGGAGGTACATGGTAACAGAGGAAAATAGCCATATTTTCTATTTTTCTTGAAATTCTTACTTGTTCAAAGTCTAATTTGCTTTACTTTGCCTAATTTCTTTCTCACCTTGCTTGATTTTGCCTGCTTTTAAAAAAATATCAAGACAGTTTCTTCATTTTATAATAGCTTTTATTCATCATGTTTTTATTCTGAATTTAAAACCTGCTGTGTTACTGATCAAAAATGCTTTCAGAGGCTGGGTGCAGTGGCTCACACCTGTAATCCCAGCACTTTGGGAGGCCAAGGTGGGCAGATCACTTGAGGTCAAGAGTTCAAGACTAGCCTGGCCAACATGGCAAAACCCCGTCTACTAAAAATACAAAAAATTAGCTGGGCATGGTGTTGCATGCCTGTAGTCCCAGCTACTTGGGAGGCTGAGGCACAAGAATCACTTGAACCCAGGAGGCAGAGGTTGTAGTGAGCCAAGATCGCGCCGCTGCACTCCAGCCTGGGCAACAGAGCCAGACTCCATCTCAAAAAAAAAAAAAAAAAAAAAGTTTTTTGGAATCTACCAGTGAGATATATATATATATATAATTTTTTTTTTTTTTAATAAATGAGGTTTGTTTGGAAAGTGTGACTTGAATTCAAGTTTTATTTGTTTATTTTAAAGTGAAGTCAGTACCTTGTTTACTTAATAGTGAAAACAATGAAAATGGCCTGGCTTTCTGTGAGCTCTTCAGTGTTTTTAAATACTGAAAGTTGTTAGAGTACTGTTGAAATGTTTTAAATACCATCTTGTGGCAGACTAACCATTTTATATTTCAAAAAGCCTCTTGATATATCTACTTACTAGACTGTTACTTGGGTTAATGGGGAGCTTTGGGAGGTTGGTATGTAGTAGTTAGACTGTCAAATCAGAACCCCCAAAGCCTACCTTTCATGTTGACTTACAAAAATCTCTCTTGGTGGGCCTGACTGCTTTTCCCCTCTGCATTTGCTTTGTAACCTCAGTTTAAAACAGCTTCTGAATCTCTTTCCTTGTGTGAAAGGGCATTCTTGTGCCTGAACAGGTCTTGAAAGGTTAGGTAGCAGTTGCTAGAGATTTTATCTTTCAAGGTGCTTTGCATAAATAGGTTTTCTCTTCTGGAAGTTGTCCCCCCAGCTGTAGAGTAGTTTTAATCTATAAATTGGATGTTTTCCATTTGGTTAAGGAGAATCTGGCCACCCGTTACTGAGTATCAGGCATGTTATTTGAGAGAGGAAGAACATGCATGTGCACAGGTTTTTGGCATCATCCTAATCTGGCCTGAGTTATTTCTGTAAATAGAGTAGTAACATGGAAGTAGGGCAGGCCTTGGCAGTTTTTCCTCTGGCTGTCTTACTCTCATTCATAACCTCCCTAAGAAATAAGCACTCACTGAAAGAGCTACATAAATAATAATTTTTATGGCACTTCTGTCTTGTCATGTTTTAGGCGTGCTGGGCATGCAAATATACCACAGATGAGACTGATAGGAATCGCATATAGTTGTCCCAATAGCTTTCCCGAAGAAGGCGAACGTTGCGCACTGTTTAAAATTAAATTCCTGGCCAGGCGTGGTAGATAGCTCAACCCTGTAATCCCACTACTTTGGGAGGCTGAGGCGGGCAGATCACCTGAGGTCAGGAGTTCAAGACCAGCCTGGCCAACATGGTGAAACCCCATCTCTACTAAAAACCCCATCTCTACTAAAACTGCAAAAAAATTAGCCAGGCATGGTGGCAGGCGCCTGTAATCCCACGTATTCGGGAGGCTGAGGCAGAAGAATTGCATGAACCTGGGAGGTGGAGGTTGCAGTGAGCTGAGACCGCGCCACTGCACTCCAGCCTGGGCGGCAGAGACTCCGACTCATAAATAAATAAATAAATAAATAAATAAATAAATAAATAAATAAAAATAAATAAATAAAATTAAGCTCCTAATATTTTTTAAGTCCTTAGATTTAGATTTGCAGAAGCAGAACTGAGATATCTAATAACATAGATGCAAAATTCTAGGATTCAGACTTCTGTCACTGTGGAAGCATTGGAAGCTTAGTAAACCTGAGCAGGAAACTTTGGGAGTTAAAATGAAAATTTAAAACTGTCCCTCTAAAAATATGAGTAGACAGAATTCTCTTTACCAGCACCTAGAGCTTCTCAGTTGTTATACTACCATGCTCTGTTGTACAATTGTAGTGAATATTAAGCTGTGCATGTTATGATAACCCTAGTGTTTCTCTGACTTTGGTGAAATTTTTGTGATTGTCATATGAGAGGGTATCTTGGGCATATTGATACAGAGTCGTCTTTATTTTTTGAACTTCATAGAAGTGAATATAAAGGGATGGGAAAAGAACTTGAGAAAGAACAATTATTTCCCCCATTTTTCTTCTAGTGCATTAAAATAGTTAGCTTTCTACCTTTCTCTTCAGTATGATTCTAGAGAAGATAATTTTGCTTCTTTCATTCAACACATTTTATTATGTTCCAGTCACTTTATTAGGTACAAGGGAGGAATGGTCACAAGATTGATGAAGGTTTCTGCTTTCATGGAGCTTAATATGAAATGCAGTGTCCACACTTATAAGGGTTAAAAAGGAGATCATCATTAAGGTTTGTCTTCTGTATTGCTATTTGGATATTCCTTACTGTCTCCAGACTATTTCTATAATTGTATATACTTACTAAGTCCCCTGGGACTGTTGGACTTTTGATTTTTGTGATGCTTGCTACCATCTCAAAATTGTAACATGACAGGGTTTTTTTTGTTTTTGTTTTTACTTTATTTTAAAAAATAAAGTGATATTTCATATCTGGAGAATTACAGCCTTAATTATATACTTGATTGTGATACTTAACTAGGAACGTCATAAAACACAGATTAGTCTTTCTTTTCTTCTAGATAGAAATCTATCCCCCATTAATCCAGTTTGCAACTGAGACTTAATTTGGAGTCCAGTTCTATTATACTTCTCGAACTCAGATTTCAGGTATGTTTAGTGTAGTCCAGACAACTCACTGGTATTCCCTTCCTTCTGTATCAAGCATCAATATCTTTGACCTTTTCAGAGTTACGTGACCTAACAGTTGTGACTATAAGAATTGTATGTATCATTGATAACACTCAGAAGGCAGATGATTGGTTTTTCACTTCATAGCCAATGAACACTTCAGAGTTGTTGGTGGATAACTCTTCTAGCCCAGAGGTTCTTTAAATACTCCACTGAGAAGTAATAGGTATCTGGAGTACCAAGAAGGGCAGGACCCTAGCCAAATGCCAGTGTTTAATGTTACCCATTTAATGTTTTACTGACTAACTCAGTTTCTCTGGAATGTAGCAGCACTCCTTTTGCACAGCTAAGATGACCCAATCATCTCAGCTGCTTCTGGTTGTGCCTAGGAGAGCTAAGTCTTTTTCACATGCAGTCTTGGTTTACCTTATTTACTTATAAGTTCAAAAAACAGACACATTCTTGGGATTTCATATAAACAGACATTATCTTGTTGCAGGTGTATGTGTATGTGTGTGTATGTATATGTGTGTGTATGTGTGTATCTTAAAGAATAACTGTGAATTCAGCCCCATGATAGTAGTATAATTTTTCTTTTCGATTTTGGTCTTTAAGGAGACTGACATTTTGTAAGGTGCTTCATGTCAGCTACTGTTCTGCTTGTTGTAAGACAAATAGGCTTTTGCCAGACCTCAGAAATGAAAAAGATAAGTTGCGTGTATTGTCAGTATATCATCCACAGCCTTTCCTCCAGCAGTGGTTGCCCTTTATAGGGTTAACTTAGGACATTTTGTTGGCAAATTTTTTTAGAAGAAGGTATGCTAAAACATAGTGGCCACTGCTTTAGCTGCTACCCCTTAAGACCCAAGGAGCACAGAGGGTGCCATTCATAATGGAGCTGAGATCTCAGGAGTAGAACTCTGGTTGCCTTTCTCTGTCTGGTTTCTTTCCAGTAGTGAGCCATCAGGTATGTCAAAACTGGGCACTTAGAGAGCAAGGAACTGAGGCATCTTAGAGTACTGGTAGGAGATAAATGACAAGCACCCTCTGTTCTAAGAGTCCTGCCATGTTCAAGTTTTCACAGTGGTTTATTTTTATAATGAATGTATATATTCCAAAAAAAGATATATAGAAGTTTCTGTCTACAGTTAAAAAGGAGTATATCAATTGCTGCATATTGGAGAGACTTCACAGGAAAAATCACATCTAGTCACTGTGTGGCTACCTATACCGCTTGACTAGTGGGAACTAGTCAACACATAGATATCTCATGAATTAGTTACATGAAAATAGGTACACAAGAGTGGGTACCGGCTGGGCGCCATGGCTCATGCCTGTAATCCCAGCACTTTGGGAGGCCAAGGCAGGCAGATCACCTGAGGTCAGGAGTTCATGATCAGCCTGGCCAACATGGTGAAACCCCATCTATGCTAAAAATGCAAAAATTAGGCCAGGCGCTGTGGCTCACACCTGTAATCCCAGCACTTTGGGAGGCTGAGGCAGACGGATCATGAGGTCAGCAGTTCGAGACCAGCCTGGCCAACATAGTGAAACCCCATCTCTTGTAAAAATACAATAATTAGCCAGGCGTGGTAATGGGCGCCTGTAATCCTAGCTACTCAGGAGGCTGAAGCAGGAGAATTGTGTAAACCCAGAAGGCGGAGGTTGCAGTGAGCCAGAGATTGTACCATTCATTGTACTCCAGTCCAGGCGACTCTTTAAAGAGTTACAGGTTAAATTTAACCTGTAACTCTATAAAAATCTATCTCCCTTTGACAGGTCTGATTGACCCTCCTTCCCATCCTATCCGCAAGTACCTCCAACTCCTCCAACTAGTGCCATTGTTCCTGCGACCACAGTTCATTGATGTTATCAGGGGAGATCACCCCATTGTTTATATTTTCACTACCACCCAAGGTCTAAACTTTTACTGCCTTTTATATTCATGTGGTCTCTTGAGCTCTTGAGTATTTTATAGTTATGGACCCCAGAAGAAAAGTCATACCTCAGGCAAAAAGCAATTTTAAATTGAGAATAATACCATTGAAATTACTCCTTGTGTGTTTCATCCTCTTGTTTCTGTGGAAAAACTGGCAACAATCAGATATACTGTGAAAATGGACATGTGTTACCTTTTAGTAGAGAGAGCTGTCCCCTAAACGTGGGCCTGTGCTTCATCTCCATGGCTCTTCATGGACATCATTCTTAGGTTCTACAGATTCAGTGTGACGTGTGGCCTTCCCTGGAGTCACCTGAAATACTTGTCTTGAGGAACTGCCTTGCTTTTGCCTTTTGTGCTTCTTCATAGGGTTAGACTATTGGTCAGAGGTTGTTGGTTCTGATAATTCCTTTTGATCAGTTGTGTGAGACAATATATGGCTTAGGTATATGTGGTTAGGTTTATGTATGTATGTGAGAAAAAGAAAGAGGCCTCTTCTACAGTTTCATAATAAACTGCACCCAGCATAGGACCATTGATTGCCTAACATTTTTTTCTTTTGCTTGAACTCAGGGGCAGAGGCCTGGCCTCCAGGGGTTTGTCTTAAATATGTCGGGGGAGACCAATTTGGACATGTGAACATGGTGATGGTGAGATCGCTAGAGCCCCAAGAGATTGCAGATGTCAGCGTCCAGATGTGCAGCCCCAGCAGAGCAGGAATGTATCAGGGACAGTGGCGGATGTGCACTGCTACAGGACTCTACTATGGAGGTGAGTATGTCCTTGTGCAGCCCAGGGTAAAGGAACTAAGGTAACATCTTATAACATCCCCAGTGTTGCTCACAGAGCCTGTCAAATTGCATAACAGGGCATGGCCTCTTTTTAACAGTCACCTCATGCAGGTAAATGATTTGCATTTTATGACTAATTGATTAGTCTAGTGCTCTTTCTTTTATCCTAGGAATATAATTTAGTGACCTGTACGAGGTATTATATTTTGTGTTCTAAATAAATATTTAGTAGTGCTGTTGTTTTTATTATATAAGCTGGTAGATACTGTAAGAATACTAAAGGCAGTCCTTGTTCTCAAAGTCTCTAGACACAAGTCATATAAAACAGATAATGCACAAAATGTGCATACTTCTTCCAACCTACTTGTCAAACTGCTAACATATCTCACTCCCTTCTCTTTATTGCCAAACGTTTTGAGCAGTGATCTATACTCACTGTCTCTTCTTTCACATTTTCCATTCACTCTTCAACCCAATTTATCCTTTATCCACTCCCCACTCCAATGAAAGTTAATCAGGGACTACCCTGTTTCCAAATCCAGTAGCCTCATTACAGTCTTCATACCAGCTGACCTTTTAATGATCATTTGGCACCATACTACACAAGTTTTTTGAAATAGGTACTTTCTTAGACTCATAGGACATCTCTCCTGTTTGTCTTCCTCTTCTCTGTTCTTTCTCTGTCTCTGTCTATTCTCAACTTTACCCTGGGATTCCTAGATTCTTAGTTGGGCCCCATTCATGGTTGGTGACCTCATTCACCCATGCGGCTTCAGCTGTCGCCAGTATACCATACACGGTGATGCTCAAATTAATATCTATAGCTGTGGCCTCTTTTCTGAACCCCACACCCATGTTTTAACTCGTTATGGGCAGAACTTTTAACATCTCCCAGACACAATTTATATCTGCTGGGCATGGTGGCACACGCCTATAATCCCAGCACTTTGGGAGGCTGAAGTGGGAGAATTGCATGAACCCAGAGGCTCGAGATCAGCCTGGGCAAAACAGAGAGACCCTGTCTCTACAAAAAATAAAATTAGCCTGGCGTGGTGGGGTGAGCCTGTTGTCCCAGCTACTTGGGAGGCTGAGGTGGGAGAATTGCTTGAGCCTAGGAGGTCGAGGTTGCAGTGACCCATGATCACACCACTGCACTCCAGTCTGAATTACAGAGTGAGCGCCTGTCTCAAAAAAACAAAACAAAACAAAAAAACCAACCTTATATCCTTCTCATTGGCACCCCCCTGAGATAATCGGGTCAGAAACCTGGGAGCCATCATTTGTTCTGTCATTCCTAATCAGAAACTGATTCCTATTGGTTCCACTATATCCTGTGTCCTGGAGATCAAAAACAAATAAATAGTAAATAGTACTTGCCTTCACAGAGCTCTTAACTGGACTCATGGCCTGTGGGCCAGTGGGAACTTTGGAGTTGTTTCTAGACATCCTAGAATTAGTGATCTCATATATGTTTTTGGAGCCAGTGGCAACTTTAGAAATGTTAATATTAGAAAGAGTCTCATAGTGCTTATGTGACATCATTCTTTGCCTAAAGCCTTTGTACCTACTGTAATGAAGCTAAACTCCTTGGCACAGGATATAAGGCTCACGATCTGGCCTGGACTCATTTTCACTCCCATCTTCAGTCATCCCCTAACTCCCCCACAGTCAGTCCCCAAAGATGCCATATGCTTTCACTTCTCCATGCCCTTGCTCATTTGTCTCATTGCCTGAAATATCCTTTTATTTCACCAAACTGCTGCTCATCCTCAAGGCCCTGCCTGAGTCACCTTTCCTTCTTGCTTCCTCCCCCTTGCCTCCTCTCCCCACTACCCTAAGAAAATTCATCCCTCCCCCTTCATTAATATCATGCACATGCTTGTTATTATATTTAACACATTGTATATTAGGTATTTGTTTTGCTTATCCTTTTATCCTATGAAATTGTGAACAATTTGTTGAATAATTGAATAATCACGTATCAAAATGTAGAGAGGTTATTTGTCTCTTCCCTGTAGGACTCCATTTTCAGGCAGTGTCTGCTAAGAATCCCCTTGACCTGGGATTGGAAGTTGTTTCTCCCACTGCTGAGCTCCTTTATATTAGCTCTTCACCTCTCACTCCTTTGTTTCTTCTCTTGGCACTTTACGTCTTTCTACCCATTTAATTTGATAAATGTCTCATGTCATCTTTAAAACTGAAGGTGACACATGTCTGGTTTATCTTTATAACTCAAAAATGTTGAGCTTAATGCAGAATGGAGAATAGCTACTTAGTAAATTTTTAAAATACATGCTACCATTTTTAAGGGGAGAAGAAGACAATATACATGACTTAAAAATAAAAAAAAATCCCTTTGATGAAAAAATACTACTTCTCAATGTTCCCTAGTGGTTAAGAACGCTAGTCTTGTTTTATGTGTGTGTGTTTTTAGTGTTAAATTTAAAATAATTATCACTATGTGGGACATTACATTTTATACTCATAGCAACTCTCTCAAATTCAAAAGTAGTTGGAATATAAATATGAGGGGACTTTAAAAAGATCTTGGAAAAATGGAATTAAAAAATAAAAGTAAAGGCCGGGTGCAGTGGTTCAAGCCTGTAATACCAGCACTCTGGGAGGCCGAGGTGGGCATATCACTTGAGGTCAGGAGTTCAAGACCAGCCTGGCCAACCTAGTGGAATCCTGTCTCTACTAAAAATACAAAAATTAGCCGGGCAGTTGGCTCACGCCTGTAATCCCAGCTACTCGGGAGGCTGAGGCAGGAGAATTGTTTGAACCTGGGAGGTGGAGGTTGCCATGAGCCGAGATCGCGCCACTGCGCTCCAGCCTGGGCAACAGAGTGAAGGCTTCATATCAAACAAAAAAAGATAAAAATAAGATATATAAATTTTATTTCTCAACATAAGCTTCATCAAGTTCAAGACACTTTTGTAAGTAATGATAACAGCCATTTAGTCCATCCCCAAAGAACTGAGGGTCCTAAGAATTTAACCATGTAAATGCAGGTTTTTTTTTACATTATTAACTGAAGAAAACTGGGTGTCCATTAAAGATTTTTAAGACTAGGAAACAAAAAGAAGGTAGAAGGAGCCAAGTCAGGACTGTAAGGTGGATGCCTAATGATTTCTCATGGAAACTGTTAGAAAATTGCCTTTGCTTGATGAGAGGAATGAGCAGGAGCATTGTCATAGTGGAGTAGATCTTTTTCTGCTAAAGCTTTGGCTGAGTTTCTTAAAACTAACACACACACACACACGCACTTTTTTTTTTTTTTTGAGATGGGTCCTTGCTCTTGTCGCCCAGGCTGGAGTACAGTGACATGATCTTGGCTCACTGCAACCTCCACCTCCTGGGTTCAAGTGATTGTCCTGCCTCAGCCTCCCGAGTAGCTGGGATTACAGGCGCTCACCACCACACCTGGGTAATTGTTTTTGTATTTTCAGTAGAGACGGGGTTTCACCATGTTGGCCAGGCTGTTCTTGAACTCCTGACCTCAGGTGATCTGCCCACCTTGGCCTCCCAAAGTGCTGGGATTACAGATGTGAGCCACTGCGCCTGGCCTCTCTCTCTTTCATTCTTTCCTTTTTTTTTTTCTCCTTGGTCACCCAGGCTGGAGTGCAGTGGAACGATCATAGCTCACTGCAGCCTCAAAGTCCTTGGCTCAAGTGATCCTCTTGCCTCAGCCTCCCAAGTAGCTGGGACTACAGGCATGTGCCATCATGCCTTTTTTTTTTTTTTTTTTTTTTTTTGGTAGAGACGGGACCTCCCTATGTTGCCTAGGTTGGTCTCAATTCCTGGACTCAAGTGGTCCTCCCTCCTCAGCCTCCTAAAGTGTTGGGATTACAGGTGTGAGCCACTGTGCCCAGCTCTCAGAACACTGTTATTATTCTTAGGCCCTCTAGAAAGTTGACAAGCAACATATCCTGCGGAGCCAAAAAAAATTTGTTGCCATGACCTTTGCTCTTGACTGGTCCACTTTTGCTTTGACTGGCCCACTTCCACCTCTTGGTAGCCATTGCTTTGATTGTGCTTTGTCTTTAAGATCACAGTGGTAAAGCCGTGTTTCATCTCCTGTTATAGTTATTTGAGAAATACTTCAGGATCTTGATCCCCTTGCTTAAGATTTCCATTGAAAGCCCTGCCCTTGTCTGCAGCTAATCTGGGTTTAACAGTTTTGGTACCCATTGATTGGAAAGTTTGCTCAACTTTAATTTTTTAGTCAGAACTGTGTAAGCTGAATCGGTTGAGATTCAGCTGTGGTGTTGGCTGTTGTTTCTGCTATTAATCATTGGTTCTTGTTCAGTTAGAGCATACACAAGATTAATTGTTTCCTCCAAAATTAATGTGGATGGTCCGCTGCTATGGGCATCTCCAGCGTCATGTCGTCCCTTCTTAAAACAGGTTATCCATTTGTAAACTGCTGATTTCTTTGGGGCATTATCCCCATAAACTTTTTGTAAAGCATCAATGATCTTCCATAGTGGATTCAAACTTCACTATGAATTGGATGTTTGCCCTTGCTTCAGTTTTAGCAAAATTCATAGTGAGGAGTTTTTTTTAAACTGATGTCTTGTCCTTAGTGCCTCAAACTAGGTGCTGTTCAGATTTGTTATAATAAGCTAGTAAGAGTTTACTTTGATGCAAAAAGAAGTTGAAATCCATGCATAGTTTTTTCATAATACTCAATTTCCATGATTTTTTTTCTTTTTTTTAGATTTAATTTTGTGCTTACCCACCATGAACTTTTTGAAGATGCTTTGTATACTAGCCTTGGAGCAAAAACATTAACATTTTAACTTTAAACCCCTAATTTTAACTTAACAACCCTTTTTTGGTCTTAATAGTCTGTAAGTTGTTTCTCAGGACTTTGTGGAATCTAGTGCCTTCAAGGGATTTTAATAATTCATCTGATTTTGTAGTTTTCAAGCATTTTTGTTAAGCTATGGAACCTTTTCCTTGACAGAAGTATATATGAATGCCTCCTTGTAAAATGGGAAAGGATAAACATGAAATGTTTCGTTGAATTCTGGGCCTCCTTGGCTTATGTTTTCCAGCCCTTGTGTGTCTGGGATGACCGCTGGAGCTCTGTGGGGTATAGTTTGCCAACCTTTATCTGCTCCAGTGAACAGTTTAATTCCATTTTATAAAGTACTGTATTTCATTGAATCCAAATTATTATTGGTTGTAAAACATACCCTAGTATCAGTAACAGAAAGAGAATAGATTATGTATACAACCATAGCCATGAGCACATGGAAAAAAATAAACTTCCATAATAACCATGATTGGCTCACTCGGCTTACTAGCTTATTGAGTGTAATATAGTGGCTAAGAGTGTGAACTGTGGGACTCTGTTGCCTAGGCACAAACTTGGACAAATTAGGTAACTTCTCTGGACCTCATCTTTCTGTTTTAACAACAAAAGATTGCTTTTTGGAGGTTTCTGTTTTTGGTGGGGTGGTTGTTTCTATAATTTGTTTTTTTTTTTTTTTTTTTGAGATGGAGTCCTGCTCTGTCGCCCAGGCTGGAGTGCAGTGGCGTCATCTCAGCTCACTGCAACCTCTGCCTCCCAGGTTCAAGCGATTCTCTTGCCTCAGGCTCCCGAGTAGCTGGGATTACAGGCATGTGCCACCATGCCCGGCTAATTTTTGTATTCTTAGTAGAGATGGGGTTTTACCATGTTGTCTAGGCTGGTTTTGAACTCTTGACCTCGTGATCCACCTGCCTCAGCCTCCCAAAGTACTGGGATTACAGGCATGAGCTACCGTGCCTGGCTGCTTCTGTAATCTTTAGATGGTCTTCTTGAGAAAGAATCCACTCCCTTTAATTTATTTATTCATTCATTCATTCATTCATTCATTTATTTGAGACGGAGTCTCGCTCTGTCACCAGCCTGGAGTGCAGTGGCGTGATCTCAGCTCACTGCAACCTCTGCTTCCCGGGTTCAAGCAATTCTTCTGCCTCAGCCTCCCAAATAGCTGGGACTACAGGTGCGCGCCACCACACCCGGCTAATTTTTGTATTTTTAGTAGAGACAGGGTTCACCATGTTGGCTAGGGTGGTCTCAATCTCTTGACCTTGTGATCCGCCCACCTCAGCCTCCCAAAGTGCTAGGATTACAGACATGAGCCACCGCGCCCGGCCCACTCCCTTTATTTTTATAATAACTCTTAGATTGTTTCAGTTCACGTTTCCTCTTAGAAAGAATTTTTGCTGTATTCAGTCAGTTACAGGTCTCCTGTAAAAGGTCTCCTCCACCCTGTTTCAGCTTGGCTGTGCTCTCTCAGAGTTTCTCAGTGGGCGTGCTTTCGGCATGTGGTGTGGACACTTCTTCACTGTGTGGGGCATATTACAAGACCTCTGGCCTCCTCCCACTAAAGATCCGTGGCTTCACCTGTTTATCTTGATAACAAACACTGTCCCCCACCACACAAATTTCTAGCTCACTTGGTCCAAGACTAATAAGTATCTGATTTTTGACAGATTTATTTTCAAGCCCTAACATTTTATCTTTTTTTTCCTCGATTTTGATACCCCTTCCCACTCCACCCCACCAAAGGATTAGCTTCTTAGCTTTTATCTAAGTAGCAAATACTAACAAATAGTAGAAAGTACTAACAAATTCTCGTACTTACTATTTGCCAGGTATTATTTTGGGCTTTTTGCATATGTTACCTTGCGAAATATTAGCTGCATTTTATTGATGAGAAAACTAAAGACCAGAGAGGCTTAAGGTCTAGTAAAAGTTGTAAATTAGTTACGAATTATAGTTATAAATTAACAAAAGTAATTTTATTATCTTTGTCATTACTTTGGCTGTCACTAGTATATGGGGTTCAGAAGGAAACTGGTTCTAGGGTGTTAATACTTGTTAGAGTTTAGTGAGGGTGGAGTATATGGTCCGGAAGTCTTCTCTCTACTTCCAGAGTGAGTGGGCATTGAGGTGGAGTTGAGATTGACAGGGCTATTCTTAGGTAGTTGGGTGTCAGTTTTCCCCAGAGAGTTCCTGCCTGCTAGAAGATACTCAGTTCTATAGGACATTGGACTCTGGGCAAAGGGTAAGCAGCATGAGTGATTGTCCTTGTTTTAGCCTGGATGCCAGTAGTAATATGCTTCATCTCCTACTAACAGAGAGCCGCCTTCCAGATTTCCAAAGGAGAGATTTACCCTGTACCATGACGGTTTCCTCTAACTCTCAGGGTCCTAGTTGTGAAATAAGCTAAGTCAAGTGATAGTCTGATTATCTCGCACTTATGGGGGTTTCCACTACTTGAAGTAGTTCTTGTTAAATACCTCATATGGGTCCCTAGGGACATTTGACATATCGAGTAAATAACCTATGCATTATTCATTTGGTTTCTCAGAGTTTAGAAATGAAGCTCCCCTTATGAAGGTCCCAAACCACAATATGTCCCACATGTTAGGAAACTTATTGGGTGCTCTATGTAAACTACACTGTTTATTTCCCAAAACCTTTGTAAATTCTTCCTTTACTTTCTCCATTTTATAGCATGTCCTACCTAACCAGGTAACATGAGGCTTTCCTTATTTCTTGCTTGTGTTTTAGTAACATCATGTTACAAAAGAAGCTATGGTTTCATACAAACTTCTTCATACTAGAATCCATGATGTCTTCTACTCACATGCTATTCTGCCCGACATTTCTCCCAGTTATCTTGCCCTTTTGCCTATTAACCCCACCTTTAGAACATTGTTCTTTTATGTTGAACTCAAAAAGGCTTCATCTGCTTCTAGAAGATCCTCCATAAGATGCTCACTGTTTCAGTTCTGGTCTCTAGAATTCTCTAATACCAGAAATATGAGTAGCCCTTGAAAATAAGATTCCATTTTTGTTTTTTTTTTCTTTTTTGAGAGAGGGTCTTGCTTTGTCACCCAGGCTGGAATGCAGTGGTGTGATCACGGCTCACTACAGCCTCAACCTCCTAGGCTCAAGCAATCCTCCCAACTCAGCCTCCCAAGTAGCTGGGACCACAGGCATGGGTTTTTGTTTTTGGTTTTGTTTTGTAGAGACGGGGTTTTGCCAAGTTGCCCAGGCTGGTCTTGAACTCCTAGGCTCAAGCGATCCTCCCACTTCAGCCTCCCAAAGTGCTGGGATTACAGGCATGAGCCACAGCAACCTGCCAAATTTCATTTTTGATAAGAGAAATTCTAGCCTAAGCTGTGACTTGTATGGAAAATATTTTAGAAGGAATGTTTCAAAATGTAAATGAGATCTGAAATTCTAAAATATTATGTTATGAGATGATAGGCTATTTCATCTTTGAAGAAGGAAACCTGCCGTCAGTTGCACTGCCACCAGGTGGTGGTGATTGTTTGTTTTGGTGGTCATTTCCAGATAGTTCTGTGTGAGTCAAAGTCGGTATGAAGGCCCGGCATGGTGGCTCATGCCTGTAGTCCCAGCACTTTGGGAGGCCGAGGCAGGTGGATTGCCTGAGCCCAGGAGCCCAAGACCAGCCTGGGCAACATGGTGAAACTCCATCTCTACCAAAAATACAAAAAATTAGCCGGGCATGGTGGCACACACCTGTAATCCCAGCTACTTGGGAGGCTGAGGTGGGAGGACTGCTTGAGCCTGGGAGGCGGAGGTTGCAGTGAGCCGAGATCACTCCACTGCACTCCAACCTGGGTGACAGAGTGAGACCCAGTTTCAACAACAACAACAACAACAACAACAACAACAACAACAACAGCAGCAGCAGCAGCAGCAGCAACAACAACAGCAATGTGAAATGACTGTACTGTTCAGATTAACCTCTAAAATGCATATATGTGGGTCTTGAACCTTCTATGGGCCATCAAAAATTTAAAAATCTGATGAAACAGTAATCCTTTGTAAAGTATAGTAATTAGCAAGATATTGAATGTCTAGGCAGTAAAGCATCAAATGTTTTCACTGCCTAGTCACTTGGCTGTGAGTAGTGTTAATGTGTGCTGTTAGTGCTAATGATGTTTGCTTTAAAATTAATTTTCTTACTCCTCAACTTACCATACACATGTATAGAAAAGGATTTGGTAGAGGGCAAAAATATAATTTGAAAGCTGCACCTTTTTTTACTCATGGTAGCCAGCGCCCTTCTGTTAAACAGAAGCTTCTTTAGTCTGAAATGTTGGATTCCAGAAATTCTGAATTTAAGGGAGTAGTGATATTTCCTTAAAAAATTCTTAAAATCAAGTACAATTCTGTACTAAAATACTAGCATACTTACTGTTAAAAGGAAAATAAATAGTTGTAAAACCATTGACTGTTTTAAAGATGACATATTTCAGCATAATTTGTATCTTAATATAATCCTTAACTTTTTTGTATATATGCATTAGTAAGGACTATAGCTTAGGCCAGATATAGTTAAAGTGTTTTACTTATTTAGGGAATATAGCCCTGTCAGAGTAAAACATTTGCAAATAGAACTTACTGCACTTCCCCAGTTCTGAAGTGACAGTAATTTTAATATGCATCCTTGGTTTAATGATTACTTTCCTTGTAGGGGAGAGAGGTAGAGCCACTGCCATATTAAATGAAAACATTAGATGGTCCATCTTCATTTCAGAGATATTAAAAATGAATAAAAAGGTGATACTTAAAAATTAGATATGTATGTTTTCTCTTTACAAAAGAAAAATATGTTGACATATATGCTGAAACCATTTCAGGTAAGAAATTCTTAAGAAGGTTTCACTGAATTGTTGTGTGATGGGAGTTTTTAGTAAGTGCCATTGTGTGCACTTGCCCCTAGATCAGACTAGAACATGTTTCTTATAAATAAGGAAGTAAGCATAATTGACTTTTATTCAAATTATCAGTATATGCTATAAAACTAATGTGTGGTTATTTTTTAACATAATGATGATTGGTATCTTAAACAGTGTAGAGGGCTTTTAAACTTTTATCTGATAGCTTAGTTTTTGATACAGTTTATATTCCTTAATTATTGTTTAGAATGTAGTCATAACTTCATTCTTAGAAACCTCACATTACTCTGGGGATCTTTGAAGAGGATAATCTCCTATTGAAAAGCAGATTGCATTCTGTTCCTGTAACGATGGTTTGACACCAGCCTTATAATGATGTAATGGGTTTTACCTTGAAATGGCAAGGATATTTTTCAGTTAGAAATTAGTTCTGTAATTTTTATTTTGAAAAAAAATCTTTCTTTAGCTTTTTATTTTTCTCCTTTTATTGTTAAAGAGCTTATACTTTCCTTTATTTACAAAGGGAATGTCAGTGTTGGACATTCAGCCCCGAGAAAGAATGTTGTGAGCCTACTGGCCTCTGGATTTTAATTTAATTTAATTTATTTATTTATTTTGATATAGAGTGTCTCACTCTATCATCCAGGCTGGACAGTGTCAGGATCATAGCTCACTGTAGCCTTGAACTCTTGGGCTCAAGCAGTCCTCCCACCTCAGTCTCACAAGTAGCTGGGACTACCTACCTGGCTAATATTTTTAAAACCTTTTTTGTGGAGCTGGGGTCTCACTGCATTGCCAGGGTTGGTCTATAATTCCTGGCCTCAAGCAATTCTTCCTCTTCGCCTCCCGAAGTGCTGGGAATACAGATGTGAACCAGTACGTCCAGTCTGGATTTCTCTTTGTAGTAACTAATGCCCTTCCAGTTTCTTCTTAAGATTTCCAGGCCCAGCGTGGTGACTCACACCTGTAATCCCAGCACTTTGGGAGGCTGAGGCGCGTGGATCACCAGAGGTCAGGAGTTCAAGACCAGCCTGTCCAACATGGTGAAACCCCACCTCTACAAAAATATAAAAATTAGCTGAGCATGATGGCAGGTACCTGTAATCCCAGCTACTTGGGAGGCCGATACAGGAGAATCACTTGAACCCAGGAGGCCAGGAGGCAGAGGTTGCAGTGAGGCGAAATCGCGCCATTGCATTGTAGCCTGGGCAACAGAGCAAGACTGTGTCTCAAAAAAAAAAAAAAAAAAAAGCTTTCTAAGAGTTTCTTTTCCTCCCTCCCTCCCTCCCTCCCTCCCTTCCTTCCTTCCTTCCTTCCTTTCTTTCTTTTTTTCAGACAGGGTCTCACTCTGGTTGCCCAGGCTGGAGGAGTGCAGTGGCACGATCCTGGCTCACTGTAGCCTTGACATCCCAGGCTCAGGTGATTCTCCCACCTCAACCTCTCAAGTAGCTGGGATTACAGGCACGCGTCATTACACCCCGCTAATGTGCATTTTGATTAGAGACGGGGTTTTGCTATGTTGCCCAGGGTGGTCTCAAACTCCTAGACTCATGCAGTCCACCTGCCTCGGCCTCCCAGAGTGCTGGGATTACAGACGTGAGCCACTGTGCCCAGCCAGATTTCTAAGAGTTTTGCTTATAGTTTGTTTTGACATGATCTTGAAAGCAATTTAATTCTAAAGTGGGTTTGGTTTTGGCTCAGTAGATTTCAGTCATTTTTACGTTTTATTTTCATGATTTCTCTTATATATTTAGAAATCAGAAGTGATTGTGAAAGTGAATTTTATTTCTGACAGCCTTATTTGAGGACTTTAAAAAATATTTAATAATACATTTTATTTAACTGAATATAGCCAAAATATTTTTTCAACATGTGACTCTAGCTACATCCCAAGTACTCAATAGCCACCATATGGCTGGTGGCCACCAGCTCTTTTGGACAGTGCAGCTCTGTGGATGCTGTCTGATACGTTGTACCATTTTTTTTCTGTAAGAAATTTTATAGAATTGGTGTTATTCTTCTACTAAAGAATTTCCAGCAAAACCATTCAAACCTGGAGGTGTTTAGGTTTTCAATTACTAGTTCAACTTATTTTCATAGTTATAGGTCTATTAAGGTAATCTATTTCATCTTGAGTGATGTGGGAAAATTTCAAGGAGTTGGTCCTTTTCATCTAAGTTGAATTTATGTTCATAGAGTTGTTTGTAGTATCCTCTTATTATCCTTTTAACATCTATGTTTGATGATAATCCCTTCTTTCATTCTTGATATTTTGTGTCTCTTCTCTTTTTCTTTCTTTTGATAGATTTCCCAATTTTATTGGTCTTTGAAAAGAATCAGCTTCTGGTTTCATTGGTTTTTCTCTATTCTGTGTTCAATTTTATGGATTTCTGCTCTTAATTTTATTAATTCCTTCTTGATTTATTTTCTAGTTTCTTAAGGTGGAAACTGAGATTATTGCTTTGAGACCTTTCTTCATTTATAATATGTGTTTAGTACTATAAATTTTCCTCTAAGTGTTGCTTTTAGTTGAATCCCACAACTTCTGAAATGTATTTTTTTTTAAATTTTTAGACACTGCAGTGAATGCAGAAATGTATTTTTATTTTCATTCAGTTCAAAATATCTTCTAATTTCCCTTGAGACTTCCTGTTTGACCTATAGATTATGCAGAAGTGTGGTGTTTAATTTTCAAACGTTTGGAAATTTTTATCTTGTTCAATGTTAGTTTCTTTTTTAAAATACATTTTTAATTTTTATTTTTACTTTGTAGAGATGGAGTCTTGCTAGCTTGTCCAGGCTGGTCTCATTCCTCGGCTCAAGTGATCTTTTTGCCTCTGCCTCCCAAAGTGCTAGGATTACAGGCATGTGCTCCCAGCTTTGTTAATAGTTTCTAGTTTAATTCCATTGTGGTCAGAGAATATCCTTTGTATGATTTCATTCCCTCCCTCCCTCCCTCCCTCCCTCCCTCCCTCCCTCCCTCTCTCCCTCCATGTCTCCCTCCCCTCCCCTCCTCTCCCCTCCCCTCTCTTCCTATTCTCTTTTTTCTTTTTCCTTTCCTTTCTTTTCTTTCCCTTTCCATTTCTGACAGGGTCTCACTCTGCCCAGCTTCCCAAGTAGCTGGGACTACAGGCGCACACCACCATGCCTGTCTTGTTTTTTACTTTTTATTTTTTGTAGAGACAGGGTCTTATTTTGTTTCCCAGGTTGGTCTCAAACTACTGGCTTCAAGGAGTCCTCCCACCTTGGCCTCCCAAAGTGCTGGGATTACAGACTTGAGCTACCACACTGGCTGATTTGATTTTTTGTTTAATTTATTAAGGTGTTTATGACCCAGGAGATGTTGTCTATCTTGGTGAATATTCCATGCGTACTTCAAAAGCATGTGTATTTTGCTGAGTTGAGTGTTCTATAAATGTCAGTTCGATCCAGTTGGTTGATTTTGTTGTTCAATTCCTTTATATCTGTTGATTTTTGTTGTTGTTTACTAGTTCTATCTGTTACTGAGAAGGGAGTGTTGAAAGGTCCAACTACAATTGTGGATTTGTGTTGTTACTTTTTTTCTCCTTTCAGTTATCAGTTTTTAATTCATGTATTTTGAAGCTCTGTTGTTAGGTACATAACATATTAGCATTATCTTTTAGGTGAATTACCCATTTATTAATGTGTAATATCCCTTTTCTTCCCTGATAATTTTCTTTGCTCTGAAGACTACTTTGATACTAGTATAGCCACTTTAACTTCCTTTTGACTAGTGTTTACAAGGTCTTTATCTTTTAGCTTTCAACCTGCATGTATCATT
Organism: Homo sapiens; assembly: GCF_000001405.40. Classification (NCBI taxonomy): domain Eukaryota; kingdom Metazoa; phylum Chordata; class Mammalia; order Primates; family Hominidae; genus Homo; species Homo sapiens. The sequence continues at coordinate 34,633,061 of NC_000006.12, read as the reverse complement.
TTATTTGGAGTTTCTTATAGATAGCATGTAGTTGGATCTTTTTTCCTCCATTCTAACAATCTGTGTTTTCTAATTGGTGTGTTTAGACTATTCACATTTAATATAATTATTGAAATGTTTGAATTTAGTTTTACCACTTTATTATATGTTTTGTTCTCTTAGTTGAAGACTTAAATCAGTTACATTGCTAAACTTATTGGTTACTTGTGATTAAATTGTTTTAAAAATGTATTTGCTCTGGCCGGGCGTGGTGGCTCACGCCTGTAATCCCAACACTTTGGGAGGCTGAGGCAGACAGATAACAAGGTCAGGAGATCGAGACCATCCTGGCTAACATGGTGAAACCCCGTCTCTACTAAAAATACAAAAAAAAAAAAAATTAGCCGGGTGTGTTAGTTGGTGCCTGTAGTCCCAGCTACTCGGGAGGCTGAGGCAGGAGAATGGCATGAACCCAGGAGGCAGCCTGGGTGACAGAGCGAGACTCCATCTCAAAAAAAAAAAAAAAAAATTATTTGCTCTGATAAAAAGAAATACATGATTTATTATAGAAAATAAAGTCTAAAGAGAAAAGGAAACATTTGTTCTGCCATCCAAATATAAACACTTATTTTTTTTTATTTTGAGATGGAGTCTTGCTCTGTCGCCCAGGCTGGAGTGCAGTGGTGTGATCTTGGCTCACTGCAACCTCCGCCTCCCAGGTTCACGCTATTCTCTTGCCTCAGCCTCTCTAGTAGCTAGGACTATAGGCGTGTGCCACCACGCTTAACTAATTTTTGTATTTTGAGTAGAGACGGGGTTTCTCCATGTTGGCCAGGCTGGTCTCAAACTCCTAACCTCAAGTGATCTACCCGCCTCAGCCTTCCAAAGTGCTGGGATTACAGGTGTGAGCCACCACGCCCAGCCTAAACACTGTTAATGTATGCATTTCCACATAGTTTTTTAAAATCCATGTATTAAAAGCAAAAAACTTTTTTGTTGTTTAAATATGGTATTGTGCTACCTATTCTTATGTAACCTACTTTTTTCTCCCATTCACTAATGTTTTAGAACTTCTTCCCCTTAACATTAAATACTTTTAAAAACACAGTTTTCAGTAATTCATACCATTCCACTAGATTAGTATTAACTAAACTATAAACTATTATGGATTTTTTTTTAATTGAGGTAAAATCCACATAATAAATCATTTTAAAGCATGCAGTTTAGTGTACTTAGTAAATTTATGGTGTTGTGCAACCATTATCTGTATTTGATTCCAATGTATTTTATAACCCCAAAAGGAAACCTCATACCTGTTAAGCATGGCTCCCCTTTCCTCCCTTCCTGCAGCCCCTGGCAGCCACTAATGTTCTTTCTGTTTCTCTGAGTAGATACTTCTTTTTGCTGGGATAGTGCAAGATATATAAATAGTGAGCAAATAATAAAATGTATTAGGCTGTGCATGGTGGCTCACTCCTGTAATCCCAGCACTTTGGGAGGCTGAGGTGCGTAGATCACTTGAGGTCAGGTGTTTGAGACCAGCCTGGCCAACTTGGTGAAACTCTGTGTATATCAAAAAATACAAAAATTAGCCGGGCGTGGTGGTACATGCCTGTAATTCCTGCTACTCGAAAGGCTGAGGCATGAGAATGGCTTGAACCCAGGAGGCGGAGGTTGCGGTGAGCCGAGATCGCGCCACTGCCCTCCAGCCTGGGTGACAGAGTGAGTCCCTGTCTTAAAAAAAAAAAAAAGAGGGGAATGGGGGACTGAGAAACACTGGTGAAGTTCATAGTCCAGGAGTGTAGGTTCACCAAAAGACTGAAACCTAATCACACCTTACCATTACATTACTACTGGCTTCTTTACTACAGTTTCTTTTAGCCAGTACATCCTGTCTACCTTTCAGCAGGGTATACTAAAAAGCAAGAAACACAGTTTGGAGAAATTGAATAGCATCAGAATCAGTTTTGGCAGGCGTGTTGGAATTATTAGGCCAGGAATTTTTTTAAAAACTATAAATAGTATGCTAAGTTCTTCAATGGAAAAAGTAGACAACATGAAAGAACAGATGGATAATGTAAGCAGGGAGATGGAAATTCTAAGAAAGAATCAAAATGCTAGAGATAAACATTAACAGAAATGAAAAATGACTTTGATGAGCTTGTTAGTGACTGGACACAACTGAGGAAATAATCTCTGAGCTTGTGGATATGTCAGTAGAAATTCCAAAACTGAAAAAGAGAGAAAAGGCTGAATAAAAATAGAACAAGCCAGGTACAGTGATGTGTGCGTGTAGTCCCAGTTATTTGGGAGGCTGAGGCAGGAACATTCCTTGAGCCCAGGAGTTCAAGTCCAGCCTGGGCAACATAGTGAGACCTCATTGCTTAAAAAAACAAACCCAGGGCCAGGCGGTGTGGCTCACGCCATAATCCCAGCACTTTGGGAGGCCAAGGCGGGCGGATCACGAGGTCAAGAGATCGAAGCCATCCTGGCCAACATGGTGCAACCCCATCTCTATTAAAAATACAAAAATTAGCTGGGTATGGTGGTACGTGCCTGTAGACCCAGCTACTCGGGAGGCTGAGACAGGAGAATCGTTTGAACCCAGGAGGCGGAGGTTGCAGTGAGCCGAGATCACACCACTGCACTCCGGACTGGCGACAGAGTGAGACTCTGTTTCAAAAACAAAACAAAAGAAGCCCAGAATACAGTAGCCTCCCCATCACCCTATCTGGTGGATAGGAAAGTTTCACTTTCCATGGTTTCAGTTACCCATAGTCAAACACAGTCTGAAAATATCAGATGGAAAATTCCAGAAATAAACAGTTCTTAAGTTTTAAATTGCATTCCATTCTCAGGAGCGTTCCATCTTGCCCAGGATATGAATCATCCCTTTGTCTAGCATATCCACGTGTATGCACTATTCACTTGTTAGTCACTTAGTAGCCATCTTGGTTATCAGATCGACTGTTGGGATATTGCAGTGCTTGTGTCGAAGTAACCCCTATTTTACTTAATAATGGCCCCAAAATGCAAGAGTAGTGATACTAGCATACTGTTGAAATTGTTCTATTTTATTATCAGTTATTGTTAACCTCTTACTGGGCCTAATTTATAAGTCAGAATTTATCATAGGTATGTATATATAGGGAAGAACATAGTATATATGGGATTTAGTACTTTCCATACTTTCAGGCATCCATTGGGAGTCTCGGAACTTATTTTCCATGGATAAGGAAGGACTCCTGTATCCATGAGCTGTGGGACAACTACAAAAGGCGTAACATACACACATAATGGGAATAACAGAAGGAGAATAGAGAAAGGAACAGAAACAATATTTGAAACAATACGGCTGAAAATTTCTCCAAATTAATGTCAGACATCAAATCACAGATCCAGGAAGCTCAGAGAACACCAAACAGGATAATGCCCAGAAAATGACATCTAGCATATCTACTCAAACTGCAGAAAATCAAAGATAAAGAAAAATCTTGAAAGAAGCCAAAGGGAAAAAATATCTTACCTATGGAGGAGCAACAGTAGGAATTACATATGATTTCTCCTCAGAAATGCAATCAAGAAGAGAGTGGAATTAAATATTTTAAATATTGAGGCTAGGCACAGTGGTTCACACCTATAATCCCAGCACTTTGGGAGTCTGAGGCAGAAGGATCACTTGAGCTTAGGAGTTCAAGACCACATGGCCAACATAGGATAATTAAGAAATATTACAAGCAACTCTGTGCCCACAAACTTGATAACCTAGATATCATGGAATAATTCCTTGAAGTACACAGTTTGTCATAGCTTGCTCAAGAAAAATAGACAACTTGAATAGGCTTTTGTCTGTGAAAGAAATTGGATCAATAATTAATAAACTTCTGCAACAGAAAGCACCAGGTCCAAATGAGTTTTCTGGTGAATTCTACCAAGAATTAATGAAGAATTATACTCATTCTCTTTTTATATTCTTTTTGAAACAGAGTCTTGCTCTGTTGCCCAGGCTGGTATGCAGTGATCTCAGGTCACTGCAACCTCTGTCTCCCAGGCACAAATGATCCTCACCTCAGCCTCCCAAGTAGCTGGGACTACAGGCATGTGTCACCACACCTGGCTAGTTTTCTTTTGGTAGAGACAGCATTCCGCCATATTGTCCAGGCTGGTCTTGAACTCTTGGGTCAAGCAGTCTTCCTGTCTTGGCCTCCCAAAGTCCTGGGATTACAGGTGTGAGCCACCACACCCAGCCTATACTAATTCTCTACAATTTCCTTCAGAAGATAGAAGCAAATGGAATACTTCCTAACTCCTTCTGTGAGGCCAACGTTACCCTAATACCCAAACCAGACAAAGATTACAGGAAAATTATAAAACTATTTCTCATGAACTTAGATGCACATATCCTCAACAAAATATTAGCAGATTGAATTTCAAAAATGTGTAAAAAGGTGGGCCGGGCGTGGTGGCTCACACCTGTAATCCCAGCACTTTGGGAGGCCGAGGCGGGCGGATCATGAGGTCAGGAGATGGAGACCATCTTGGCTAACACGGTGAAACCCCGTGTCTACTAAAATTACAAAAAATTAGCCAGGCGTGGTGGCAGGTGAGTGCAGCTGGAGTAGTCCCAGCTACTCAGGAGGCTGAGGCAGGAGAATGGCGTGAACCTGGGAGGCGGAGGTTGCAGTGAGCCGAGATCATGCCACTGCACTCCAGCCTGGGTGACAGAGTGAGACTCCGTCTCAAAAAAAAAAAAGTGTAAAAAGGCTAGGCTCAGTGACTCATGGCTGTAATCTCAACACTTTAGCTGGCTGAGGTGGGTGGATCACCTGAGGTCAGGAGTTCAAGACCAGCCTGGCCAACATGGTGAAACCTCGTCTCTACTAAAAATACAAAAATTAGCGGGGCACAGTGGTGTGTGCCTGTAGTCCCAGCTACTTGGGAGGCTGAGGCAGGAGAATCGTTTGAACCCGGCAGGTGGAGGTTGCAGTGAGTTGAGATTGTGCCACTGCACTCCAACCTGAGTGACAGAAACAATATTTGGAGTGAGACTCCATCTCAAAAAAGAAAAAAGTGTATGCAGGCCCAGGGGCGGTGGCTCATGCCTGTAATCCCAGTACTTCGGGGACTGAGGCGGGTGGATCACTTGAGTTCAGGAATTCAAGTCCAGCCTGGCTGACATGGCGAAACCCTGTCTCTACTAAAAATACAAAAATTAGCCGGGTATGGTGGTGCATGTCTGTAATCCTAGCTACTCGGGAGGCTGAGGAAGGAGAATAGCTTGAACCAGGGAGGCGGAGGTTGTGGTGAGCCGAGATCACGCCATTGCACTCCAGCCTGGGCTACAAGAGCGAAACTCTGTCTCAAAAAAAAAAAAAAAAGGGCCAAAGACCTGAACAGATATCTCACCAAAGAAAATGCACAGATGGCATGGCATATAAAAACTTACGAGAAGATATTCACCGTTATATGTTTTCAGGACATTACAAGTTAAAACAACTATGAGATATCACTATATACCTATTAAGATGGCCATAATCCCAAACGCCAACAATACCAAATACTGGTAGGAATGTGGAGCAACAGGAATTCTCATTCACTGCTGGTGAGAATGCAAAATGGTACAGCCACATTCTCTTACCCTCCCATCAGCAGCTGTGCTCCTTGGTATTTACCCAAAGATGTTGAAAACTTACATTCACACAAAAGCCTGCACACAGATGTTTATAGCAACTTTATCTATAATTGCCAAAATTTGGATGCAGTGAAGAAGACCTTTAGTTGGTGAGTGGACAAATAAAGTGTGGTACACCTAGACAATGGAGTATAACTCAGCACTAAAAAGAAATGAGCCATTAAGGCACATGGAAGGACCTTAAATGCATATTACCAAGTGAAAGAAGCTGATCTGAAAAGGCTACATACTGTTGGATTCCAACTCTATGACATTTTGGAAAAGATAAAACTACGGAGACAGTAAAAGCATCAGTGGTTGTCAGAACTGGGGGCAGGGAGAGATGAATAGGCAGAATACAGATTTTTAGGGCAGTGAAAGTATTCTGAATACCATTTTTTTTTTTTGAGATGGAGTTTCGCTCTGTTGCCCAGGCTGGAGTGCAGTGGCATGATCTCGGCTCACTGCAACCTCTGCCTCCCAGGTTCAAGCAATTCCCCTTTCTCAGCCTCCCGAGTAGCTGGGATTACAAGTGCGCACCACCATGCCTGGCTTATTTTTGTATTTTTAGTAGAGATGGGGTTTCACCATGTTGGTCAGGATGGTCTGGAACTCCTGACCTCGTGATCCGCCCACCTCGGCCTCTAAAGTGCTAGGATTACAGGCGTGAGCCATCACACCCCGCCTGATATATTAATATAATGGGGGATACATGTCATTGTACATTTGTCCAAACCCGTAGAATGTACGACATAGAGTGAATCCTAACATAAACTATTGACTTTTGGTGATAATGGTGTGTCAGTGTTGGTTCATCGATTGTAACAAATAATACCACTGTGGTGCAGTATGTTGATAGGCAGGTTGTGCATATGTGGGGGAAATATCTCTTGGTTTTGCTGTGAACCTAAAACTGCTATAAAAAAATAAAATACGATCGGGCAAAGCGGCTCATGCCTGTAATTCCAGCCCTTTGAGAGGCTGAGGCAGGAGGACTGCTTGAGGCCTAGGAGTTTGAGACCAGCCTGGGCAATATATTGGAAGACCCCCATCTCTACAAAAAAATTTAAAAATTAGCTGAGCATGGTGACATGCACCTGTAGTCCTAGCTACTTTGCGGGCAAATGTGGGAAGATTGTTTGAGCTCAGAAGGTCAAGACTACAGTGAGCTGTGATAGCACCATTGCACTCCAGCCTGGGCAACAAAGAGAGACCCTGTCTTGGAAAAGAGAAAAAAAGGAATCTGTTAAAAAATGCCTCCTGGCCGGGTGCAGTGGCTCACACCTGTAATCCCAGCATTTCGGGAGGCCGACCCAGGCGGATCATGGGGTCAGGAGATCGAGACCATCCTAGCTAACATGGTGAAACCCCGTCCCTACTAAAAATACAAAAAATTAGCCGGGCGTGGTGGCGGGTGCCTGTAGTCCCAGCTACTCGGGAGGCTGAGGCAGGAGTATGGCATGAACCTGGGAAGCAGAGGTTGCAGTGAGCCAAGATCGTGCCACTGCACTCCAGCCTGAGCGACAGAGCGAGACTCGCTATCTCAAAAAAAAAAAAAAAAAAAAGCCTTTCAATAAGAAAAAATAATGAACAGTAAGAAATAATAACCTTTGAGGTAGGATAGGCTGGAAGGACTTTCTCAAATATGGGAAACTTTACCAAATTTAGTCTTTTAACTAAATTAAATTCATGTTTGGCGATTGGGAGAAGGTACTTCATTTCTAAACTGAAAGAAGGTGGGCAAAAGCATAAACTCTGGTTAAGCATGACTAGTACACTTTGGGCATTCTGTGGGAAAGAATGGGAGATAGATTGGAGATTACAGTACTTTTTGATGAAGATTAGCACCCACTGGTCATCTGTAAGAGAGTTGAGTAGCTAACCATCACAGATCAAGGTGTACAACTTCAGCATGTCTGACCAAGAGAACATGTGTCTACTCTGCACATCAGATGTGGGCGAGTGGTTTGACTGCCTTTTGTAGGATTGAGATGTCCAGATGGCCATGAGGGAGTTCTAAGTACCCCTATGAGAGATGTTGATAGACCTACTCAGTTTGGTGCTGAATTAATGCCCCCAGAGCTCTGTGCTCACATTTGAGCTAGGAAAATACCTTGGCCCATGAAGGGCGTGTGGTGGAGATGAGAAGGAAGGGATGCTTGGTAAAGCTGGATAAGACCAAAGAAATGAAGAAGATAGTAGGAAGAAATAGGAAAAAAAGAGGGGAAGGGGGGAGGAGGGAAAAAGAAGAAACATTAAGGAAGTTCTGCTTTGTTGCTATATTCAACTCCGACTTCTGTCAGTGAATTTGATGACTAAAGAGCTAGTGTAGTTCTCTTTGGAGAGAATGTTGATGGGGAGAGGTTACTATGTTATTTGTTCTGCTGGTTCTTGCACTGGTCCAGCTAGGTTTGTGATATTGATGGGGAGCAGTTTCCTTGAAGCCAGAAACTAAAGCCCATCCTCTTTCAGGAGGAGAGGGAAGAGAGAGCAGAGTTAACACAATGTATTATCTAAGATCTCTCGGAAGCAAAAGCTTTCACCAAGAGTAACTAGTTACCATCAGTAATGATGTTTTATACTTTTTGTTCATAATTGTATCCAAAATAGGGTTTGAGTTTCTTTTAAAAGACCAATGAGGCGTATATCTTATTTTGTTCTTAATTGTTCAAAACTAACACATTAGCTCTGTAGAAGTTAAAGCTCACCTTGGAAGATGTACCAGAGGAATGGGTGGTTGTTGTTTTTAAATGTTTGGAATTTAAAGTTGAATTAGGTGGCTGGGCATGGTGGCTCACACCTGTAATCCCAGCACTTTGGGAGGCCCAGGCAGGTGGATCACCTGAGGTCAGGAGTTCGAGATCAGCCTGGTGAACATGGTGAAACCCCATCTTTACTAAAAAAAAAACAAAAAAACAAAATTAGCCAGGTGTGGTGGTGCATGCCTGCAATCCCAGCTACTTGGGAGGCTAAGGCAGGAGAATTGCTTGAACCCGGGAGGTGGAGGTTGCAGTCAGCCGACATCACACTATTGTGCTCCAGCCTGGGCAAGAAGAGTGAAACTTCATCAAAAAAAATAAAAAAATAAAAAAATAAATTAGGTAATTAGTTGGTAGTCTAGAATTTGACTTTCTAGTTATAGAATTAATAAATACTTGGAAGTATTTCTTCAATATCTTATTCTAAATTTTACCCTTTGATGAAAATCTCACAGATATCAAGATGTACCAAGTATGTCCCAATTATACTGGTTGGTAAATTCACCAGAATTGGTGAAGGAGGCTGGGCATGGTGGCTCATACCTGTAATCCCAGCACTTTGGGAGGCCAAGGTGGGCCAAACACTTGAGGTCAGGAGTTCAAGACCAGCCTGGCCAACATGGTGAAACCCTGTCTCTACTAAAAATACAAAAATTAGCTGGGCGTGGTGACAGGCACCTGTGCTCCCAGCTACTTGGGAGGCTGAGGCACGAGAATCGCTTGAACCCAGGAGGCAGAGGTTGCGGTGAGCCGAGATTGTGACACTGCACTCCAGCCTGGGCAACAGAGTGAGACTCAAAAAAACAAAAAGAAAAAGAAGTATTGGAGGAGTAAGAATACCAGCCATTTGTCTTCCTATTTGCATATAAAATGGACAATATTTAAATTTTAAGCCTTTTTATCCAATGTTATATTTAAGTGCTTTTCAACATTAATGCCAAAATGATTTTATGCCAGCTGTATAGATTTGCCTCTTAATGTACTGTAGCTATCATTTTGATTTCCTGCATATCCTTAAACACAATTGTACTTTGAAATTTAAATTAGTAATTTAAGTTCTTAAGTGTAGTTTCATGCTATATTACGTTTTTTTGTGGTAGTGCTATTACCCACTCAGATTATGCTTTTTTTCGTAGGCTATAGAAGTTTAAATTATTAGGATAATATTTCCATCTTTTCTGCCAGGAAGTGTTTTCTCCATGAGTATTAGTTATTTTCTGATTAGTGGAACTCTCAAAACTGACCAGGGGTGGGGTGGGATTGTTGCAAGATGTCATCAATAAGCACTAGACCAGGAGTAAAAAAGATCTGACTTCTAATTCTGCCACATAATAAATTACTGATTGGCCTTCAACAAATAACAGAATCAGTAGGCCTCTGATGTTTTTGTTTTTGTTTTGATTAATTGTGGTAAAATAACACATACAATTTATTGTAACCATTTTTAAGTGTACAGTTCACTGGCAATAAGTATATTCACAGGCATCACCACTATTCACCTCTAGAATTCCTTTCATCTTGCAAAACTGAAACTCTGTACCCATTAATAATTCTCCATTCCCCTTCACCCCAGCCATTGGAAACCGCCATTCTACTGTCTCTGATTTTGACTACCTTAGGTACCTCACATACGTGGAATTATATAGTATCTGTCCATTTGGGACTACTTTATTTCACTTAACATTATCAAGGTTCATCCATATTATAGCATGTATCAGAATTTCCTTCCTTTTAAAGGCTGAATAATATTTTGGTGTATATATATACTACATTTTGTTCATTGATCTTTTACTGGACACTTGGGTTACTTCCGCCTTTTGGCTATTGTGAGTAATGCTGCTATGAATGAACATGGGTGTACAAATATCTCTTTGAGACCCTGTTTTCAGATCTTTAGTTTATATACCTAGAGGTAGAGTTACTGGATCATTTGTCAATTCTATATTCAATTTTTTGTGGAATCGTATTGTTTTACAAAGCAGCTGCACCATTTACATTCCTAACAGCACACAAGCGTTCTAATTTCTCCACATCCTCACCAACATTTGGCATTTTCTGATGTCTCTAGGAAGCAAAAGCTTTCACCAAGGGCAACTAAGGATTTTTTTTTTTTTAGTAGTAGCCATCATAAGTGTGAGGTGGTATCTCATTGTGGTTTGATTTGCATTTCCCCGGTGATTAGTAATGTTGAGTATCTTTTTAAGTGCTAATTGGACATTTGTATTTTTATAGAAATGTGTATTCAAGTCCTTTGCCCATTTTGAAATCAGGTTGTGTTTTCTGTTGAGTTGTAGGAGTTCTTTATATATTTGAGATATTAACCCCTTATGACATATATGATCTGTACATATTTTCTCTCATTCCATGGGTAGCCTTTTACTCTGTTGATTGTGTCATTTGGTGCACAGTTTTTAATTTTGATGTCTAATTTATTAGCTTTTGGTGTCATGTCCAAGAAACCATTGCCAAATCCAATGTGATAAAGCTTTTCCCTAAGCTTTTTTCTAGGAGTTTTATAGTTTTAGCTCATATGGTTAGGTCTTTGATCCATTTTGAGTTAATTTTTGTATATGGCATAAGGTAAGGGTCCAACTTCATTCTTTTGCACGTGGATATGCAGTTTTCTCAGCATCGTTTTTTGAGAAGACTGTCCTTTCACCATTGAATTGTTTTGGCACCGTTGTTGAAATCATTTGACCATATACACAAGGTTTGTTTCTGGGCAGTTTCTTCTATTCCATTGGTCTTAATATGTCTGTCTTTCTGCCAGTACCACACTAGTTTTTTTTTTGAGCTGGAGTCTTGCTCTGTCATCAGGCTGGAGTGCAGTGGCACGATCTTGGCTCACTGCAACCTCTGCCCCCCTGGGTTCAAGTGATTCTCCTGCCCCAGCCTCCTGAGTACCTGGGACCACAGGGGTACGCCACCATGCCTGGCTAATTTTTTGTATTTTTAGTAGAGACGGGGGTTTCACCATGTTTAGCCAGGCTGGTCTCGAACTCCTAATCTCAAGTGATCTGCCTGCCTCGGCCACCCAAAGTGCTGGGATTACAGGCATGAGCCACCATGCCGGGCCACTTTGTGATAAGTTTTGACATCAGGAATAAGTTAGTCTTCTTTTTCAAAATTATTTTCACTGTTCAAAATTTTTTAGCCTTAGTGATGCTAAGATTAAAGGATTCAGGTGGTAACAGCCTGATCCCTCCATTGCAGAGGGATCTCTGCAATCGATATTTTGCATAATTGTTTCATCAATTTGTGATGATTGCCTAAATCATTTCATTAGAAGTTACAAAGTAGCGATTCCTTCTACTTTTATTAGCTGGAATTCTTTTGAAGTGGGGGAATCCTTTTGTTCATCAACAGTGACTTATCTTGAAATTTAATTTCTACCAAAAAGGCTGGTTAAATGCTTAATTCTTTACCTTTAATTTTCAGTTGTTAGAGTAAGAAGGTGATGCTCTTGTTGCTTTCAATGAAATTAATGAAGAAGAAGAATTAAATATTTGGTTTGATTTCCCCCTTTTTGTAAGTGTCGTTGTAAACTCTTAGATTCTGTATATGAAACCTGTTTTAGTTCTTTGCAGATAGTGGCTAAGGAATATGTATTTTTAACACAGAAACCACATGATCTTGATGGAGGTGGTTGGTCTGCAGAGCAGACTCCTATAAAGTAGTGTTATGGATTTTAAAACAGTTACTGTTTTGTTGTGTATGTCTTCCCTACCAAAGATGGTGTCCATTAACAAGTTAGTGTCCGGTCTTATCAAAGGCAGATGTTATCAACATAATTTATCATTATTTTAAAATGTATTATTATTTTTGAGACAGGGTCTCACTTTATCATCCAGGCTGGAGTGCAGCGGCACAATCGTAGCTTACTGCAGCCTCAAACGTAAGGGCTCAAGTAGTCCTCCCACCTCAGCCTCCTGAGTAGCTGGGACTGCAGGCATGTGCCATGATGCCCAGCTAATTTTTAAATTTTTTTTGTAGAGTTGGAGTGTAGCTGTGTTGCTACACTTGTGGGCTCAAGTGATCCTTCTACCTTAGCCTCCTGGGAGGCTGGAGGCTACAGGCATGAACCACTGTGCTCTGCAATAATTTATATTTAAATTAGCAATATTAAATGTTAACACATCTTAGTAAGGAGGTATTTTCTGCCTTCAATTTGCTGTCATTGTTATAGTTCTCCAGGTTAAATTAGACATACCCGATCCTCAGACGTTACCCTTAACAGTGACTCCAACTTCCAACAGGGCAACACAGTAAGCAGTTTTTTAATGCTACTTATGGTGCTAAGTACTTTTGCATTAATAATTTGCTCCTTATTGAGCACCTGCCTTGTGCCAGTCACCATCCTAGGGAATTTCCTTATCTCCATTTTTACGGTGTCTCACCTTGACCTAATTTTATTTTTTGAATATGTGAAACATTTTGTGATTCCTAAGTCAAAACTTATTTACGTAATATATTTAGATGGATATAATATATATCCATCCCTGCCCCCTTCAGCTAGTCCCATCCTCCTGCTATAGGGTACTCATTTTTATTCATTGTTTTTTTCTTTTAGCAAACACTAGCAAATGTATATAAATTTGCCCCTTTTCTAAGACAATCTTATAACTACAGATATTGATCTGCATCTTAGCTTTTTTTTTTTTTTTTTTGGAGACAGAGTCTTGCTCTGTCACCCAGGCTGGAGTGCAGTGGTGCAATCTTGGCTCACTGCAACCTCTGCCTCCCAGATTCAAACGATTCTCCTGCCTCAGCCTCCCAAGTAGCTGGGACTACGGGCCTGCACCACCATGCTCGACTAATTTTTGTATTTTTAGTAGAGACGGGGTTTCACCATGTTGGCCAGGCTGATCTTGAGCTCCTGACCTCAGGTGATCCACCCGCCTCAGCCTCCCAAAGTATTACAGGCGTGAGCCACTGTGCCTGGCCACTTTTTTTCACTTAATATGTATATCCTAGAGAGCACTCTTAAAAGGTAATAGAGGCCAGATGTGGTGGCTCATGCCTGTCTTCCCCGCACTTTGTAAGGCTGAGGCAGGAGGATCACTTCAGCCCAGGAGTTGAAGACCAGCCTGGGCAACAAAGGGAGACCCCATTTCTACAAAAAGTAAATAGTCAGGCATGGTGGCAAGTGCCTGCGTGTAGTCCCAGCTACTCAAGAGGTTGAGGGGGGAGGATCACTTGAGCCCAGGAGGTCAAGGCTGCAGTGAGCCATGATTATGCCACTGCACTTCATCCAGCCTGAGTGACAGAGTGAGACTCTCTGTCTCAAAAACAAGTTAATGGAAATCTTCATTTCTTCTGTGATACAGAAGAAATGAAGATCCTTCTATATATATATATATTCTGTGTACCTACTGATGAACATTTGAGTTGTTTTAAATTTCTTGCTGTTAACAAATAATGCAGTATTCTTAATTCTCCTCTTCTAGCTTCTTCCTCATCTCTCTGCCCTCCATTGTAGCAAAACTTCTTCGCAAATGTACCAATAATAATTGTCTCCACCTCCTGATCTCTTACTCTCACAAATTCTATGTAGCTGTCTATCCCCATTACTCCGCTGAAACTGACTGCTTTTTTCAAGCTCTCCAGTGACCTTTGTGTTGCTACATCCAATGGTTTGTCCTTAGTACTCTACTGACTTATTAGCAGCACTGGACTCAGCTGGTGACTCTGTCCTCTGTCCTCTTGAAACACTCGTCACTAGGCTTCTAGAGCACCATAGACTCCCGGTTTTCCTTTATTGTCAGGGCTGTTCCTTCTCTATCTTTTCTGATGCCCTTGGTATTGAATGAATACATCTCTTCTCCTTCCTTATGGTATCAGCTGATGGCTGAGCCAGGTGGGCCCATTTCAGAGGAGGGCAGTCATGAAAGAGGGAAGACTGTAAGGAAAAGGGTGATGGGGTCTCTGCATCTATGAGCTGGAATGAGGGGGAGGAAGAGAGGAAGGCATCTAGGTTCAAAGATCACCAGGAACAAGCCTGTAGCCTGACAAAATCAGATTATTGACGTGATGCAGTGAGTGAAGGCACTTCAGAGGAACTGTGGAATGCCATGGAACAGGAAGGAGGAGGGAAGCATCTTTTGTAGGGCTTGGGTTCTAGCTAAAGGATTCTGAGGAAGCTTTAAGGGATGCTTGGTAGGACAGGGGTCAGTTCTGGATTGGTTGCTGTTTCTGAGACAGGATTAGGTGAAACAGGAATAATTAGGGTTTAGGTGTTGACATGAAGCAAGGGCAGTTTAGCAATTGGGTATTCTCAGTAATAGATGGCTATAGCAAACTAGGTCTGGAAGCATTATTGGTACGAAGGCAGTAGCCACACAAAGAGAGGGTCATTAGGACATTTTACTGCTGCTGCATGACCTTGGGAGAAATAATATTTCCTCTTAACTTTGTACTTGTCTTTATCTGTGTCTGTCCTCCCAGTCCAATTATGGGAGAGTTGCTTTTTCCTTTTTCATTCTGAACAGATTTTCATTTTTCAGCCCCAGCCAGGTTTTTACTCTTAATTCCATGGCACTGATTTCCTGGATTTGGGAAGCAAGGATCCTTGTTTCCTAAGATTTGAGAGAAATAAGTGATTAAATGATTGCTGTACTGCTCCCTCCCCATGTTTAAGGGAAAATCTCATATTTTTGAAATAGGGCATAATGTGGAAAAATTGTGAAATAGGAATAGTTTCTTTGTTGTTTCCTCTTCAGTTCTCCTATCAGTGCCTTTCTTAGGCTTCTCTTCTTTCCTGCGTGAACTTGTGCCCATTGGTTGATCTGATTTGTTACTCTGATGATTAGATTTAAGGTAGCTTAATACGTTTTTTGAGGGGCATTTGCATTTTAAAAGGAAATTCCTGGGTATAATGCTAAATACTAAGGAACAAGTTTCTAATGCACATTTGAGGTAAGAGGTGGTAGGGAGTGAGAATGGGTAGGGATGCGGAGTTTCAGTGGAGGTTGTCCTTCAGCGGTACTCTGCTGCTGGTGGGGTCTAAGCCTCGGAAATCAGGAGGTCACTGAGAAGCTGATGAACTGGAGCCTATCTCTAGCCTTTTCCCCTTTAGGTGCTGAGGCGTAGGTGGCATGTTGACAGATGTGGTGAAAGAATCTGAGTGCCCAGACATGTGTCAGGGGAGCGTGGCTACTGTGCTGAGTAAATTATGTGGCAGTGCAGACTAGAAGTTGAGACTAGACAGATCAGCACCGGGACAACTGGAAGTTCCTTCTTTTCACAATGGTATGCACACACTGCTGCCTTAGCAGTTCTAAGAGACACGCACAAAGATGTCAAGACCTGCTCATAATACTGACTTTTTTTTTCAATTTGAGAGCGCATACTGTTTATTAACTGACTAGATTAGAAAAATAATCATGATAGACGCCTTAGTTCATTCTTCTATTAAGCGTGTTGATCTGGTCCACCCTGTTGCCACCATCTCCACCTTCTACAAAATGTGTAGTTTTTTCTTCATTCCACTTAATGCAGAAGATAATTTGAAGGGCCACAGGAAGTTATTTGCTTCTTTGAAGCATTTTCCAACAGTATAGATCTCATGATCAGATCCTCCATGCAGGTGATGCCATATTTACCAAGAGGTCGAGCAATCAAAGTGTTGTCTGTCAGAGCAACTCACTTCTTATTGATTTTGCCATAACCATGCTTGTAGATTAGTTCATTTACTGACTTCAGATTTGGGTACTCCTATGCAATATATGGTTCTACAATCCTCAGCATGTTAATTGAAGCCTTGTTGAGCTTCACAAAAGTTCCATTAAAGATTTGATGAAGGCAAAGAAGCTGCAACACCTTTCAGACCTTTGGGTTCACACCATTGATACCTCTGATCCTAATGATAAATGCCAATTTGAGTTCTGCAGGTACATAGAAGTTGCTAGTTTTTCTTGCCATCCTTGCCATTTGAATTTCAGTTCTGTGCATCTGCTTATATTCCTTGTGATAGATAAGCTTCCTCCTTGCCTTTCAAAGCACCTTTTGGGCAAACTTCTTTCTCAGGCGATTGATCTTCAGCTCTGCAAAATTCCTTCGCTTTTTCTTAAGGGTTTCTGGCACAGCAGGAACCTTCTTCTCTTCGACACCCTCCATGGTTCCAGCCTGAAAAGAGCATAATACTGACTTTTGCACTGCCTACTGTTGGGGCATGTTTCAGTCCACTTTCAAGCCTTTCTCACTGAAGCTAGACAGTACACACCCAGCTTTTCTATAGAGATGAAATATGAGCCTGTAGCTTATAGCTCAGCAGCTGACTGCAGCCAGACCCCTTTTGTTTCTTAATCCTTAGGGGAAGTGTGAAGTTCCTGTTCTGCTTTGAAGATGGGTTGATCTTCCTAAAGGATTTGAACCCACAACCTTCAAATCTGGAAGTGGCCTCCACCATAATCTTCCTGTTGACCTTCACCAGGCTTTGCCTCCTGATGCCAGGGCATTCATGTCTCACAACTCCCAGGCACAAGGAGTGGTGGTTGCTCTAAAGATCAGAAGCATCCAAGAGTTTAGTCTCAGCTATACCTTTAACCACTGGGAGGTGTCCATGTACGTTAGATTTTTGAAGTGGTCCCTTCCCAAGTCCCCTGACCTTTCCCCTTGGGAAGCCCAGAACCAAGTGGAAGCCTATTGATGAAGCAGTTTATTGTTTGGCTTAAGTGGTTTCTCTTTACAACTGCTGGTCAAAAGCAGACTCTGGGATTAGTCAAGCAGCCTCAGCCCAACATCCACATCAAGATGATGGTGGTTCGGTTGTACAGTCATTGATGTAACCCTAGTTTGAAGACTGTTAACTGATCTGTAATGCTCTACTGGGAAAGGGAGCGTTTCCCTGCAGATAGGACTGGCTTCTGTCTTCAGCTGATAAAACGGTGTTTTTGAGGCTTCTAAAGGACTTGGGCGCATGATGGTTCCCTTTTTGCCCTGCTACAACCTTGTTCTACCCCTCGCTTGATATCAAAACACTCTCTTTTGCTAGTCAATTCTCTCCATAGAAAGTGGTCTGCATCAGCTCTATTGCAGTTTTTGTTTTTGTTTTTGTTTAAGATGGAGTCTCGCTCTGTGTCCCAGGCTGGAGTGTAGTGGCATGATCTCGGCTCACTGCAACCTGCCCCTCCCAGGTTCAAGTGATTCTCCTGCCCCAGCCTCCCCAGTAGCTGGGATTACAGGTGTGTGCCACCATGCCTGGCTAATTTTTGCATTTTTAGTAGAGACAAGGTTTCACCATGTTGGCCGGGCTGGTCTTGAACTCCTGACCTTAGGTGATCCACCCACCTCAGCCTCCCAAAGTTCTGGGACTACAGGTGTGAGCCACCATGCCTGGCCTCTGTTGCAGTTTTACCTGTTAATTTCTGAAATATGATTTTCTAATACTGTACCAATGTATTTTAGTGTATGTTTTGTAATAATTAGGTTTACAGAAAAGTTGCAAATATAGAGTTCTTATATACCCAGTTTTTCCTATTGTTATCACCTTACATTATCATAGTACACTTGTTAAAGACATCAACATTGGTATATTACTATTAATTAAACTCCAGACTTTATTTGGATTTCACCAATTTTTTTCACTAATGACCTGTTTCTATTCCAGAATCCAATCTAGGCTACCACATTACACTTAGTTGTCATGTGCCCCAATCTCTTCTAGTCAGTGACAATTTCTCAGTCTTTCAGTGTTTTTCATGACCCTTGACTGTCTTAAGGAATACTGGCAAGTATCCTATAGAATGACATGTAATCTGAGCTTGTCTGATGTTTTCCTCATGATTACACTGATGTTACGGGGTTTAGAAAGAATACCACAGAGGTAAAGCACCCTATCAAGGGTACTTGATATTCATCTAATATCATTGGTGATGCTAACCTTGATCACTTGGTTAAGTAGTATGTTTGCCAGGTTTTTCTATTGTAGAGTTACTGTTTTTCCTTCTCCCTATACAATTTTTTGGAAGCGAATCACAAGGCTAGCCCACTCTCAAGGAGGGAATGGGAGATGTATAGAATTAAGTTCTACCTCTTGGAAACAGGGAGTATCTACATATATTGTTTGGAATTCCTCTGTTAGGAAGTTTGTCTCTTCTCTCCCACTTATATGTATAGCACTGTGGATCCATGAATATATATATATATATAAAATATAATATATATAATAATATATAAAAAATATATAATATACATTTTATATATATATATTTTTTTTTTTTTATTATTTTTTGAGATGGAGTCTTGCTCTGTCGCCCAGGCTGGAGTGCAGTGGCGTGGCCTCTGCTCACTACAAGCTCTGCTTCCTGGGTTCACGCCATTCTCCTGCCTCAGCCTCCCGAGTAGCTGGGACTACAGGTGCCCGCCACCATGCCCGGCTAATTTTTTGTATATTTAGTAGTGACGGGATTTCACCGTTTTAGCCAGGATGGTCTCGATCTCCTGACCTGGCGATCCACCTGCCTTGGCCTCCCACGGTGCAAGGATTATAGGCGTGAGCCACCGCACCCAGCCAGGATTCATGTATGTTTATTTTATACTTTGGATTGTGACTTAAAACTATGTTATTTATTATGTTGCTCGAATTGTTCCAGCTTTGGCCAGTGGAAGTTCTTTCTGGTTGGTTTATATGTCCCTGTGACATGCCCTTATCCTTTTGTTCTTTGACCACTTTCTTTCTGCTACTATAGGATGTTTCAGATTCATCTTGTATTTTCCATGCCCTAGCCGCAGAATCAGCCATTTATCCAAGGAGCTCTTGTACTTTTTACTGGAGAATCCTATATAGAAACCAAAATCTGGGCACTGGGTATGTTCATTGCTACTGGGGTGTCATAAATTCTAGTCCTTCTTGGCAAACAGAGCTAGATAATACATGTATGCACACCAACTTTTGTATATGGACGTATCTACAACTGATTCCGTATTTCTTCATCTATTATAACCAGGAACTTATATTGACATCTCTGACTTTAATTCAGTACCACAGCATTCATTTTTAGAATGCCTTCCTTTCTTGCTTATCTATAATATCTTCAAAAGTGAGGAACCTTGTTCCCACTATATAACATCCGTTTACTTATTTGTTCAGCCCCAGTATACACTGACAGCAGTTTCAGAATTATATCCCATCAGAAACAGATTTACCAGTTGGGAATGTTGCACTGATTTTTACTATTTTATTTTACTGGAGAAATTGTAGATGTGTATATGCTGATTATGATGTGATTTGACCTCTGATGCTAGCTTTTACATGTATGCAGACATTTTTTATCTGACCATAATCTGTGATGTCTTTGTATGTCAGTATGAATCGTTGAGATTATGGATGTGAGCTCCAACTTAAACATTTTCCTTTTATTCTCTTACACTTATTCTAAAAATTTGTTTGATTGGCTTTGGTTTTTTGTTGTTGTTGTTGTTGTTGTTGTTGTTGTTTTTGAGACAGGGTCTCACTCTGTCACCCAGGCCAGAGTGCAGTGATGCGATCTCGGCTCACTGCAACCTCCACCTCCTCTTAGGTTCCAGTGATTCTCATGCCTCAGCATGCTAGGTAGCTGAGACTACAGGTGCACACCACCACATGTAACAAATTTTTTTTTTTTTTTCCTTGAGACGGAGTCTCGCACTGTTGCCCAGGCTGGAGTGCAGTGGCGCAATCTCGGCTCACTGCAAGCTCCGCCTCCCGGGTTCACGCCATTCTCCTGCCTCAGCCTCCTGAGTAGCTGGGACTACAGGTGCCCACCACCATGCCCGGCTAATTTTTTTGTATTTTTAGTAGAGATGGGGTTTCACCGTGTTAGCCAGGATGGTCTTGATCTCCTGACCTCATGATCCGCCCGCCTTGGCCTCCCAAAATGCTGGGATTGCAGGCGTGAGCCACTGCACCCAGCCAAATTTTTGTATTTTTAGTAGGGATGGGGTTTCACCATGTTGCCCAGGCTGATCTGGAACTCCTGACCTTAAGTGATCCACCTGCTTTGGCCTCCCAAAGTGCTGGCATTACAGGCATGAGCTGCTGTACCTGGCCTCTTTTATACTTATCGTCCAAGATTAAGAAATAGGAAAGCTATGTTTTCTCTTTAGTAATTTATGATGTATTTCTACAAAAGGAAGTTTATACTATAATAATGAGGTTTTGTCATCTGTAAAGGGACAAGTTGAATGAGATAACATTTACAGTACTTTCTAGCTCTAATGTTCTGTCTCCGGTGCTTTTTATTTTTATTATTATTATTTTTTGAGACAGGGTCTCACTGTTGCCCAGGCTGAAGCACAGTGGTACAACCTCGACCTCCTAGGCTCAGGCTATCCTCCCACCTCAGCCTCCCAAGTAGCTGGGTCTACAAGCGTGTGCCACCATGCCTGGCTAATTTTTGTATTTTTTGTGGAAACAGTGTTTCACCGTTGTTGCCTAGGCTGGTGTTGCCATAGGCTGGTCGCAAACTCCTGAGTTCAAGCAGTCTGCTCACATTGGCTTCCCAAAGTGCTGGGATTACAGATGTGAGTGGCTGTGACTGGCCTCAGGTGCTTTAAAAGAAAATCTCCTTAAGGCCAGACATTTTAGAATCAGGGTCTCCATTTGCTTACTAAGTCCTCATTGTGTTCTCATGGCACATGATTCTACCTCCTTGGCTACTTCTCTGGGACATTTGTGGTCCATTCTTCCTGTTGGTGCCAAAGATCACAGGTGCCAAAGACCTGTGGGTAAAGATACTATGGCTTGGGAAATGGGACTGACTTAACCATAGCTTTAGTTCCCTGGGTATTTGGGTTCCTATGTTCCTGTTAGGTGTGAGTTTTTAAAGCTATACTAAAAGCTGGGTGTTCTCAGTCTGCTTTAACTTAAATTATGACCTTGAGCTCATCACTTTTACCTCTAGACTTCAGATTTTTTAAATCTAGAAAACGAAGCAGTTTCATTGGATGATCTCTTCCACTTGTGGTTTTATTATAACAGATGGTAAAGTATCTGGCTAGCAGCTAGTTCTTATCTCAGTGATCAAGGCATTCTGGTAAGAATTGGGAATGGTCATTGTCTATGAAACAAGCTTATTAGGCCATCTTTACCTTTTCTTTACTTTTTCATTTGTTTGATTAAAGTAATACAGTAGGCAGGGGGTGAACGCATTCTGGAATATAAGGTCTAGAAGTGGTACAAGATGATTGAGATTGTACCACGTAGAAGTTGTATTTTGCTGTTCATGATGACCCATTGCAGCAGTAACTTAGGAGGGTCAGAACTGATATTTATTGTTGGTGTTTATAAATCAGTGGCTTCTCAAATGACTTTCCTTTTATAGCTACTATGTAGAATCTATGTACAGAGCTGAGCAATAGCCAACGCAAAGAGATGGGGAGGTGGCTTAAGTATGATAAGTTCTGGTGAGTCATACTAAGGACATTTTTGGCCAGTGCAGTGGCTTATGCCTGTAATCCCAATACTTGGAGAGGCTGAACCAGGAGGATCGCTTGAGCCCAGGAGTTTGCCAACCTGGGCAACATAGTGAGACCTCATCTCTACTAAAAATTTAATTAAAAAAAAAAAAAAAGACATCAGAAAGAAAGAAAGAAAGGAAAGGAGAGGGAAGGAGAGGGGGAGGGGGAGGGGGAAAGAAGTCTCACTGTGTTGCCCAGAATGGTCTCAAACTCCTGGGCTCAAGTGATCCTCGTTCCTCAACCACCCAGAGTGCTGGAATTACAGGTGCTAGCCACTGCACCCAGCCTAAAGATGCTTTAGTTCTAAAGGGAGAAAAGGGGTGGTGGTAGGTTATTAGTCTTATTTATGGATAACAGCTTTCAGAATAGCTTTCTCATAAGCATTTAGTTTCCTGAGCTAAGAATGAAGCATATGACCTGTAGCTTAGTAGCTGTGTGCCAAATCTATCATGTACTTACAAAAGAATTTATTTTTAAAACAGATGGGTGGTAGACAAGGAGGAGTAAAACTACAGGTTGAGTATCCCTTATCTGAAATGCTTGAGACCAGAAGTGTTTCAGATTTTACATTTTTTTGGATTTTTGAATATTTGCATTATATCAGTTCATCATCCCTAATCCAAAAATTCAAAATCTGAAATGATTCAATGAGATTTTCTTTTGAGTGTCAGATTGGTGGTCAAAAAGTTTTGGATTTTCAAATTAGGAATACTCAGCCTGTATTGTAAGACAGGGCTTATCTGTTTGGGAAAAACAAATAGTAGAGTGAAGGAATGCTGTCTTGTGTTAGAAAGCTAGGATAGGAGAGCATGGAATGATTCTCCCTCAGGCTGCCTGCTATTGGATTGTCCCACTTCATTGGATTGATTTATGAGATTGAGCTTTGAACACAGGTCCTCTGACCCACTATTCCTGGCACTGTCCCAGATTTTCAAGGGAAGTGGCACACTACATGTGTGGTGTTAAGTCAAGAGGTTTAACTTTTATGTTGCTAGTTTACATGGGGATTTATATTTTCTTTTCTTTTTTTTCTTTTTCTTTTTCTTTTTTTTTTTGAGACGGAGTCTTGCTCAGTCGCCCAGGCTGGAGTGCAGTGGCGTGATTTCAGCTCACTGCAAGCTCTGCCTCCCGGGTTCATGCCATTCTCCTGCCTCAGCCTCTCGAGTGGCTGGGACTATAGGAGCCCGCCACCATGCCTGGCTAATTTTTTTTTGTAATTTTAGTAGAGACGGGGTTTCACCGTGTTAGCCAGGATGGTCTCGATCTCCTGACCTCGTGATCCACCTGCCTCGGCCTCCCAAAGTGCTGGGATTACAGGCATGAGCCACCACACCCGGCCATATTTTCTTTGATGATAAGTGTATCTGGAATGAATGTACATTCCTGTGAGTCATACTAGTGCTGCTGCTGGTGGCTTTAATTTCCTCTTCTTAGAGGAGAAAGAAATTGCTAATTCCAGGAGTGAACAGCAGATGTCACTGCATCTCCACTTACTAGGGCCTGACTCTTAGCTGTTTGGATACAACCAGTTCTTAATACAGCTCCCAAACCTCTTAAGTTTTTATGGTTGTATAATACTTTAAGATTCCCTTTTTTTTGGAGATAGGCTCTCACTCTGTCATCCAGGCTGGCTGTTTGGATACAACCAGTTCTTAATACAGCTTCCAAACCTCTAAGTTTTTATGGTTGTATGATACTTTAAGATTCCACCCCACCTTTTTTTTTTGAGATAGGCTCTTACTCTGTCATCCAGGCTGGAGTGCAGGGGCACGATCTCAGCTCACTACAACCTCCGCCTCCCAGGTTCAAGCAATTATCCCATCTTAGCCTCCTAAGTAGCCAAGACTACAGGCGTGCACCACCACATCCAGCTAATTTTTGTATTTTTAGTAGAGACAGGGTTTTTGCCATGTTGGCCAGGCTAGTCTCGAACTCCTGACCTCAAGTGATCCACCCACCTCGGCCTCCCAAAGTGTTGGGATTACAGGCATGAGCCACCGTGCCCAGCCAGGCTGCCTTCTTTTGATATACAGCCCAAATTAAAAATTTAGAATAAACACAGCCTGAGAGAGTTTTCCTTAGTTTCCTTCACTGCTTGTTTTTAGTGTTTGTTCTAGGATTATATTATCTCTATTTCTAGGTAGCTAACTGATGGAATGCATTTGCCTTTTTCTATCAACCTTTCAACAGTTATTTAGGATCCTAGACAGTTCTTCGTATTTGTGTTCAGTACGGTTCACACAGTTAAAAGCTTCTTGGCCTTTCTGTATTTTGCTTTTTGAAAACCTTCCAACAGGAATGTACGTGTCACTGTTCTCTGGAGTGAGGTGCTGAACATCAAAGGTTCAGGAACCGCTACTTTCTTTTTTTATTTGAACCCTTAGCTTTGGCACTTGAGCAAATCAAGAGCTGAACTATGACCAAATGTCCTATGGTACATCTATTTAAAAATACATTTATGGTTTAATTGTGGATAGGTGGTAGAGTTTCCCTCTATAGTCTTGTACTGTATAATGATGTTTTGGTCAGTGATGGTGGTCCCATAAAGTTATAATGGAGCTGAAAAATTCCTGTTACCTAGTGACACTGTAGCTTCCATAACATTGTAGTTTGTTTTTTAATGAATTTGGTGTAACCTAACTGCACAGTGTTTATGAAGTCTACATAGTATTTAGTAATGTCCACATTCACTCACTGACTCACCCAGATCAACTTCCAGGCTTGAAAGCTCCATGGTAAGTTCCCTAGGCAGGTACATCATTTTTTATCTTTCATATCATATATTTTACTATTCTATGTTTAGCTATTTTTTTTAATTTTTTAATTTTTTTTTGAGATGGAGTCTTGCTGTGTCAACTAGGCTAGAGTGCAGTGGCACAATCTCGGCTCCACCTCCCAGGCTCAAGCAATTCTCCTGCCTCAGCCTCCTGAGTAGCCGGGATTATAGGCACCCGCCACTATGCCCAGCTAGTTTTTTAATTTTCAGTAGAGATGGGGTTTCACTATGTTGGCCAGGCTGGTCTCGAACTTCTGACCTCAAGTGATCTTCCTGCCTCAGCCTCCCAGAGTGTTGGGATTACAGGCATGAGCCACCACCCACGGCTGTAATTTTTTTTTTTTTTTAAGACAGGGTGGTGCTGTGTTGCCTGAGCTGGAGTGCATTGGTGTAATCACAGCTCACTGCAGCCTCTACCTCCTGGGCTCAAGCGATCCTCCCACCTCTGTCCCCCAAGTAGCTGGGACTACAGGCGAGCACCACCACGGCCAGCTAATTTTTAAGTTTTTGGTAGAGACAGAGTCTCCCTGTGTCACCCAGGACGGTCTCAAACTCTTGGTCTGAAGTGATCCTCTTGCCTAGACCTCCCAGAATGCCCAGGATTACAGACATGAAATCTGGCCTGGCCTTAGATACGTTTAGATACACATATACTTACTGTTGTATTACAGTTGCCTACAGTATTCAATAAAGTAACAGTACAGTAACATGCTATAGAGATTTGTAGCCTAAGAGCAATAGGCTATACCATATAGCCTAGGTGTGTAGTAGGCTCTACTATCTAGGTTTTGTACACTCTATGATGTTCACACAGTGATAAATTGCCTAATGATACATTTCTCAGAACATATCTTCTTCATTAAGCAATGCATGACTGTATGACAGAAAAGCAAAGCAGGTGTTAAATTGGGTATTTTAGAAAGTCTGAGGCATGCCAAATTCTTGGTGTCTTTTGGTCAAATAGATTGAGAAGATAGCCAGGGTGATAGTATCTTCCATTTTGTCTAGATAAATGCTGGTCCTGGCGTAATTATTAATAGGTCCCTCTTTCACTCTCATTTGTCCTAGTTTGGACAACATATGGTCATTCTAAATTGCCCCCAAAGGGAAGAGCATTGATAAAGTTGTAATTCTCATAATTGTAAAATACATGTAAAATAAAGTGAAAAACCACAAAGAGATACCAATTCTAGGAAACTTTTGATTTCTATCTATTGATCGTTCTCTGGAATAATGATTTCCAAAGATGACGGTGCATTGGCATCAACTGGTAAGCTTTTTATAAATAGAGTTTCATGGATCTCACCACAGACCTCTGCTGAATTTATACTAGAATTTGAATTTGACATTACCAAAAATGTAGCTATGCATGCAATGCAAATGTACCAGGCAGCTTTGTTAGCAAGCTTTTAAAACTAGCATATAGAAGAATGTTTCATTCTGTGGTTTGGATAATGTTTGGGGTTTTTGGTGGTGGCTATCTTGGGCCTTTAAGGGTAAGCCTGGCATTGAAATGAGTTACCTTTTTGTTTCAGATGTCATCTGGGTGATTCTCAGTGTGGAGGTGGGTGGACTTTTAGGAGTAACGCAGCAGCTGTCATCTTTTGAAACGGAGTTCAACACACAGCCGCATCGTAAGGTAGAAGGAAACTTCAACCCTTTTGCCTCTCCCCAAAAGAACCGACAATCAGATGAAAACAACTTAAAAGACCCTGGGGGCTCCGAGTTCGACTCGATCAGCAAAAACACATGGGCTCCTGCTCCTGACACATGGGCTCCTGCTCCTGACCAAACTGAGCAAGACCAGAATAGACTGTCACAGAACTCTGTAAATCTGTCTCCCAGCAGTCACGCAAACAACTTATCAGTAGTGACTTACAGTAAGGTAGGTGCCCTTGGAGAAGAGAAGGGGTAGGTGGTGGGCCTTGGGACTTGTGATACCCCTTCATGGCAAACCTAGAATCCTAGACTGCCGCTCCCCAGAGGAGGTTCTTTAAGACTGCTCAGCTCTCCTGCCAATAGCAACAATGCAAAAGCTTACCCCTTCTCCCGTTTCCCCAGCCCCATCTTCATGTCCTGTGGATGTTGCTTCATCCACATTTATAATTTACTCCTGTCTCTCTGCTATGGTTTGGGTGTTGAAAGAGTGAAGTTCTTTACCTTTAGTATTTTAAAAAAAGAAACAATGTTGCTCAATTATTTATTCTAAATATTGTTGTTGGGCTTTGCTTTATTTACCCTGTTTGCATGTCTTGTTGATGTCTTTTCAGTCCTTATGGCCCATCGACTTCCTTATCCATGACCCAGAGAGGCCCCAGTGATATTTTGACTTTTCAAATGTGGTGAATAAGTGAGAGTTGTTTGTTGAGTTAACTGTGATTTTAAATATTCTGATTGTTGTGAGGCACTTTTCTAGGTGTTTGATTTCTTGATCTGTTTTCTTCTATGCCAATTGATTAAACAGTGTCTTCCACAGTTTGCTAAGGTGATGATGGTGCCTGGTTGTTGGTTTTGGTTGGTTGAATAAAGCCCTGATGCTGGGAGTTCATTGTTGTAGGTGGTTCAAGTGGTGGAGTCCTGTAAGCATTCCTGTGTATTCTTCTCTGAATAATAATGCTGCATATTAAGCCTAGCATCCTACCCATATTACCACATAAACTGTTAGGTCTGTCCTGGCTTCAATTCATGTTGGCGTTCACCTTAAATTTTAAAAATAAAGTTTATGTTTATTTGAGGGGCAAGTGACTATGTTGTAAGAATGATATTTTTCTGACCAGTAGTTTTATTTTATTTTTACTTTTTATTTGTTCCAAGATGGAGTCTTGCTCTGTCACCCAGGCTGGAGTGTAGTGACACAATCTCGGCTGACTGCAACCTCCACCTCCCGGGCTCAAGAAATTCTCCTACCTCAGCCTCCTGAGTAGCTGGGATTACAGGTGCCCACCACCATGCCTGGCTAATGTTTTGTATTTTTAGTAGAGACAG